>NC_000024.10:17160053-17769601 GCF_000001405.40 Homo sapiens | reverse complement strand
TCCTAGCAACACAAAAAATAATTCCAGCATGGTGGGTAAGTATGGATGCTTATCTTAATCATGCTAGTATATGCTGCCATCAATTCTCCTGCTTGTCAGCAGTGAAACTGCAGCTGTCAAATGAGGAATTGATAAGAGACACGAGGTGGGACATACAATCCTACACTACAGATTTCAGTTTTTAGAAAATGTGATAATAATATTGATATTTAGTTTCTTTGGAGGGAACGTTTTACCGAAGTGTTGTGACTCAATAATTGCCGTGTAGTTCATCAAAACCTACATATTAGCCTTTGGCTTTAAGCTCCGCTTCTGTCAGTATTTGCAACCAAGGTGGTCGGGCAAAGTATTGCCAGGAGATACTGAAAATCATCCAGAAGCACTGTGATATTGTGTAAGCATCTGGAGAAAATTCAGTTAAAAGAATAAAAGTAAGCAGCTGAGGAATTACTATCACTCATGGAGAAGGGTAGGATATTTTCAATAAGTGAGTATGCAATATCCATATATACTTTCACAGAACAAAGAGTAAAGAGGCTGAGTGTGACTTTATAAAGATACTCATAAAAAATATAAACAACAAAACCTTGGAAGTAGTTTCTAATAAAATTGATTTTTCTAATGTGACTATGCATTAATAATTTTTGTTTTCTTAAATATAATTGTACAGCTTATTAAACAAAACAAAATGAAAAATCCATCTGGCTACAAAAACTAAGCAGAAAAAATAACCATAATACATTTTTCACCTAGTACATTTTGGAACCTATACCTTTAATTTAATAAGTGCTTGTAATATAGCATATACACTATCAGTGAACATTTGCTTTTCACCCTTTTCCCTCTGTGGTACAGAAACATTTTAGTTTGATGTAATGTGATCCAATTGTTTTTTGTTGTGCTTTTCTAGTCTGTGCTTTTGGGGTCATAGAATTGAGTGTTCAAAAATACAGTTAAATTAAAAATAAGAATTACCACATAATCCAGCTACTCTACTTCCAGATACGTACTCAAAGGATATAAAATTAGCATGGCAATGAGATATCTGCACTTCTATATTCATCTCAGCATTATTCATAACAGCCAAGATACGGTAACAACCTAAGTGCACATCAAGAGATAAAGTGTGGCACATATACACAATGAGATATACTATACAGCCTTAAAAAAGGAGGAAGATCTTTTATTTATTTGTGACAAAATGAATGGAATTGGAAGATATTATGCTCAGTGTAATAAGAGAGGCACAGAAAGACAAGTATAGAATGATCACTATTATATGTAAAATCTAAAAAAGTTGAACTCATTCAAACTGTGAATATGCCAGATGTGGTGGCTCATGCCTGTCACTCCAGCACTAAGGGAGGATGAGGTGGTTGGATCACTTGAGGTCAGAAGTTTGAAGCCACCGTGAGCCATAATTGTGTCACTGTACTCCAGCCTGGGCAATGCAGCAAGGCCGTGACTCTTTCTACAAACACACAAAAAGTAGTCAGAGATTGGAGTGTGGGGTGGTGATGGGCGTGGATAGAGAAAGGGGAGGTGTTCATCAAAGGGTAACAAATTTCAGTGAGACAGGAAGAAGTTCTGGTGATCCTTTGCACAGAATGGTGATCACAGTTAATAAATGTCAACTTAAAAATTGTTTAATAAAAAAAAGGACAGGCATGGTGACTCATGTCTGAAATCCCTGCACTTTGGGTGGCCATGGAGGGAGGATCAGTAGAGGTCAGGAGTTCAAGACCAGCCTGGCCAACATGATGAAACACTGTCTCTACTGAAAATATAAGAATTAGCCAGGTTTGGTGGCATGCACATCTCACCCCAGCTACTCGAGTGGCTGAGGCAAGAGAAAAACTTGAACTCGGGAGGTGGCAGTTGAAATGAGCTGAGTTTGCACCAGTGCACTCAAGTCTGGGCAACAGGAGCAAAACTCTATCTCAAAAATAAGGATTGTTTAAAATGTAGAATTTATATATTCTTACCACAAAGAAAGAAATGGTATGTATGTGAGGTAATGGATATGGTAACTAGCCCAATATAATTCTTTTGCAATATATACATGAATTATAAAATCACTTTGTGTCCCATAAATATTTATATTTGTTAATTTAAAATACAAATTTTAAAAGAATGAATTGCAGTTAAAACAAACTTGACTTAATATATGTAGACAGTAATATATGCTAATGTTTCCTTCTATTTTGAATATTTGGCTTCTGTTATTTCTTGAGGAAACAAACACCATGGGAAGGGATGAAGAACACTAGATCTTAACATTGTATAATTTACATTATTTTGTTGGTGGTGGTTTTTCTCCATTTTTTTCTACCAAGGCAATGGTGACAACTTTCTTATTCACACTTTCTTTTGTGTTTCTTTTTCCTGAGAAATCACCACCAAAAATAAAACTTGTGTAGATTTGTGTATATTTTTTACTGCTCCTTGTTATGACCCTCTTCGCCTTTGCTTTGGATTTCCCAGCTTCTTAAAACACTGATTTGCTTATTATTTGTTGTCTCCTTGTACCATTACTTCTTTGCTCTACCTGCAGGATCATTTCTTTTTATTTTAGTTTAGTTTAATTTTTTTGAGAGAGAGTCTCTGGCACAATCTTGACTCAGTGCAACCTTGGCCTCTTGGATTCAGGTGATTGATTCTCCTGCCTCAGCCTCCTGAGTATCTGATATTACAGGTATGCACTACCACGCTTGGCTAGTTTTAGAACTTATAATTGTGATGGGGTTTCACCGTGTTGCCAAGGCTGGTCTCAAACTGACCTCAAATGATCCCCCACCTCAGCCTCCCAAAGTGCTGCAATTACAGGTGTAAGATGCCACACCCCATTTGATCATTTTCTTTACTAGATCTACATGCTGCTTGTCTTAGTTCTAGATATGCCACTGTCAACTCATTTATTTATTTTCTATGATAGGAAGACTCATGGAAAGAGTTGCCTGTGACAAGGTTTAATTTTATTTTTCTTAACTCTCCTTTCTTCAGGCATTTACCCTGTTTTTGGAATCATATCTTATACTTGTCACTAAATCCCATATATCACTTGTCTATTGCGTATTACTCAAACAGTCGTGTGTATCTGTAAAACTGATTCACACCCTCATTCTTGAAATACTATTTTGCTTTGGATTACATGACTCAACTTTCGTCTGATTTCTCTATTTAATTGTCAGTGTGTTTTGTTTCATTTTATCTCGTAGATGTCTGTTTGTTAGACCACTAATATAACTACACAGAATACCTCTTTCTCCTTCCCTTTCTCCTTTCCCTTTTCCCTTCCCTTTTTCTTTTCTTTCCTTTCTTTTTTTTAAGAAAGTGTTCTGTAACGCAGTCTGCAGTGCAGTAGTGAGACCTTGACTGACTACAGCCTCAAATTGCTGGGCTTAAGCAATTTTCCTGCATTGGTCTCCTCAGTAGCTGAGACTACAGATGCACACTACCACACCTGGCTTTTTGTTGATGTTGTTTTGAGACAAAAGCCTCTTAAGTTTTAAACCTGTAGTACTAAGGAATTCAACCAGTGATATGATCGGAATTCAACCAGTGATATGATCTCTGAATTTCTAACATTGTGCTTTCCTTTTTCTGATGAGTGACCCAAGATTAAGAGAGCTAAATTTAAAACTTCCCCTGAACTTCTTTACACTTTCTACATGCCTCTCTCTTCCATCATTTTTTGTCCAAAACTACATCACCTGTATAACATAAAAACTGGGGATATTCCACGTCCAATTATTTTCCCTCGTCTCTTTCATATTTTATCTATAACAACTTTTTTATTATCTACCACCTACAAATGTTTTTTTTTTCTTGTTGCTGTTTATGCATTAAAGGTGAGGTCATCATTTATTGTTCCCTAAATGATAGTATCAACATCTTAATTTACTTCCTTCTTCTGTGTTACCTTGTTCAATTCATTTTTCATTGAGGGTCTAGAATTATTCTACTTTTCAATGAATAAAACACATCTCTTGTCTTTTCCTTTCTATTCTTGATCCTTTCTGCTTTACTATTAACTGTTACTTTATGAAGTGAGGAGCCATTTCAGTGTTATTTACTATTATATCCACCATTTTAAGCTAAAATTCTGAGATATAATAACCTCTCTCTAAGTGTTTAATATTATAATAAATAATACAACTTTGTAATTTCAGTATTGTTTTTGAATACTTAGTCTACATAGTATTTATGAAACAATATTTTAGTTGATTTGCAGATAAGCTTATGTTATTTTTTCACTCACTCCTTCCATTTGTATCCATCCTAGCTGTAAGACATTTAGAGGTGTGAACTTGACATATTCTTCTCTATACTTGAGAGCCTGTTGAAGTTATATGAATAAAGAAATGTACATTGACCATTTAATTCATATAAATAAATATAAATGTTTAATAGTTAAAATTTACTTAAACGTTTTTATTACTTAAATGTATTATTACAGTTATTATTTACATTTTTTATTATTCAAAACTCAATACAGGAAACAAACATGGAAAAATCTCAAGTAATTTATTATTTATCATTCCTTTTATTGTAGAGGTCACAAGCTTTCTCCTTACTGGTTAGGGCCATATTTCCAGAACAGTCGTAACATTTCACTTCTCATTTCCTAGTGAAATCTGAGGAGTGTCTTTTGAACTCTATGGTGATATGCCTACAACTACCTAGTGTAACTCTGTCTTCTTAGGAGGGTATGACTCTACAAGATGAGTATGATAATGTCCTAAAATACCATCCTTACATTTAATTATATAAAACACCACTAATGTAATAATAATACATGAGCTGCACATTACGTAGTCTATTTAGAGAGTTAATTTTTACGCTCAAATACTTTAGTTAGAGACTGTGAGATTAAACTGACCCAAGATGGAACTTAATTTTTTGTAACAACTACCATGCTATGGTGAAATGAAAACTGAACTCTTAATAATTTGGAAAACAATAAAGTCATATCACTTATAAGTTGCTAACAAAAACATGTATTTCTTAACTATTACTTATTACATGAAAGACAGAATGGCTTTCATGATAATGATGGAAGCAGTGTCAAATAAAATCTTACAAAACAGTCTGGACACGATGGCTCATGACTGTAATCCCAGCACTTTGGGAGGCTGAGGCAGGTGGATGACTTGAGGTCAAGAGTTTGAGACAAGCCTGGCCATCATGGTGAAACGCCCTCTCTACTAAAAATAAGAACATTAGCTAGGCATGGGGGTGCATGCCTGTAATCCCAGCTACTCAGGAAGCTGAGACAAGAGAATCCCTTGAACCTGGAAGGCAGAGGCTGCAGGGAGCCAAGATCGCACCACTGCACTCTGGCCTGGGTGAGAGAGTGAGACTCCATCTCAAAAAATACCTCTCCGAACATTAAAAAGCAAGGTAGATTTAATCAACTTTCTATTTTACGCTGTAATTAAAGTTAATTGGGTTAAAAGTGAAGAGATATAAGGAAGAGACAACAACCTCAGACTTGATTTTTGGAGCTCTGGAATCTAATAACGTCACTCAAGGGTGCGTTTAATGAAGAAAGACCTGACCTCTAAGTTTGGGCAAGACAGTATGTGGCATTTTAACTTCCCATCATCACCCACTCCATGGCTTCATGGAAACCGTGAATAAGATTAAATTCTAGATGCAGATTTTGATGCATGTGTGGAAATACAGAACTTATTTCAAATAATTGCGGTTGTGTGATTTAAAATGTCTGAGGTTCCCTTGGAGATTTTCAGTTCAGAGTCTTTTCTTTAGCCCACCTCAGAGCTTTCTTGGGTGCAGAAGTTGACTCCCAGGAGGCATTTGCGGAAAGGAAATATACTAGTCAGAGCCACCTATAGCAAGGAATAAGAGTCAGGTCAAGTAGTACACAAACAAAATGCCTGGAAAGAAGTGGCTGGTGAAGAAAAGTGATGTGGAAAATCAGCTTTGAAAAATTCTCACAGTTCGTTGCTGTTTATATTGGATTGGGTTTTAAATAGAGACAGAACTTGCCCTGTGGCCCACAGTGGAGTCCTGTGGCAGGATCATGGCCTACTGCAGCGGCAACCTCCTTGGGTTCAAATGATCTTGCCACCTCAGCCTCCTGAGCATCTCACCTCTCTGGACTCCACCAATCCTCCCCGCTCAGCATTTCACAGTACAGGCATGGGCCTCCAAAACTAGCTTATTTTTGTATTTTTTTATACAGAAGAGTCTTTCCATGTTGTCAAGGCTGGTCTCGTACTTCTGGGCTCAAGTGATTTGTTCTCCAAGCCTTCCAAATTGGTGGGATTACAGATATGAACCACCACACCCAGACTCCTACTGGTATATTTAGAAGGATATAAATATGTCCACTTTTGGATGCATGCATGGCGAAGACCCCAAAACTTTTCACTTTTCCCTGACTTTTGACTAAACACTAGAGTTCCTGAAAAGTCTATATGCAAATTCTGAATAGTTTTTCTTTTCTTTCTTTTCCTTTTTTTCTTTTCTTTCCTATGATTTTTTTTAATGTGTCAAAGATAGTAGATGACCAAAAGGATGACAGAACACAGGTTAAGTGGCCACACATGACAAAGAATACAGACTACAAAACTAGCTGTAAGGAGTTGTTAAACAAGTACACAACCCACAAGCTAAGCAATTGTGGAGGTCAAGAATTTGTTATCTGAGTATGCTGAATAATATGCAAAGTGTTCAGCATTCAACAATAAAATAAAAGGCATTCAAAGATAAATGCAAAAAAAGCACATTCAGAGAAAACATAATTAAAAGAAGCTATTTCAGAAAGCCCAGGCATGGTACTAACTAGGGAAATATTTCAATTCTCTTCAAAAAGAAGAGAATTGAGACCTTCAAAGGTCTGTTCTCAAAGACCTAAGGGAACCCAGTAGAACAGTGATTCAAAATTGAAAATACCAATAAAGACATACACATTATTTAAAAAATGAAATCAATAATCTGTAACTAGAAAGATTGAATAGCTTGTGTGAGCATGCAAAAAGCGTAATGAGGCAACTTGAAGATGGATTGTTTGATATTATTCAGTGTATGAAACAAAAACAGGAACAAGAATAATGAACAAAACTAAGGTTGCCATGGGATTCTATCAAGAATATCAACATATTCATAATGGGAGTTTCACTGAAAAAAGAGAAATACAGGGGAAAAAAAGAATATTTGAATGAACAGTGGCTGAAACTTCACAAATGTGTTGATAGATGGAAATCTACTGATCCAAATATCTCCAAAGGAAAAAAAAAATACTTCAGGAAGAATAAAATCAAAGATATCCACACTGAAACACATGCACTGAAACTGACAGAAGACAAATAAATAGAGAACTTTAAAAGAAGCAAGACAGAAGTAACTGATCACATGCAAGTTATCATCCATGACATTAACAGCCAATTTCTCATTAAAAATTATGGAGGAAATAAGTCACTGTGTTGAGATCTTCAAAGTGCTGAAATAAAAAAAAATTAAGTCAATCATAAACTCAATATCTGTCCAAACCAAAATTTAAATTTATGAGCAAGTAAGTCATTTCCAAGCAAACAGAATTAAAGAGAGTACGTTACTACTAGATCAGCCTTACAAAACATGATGAAAACATGTAAGGAATGAAAGTAAAATAGCACCTCATGTGCAAATAAAGAAATAAAGAACATCAATGAAGTAATTACACCAAGAAATAGGAAAGCCAATATTATTGTATATGGGGTTTCTGTGACTTTATTTTTCTACTAGATTTAAATGACAAGAGGAAAGATACAGTATCTCACAACTGTAATCCCAACCAAGGATCGGGATTTCCTTGAGCTGAGGAGTATGAGACCAGTCAAGGCAACAAAGTGTGAATCTGTCTCTACAGAAAATGAACAAAATTATCCAGCTGTGGTGGCATACACTTCTGTCCTAGGTACATGAGGGGCTGAGGTGGACGGATCCCTTGAGCCCAGGAGCTCGAGGCTGTAGTGAACCATATTTAGCCTATGTGACTGAAACCCTGTCTCAAATGAAGTAAAATAAAATTCAATAATAAAATAAAGAAATGACAAAGAATAAAACAATAATTACATATCTGGGTTGTTAGTACATATTGTATAAAAAACAATTTTTGACAAAAAAACATAGAAAGGTAGGGAGAGCAATATGGGAAAATGATTTTTGTATAATGTCAATACTAAGTTATTGTAATTCACACTATATTATTATGAATTTAAGATATTAATTATAATACCATTAATAGCCAATAAGAAAATAACTGTTCAAATATACTGAAGAGAAATGAAGGAGTCTAAATTGTACCCTAGAAAAACAAATGCAAAGATGAGCAGTTTTGGAGGAATGATATATAACAACAACAATAACAAAACTTGTAGAACAAAAGAACAAAAATAGGAAAATAAATTCTTGTCAGCAATTAATTTCAGTCCAAATAAACTCCAGTTAAATGTCAAAGACTAGCAGAATAACTTTTTAAACGTTTTAAAAGTGGGGAAAAAATAATGCAAACGGTAACCAAAATAGAGTTAGAATTATTAGACAAATATCAAAATTGTTTAATTGATCAAGAAGATGTAACACTTTCATATATACCTAATAAAAGATCCTCAGGATATATGAAGCAAAAAATGAATAGATTTGAGGAGCTACACAGTTCTGCAATAATAATAATAGTTGGAGATTTCAACACCCCACTTTCAACAATGTGTAAAATGACCAAATCCAAGTTCAATAAGAAAACAAAGGTCTTCAAAAGCAGTATAAACCAAATAAATCTCTCAGACATATACAAAACACTCCACAAGCTGACTACACATTCTTCTAAAGTGTATATGTGTTATTCTCTGTGCTATCTTCAGAATAGACTCTGTGGTAGGCCACAAAGCAAGTTCTAATTATATCTAACATTATTGAAATCACATATAATGCTTTCTTCAACCACAATGGAATAAAACTAGAGGCCCGTTTTCTTTTTTTTTCTTTATTTCTTTTTTCTTTATTTATTTAAAGAAAAATAGATAAATAAGTTGGAGTCTCACTCTGTCACCCAGACTGGAATTCAGTGGTGTGATCTCAACTCACCACAACCTTTCATGGTCAAGCAATTCTCCTGCCTCATACTCCTGAGTAGCTGGGACTACAGGCACACACCACCGTGCTAGGCTAATTTTTGTAGTTTCAGTGGAGACAGTTTCACTGTATTGATGAGGCTAGTCTCAAACTACTGACCTCAGGTGATACACCCACTCCGGTCTCTCAAAGTGCTCGGATTATACGCATGACCACCACGCCTGACTGAGATTCATTTTCTAAAGACTGAAAAATGTATATTGTTTGGAAAATAATAAATACACTCTTCAACAACCTATGGTTAACTGAAGAATCTGCAAGGAATTAATTTTCACAAACAAAAGAAAAACTAAAACATACTAAAGCTTCTGAAATGCGCTAAATCAATGTTGAGAAATATATATGTGTAAAGATAGAGATAAAAAAGAAGAAATGTAAAATTTGTAACATAAATGTACACACAAGGAAGCAGAAAAAGTGTAAATTAGAGGAGAGTACTTTTGTAAAAAATATGGCAAAGTAAAGGAAGCTGCCCATCAATTGCCCCCAACCCTAACCCCCCAAGAACACCCACAGAAAAACCAAAACTGAGTATACAGTGCTGAGATTATCACCATCAATAACACAGAGCTCAAAAGTGAGAATGAGCCTGCTCCTAGGGTGACAGAGAAGTGAAGAAACCAGGCAGAGGGTAAAAAAGTTGGCCTTTTATATTCATGACACTTGTCCCCTAGTCTGCTGACAACCAAGTGTGAACAAAACAAACAAACAAAAAAACTCCTCTGACTCTTGGTTACTACACTTACTAAAATAAAGTTTAAAGTGGATGGCCAGCTTCCCCATCATTTTGGATTCCCTGGCAGGAGAATTATTCCTGTCTTTACCCAAGGAAGTCTTGTGAGTGCCTGAAAAGAGAAAAAAAAACCTGAGGAAAACCAGGGATGAAGTAGAAAGAAGGACTACCATCTCCAGCCTGGATAGCTCAGTCACAGGAGATGCCAAACCTGAGTGCCTGCACAGCATTACCATAAGGTAGGAGGTATATTGCATAATTTCCTTGATCACAAACCTATAGAGAGCCTTCCCACACAGGATATCCCCTTCAAAATGTCTCAGATAGGAGACTGGCAGTGTTTCAAAGTTTGTTTGTTAGAGCTGAAATAAACCTGGGCTTAAGGCACCATCTACTGCCAAAACAGAGGCACTGACCTAGCCAAAATCAAGCAAACAATACCCCACAATACTTATGTCTTAAAGAAAACTCAAAGCAATTATATACAACAAAATGTAAAATAAGACAGAGAAAACAATAAACTAAATAACTAGTCCTTCAATAAAAAGATACAGATGTATAACCACGAGCAATAATACCAAACAGGAAATTATAACCTCCCTTAATGGACAAAGCATAAACCATTGACCAATGCTAATTAATGAGATGGCTATCAGTGATTATTGGATCAAAAATTCAAAATATCAGCTTTCAGGAAATTCAGATCTCTAAAACAACACAGAAAAGGAACTGATAACGCTTCTGAAAGAAACTTTAAAAAATGTACTGAAATTATTTAACAATAAAAAAAGTCCTGGAACTGAGAAATATACTGGTTAAAGTGGAAAATTAAGAAGGCTTTCAATAGAAGAATATATCAAACAGAATAAACAATCAGTGAGCTCTAAAATGAGTTATCAGGAACAGGTGTGCAGGCTCAGGCCTGTAATCACAGCACTTTGGGAGGCTGCGATGGGTTGATCACTTGAGTTTGGCAGTTTAAGACCAGTCTGGGCATCATGGTGAAACCCTGTCTCTACTAAGAATACAAAAAATTACCTGGGCATAGTGGTGCACACCTGTAATCCCAGCTATTCAGGAGGCTAAGAGAGGAGAATCACCCAAACCTGGGAGGCAGAGGTTGCAGTGAGTCAGTGTCGTGCCATTGAAGTCCAGCCTGGGCAACACAGAGAGACTTTGTCTAAACAAAACAAAACAAAACAAAAAAGTAAAAGAAAAAAAGAAAAGAAAAGAAAATTAACATAGGTTATTCAGAAATGCACAAAGAACAAAACAGAAAAACAATCAAAAAGAATAAAGAACATTTACCAGATATACAAAATTACCTTAAATAAGCAAATCTAAGATTTAGCAATATTCATGAAAGAGTTCCGCAAAAGGAAGGTATATACAGCATATTCAAATGAATAATAACAACTTTCAAAAATTTGAGAGAGAGATAAATATACAGGTTCAGAAAAATCGGCAACTACAAAAAAGATTAATACCCCATAAAACTACCCCACAACAAACAAGAATCAAACTCTGGCTCTCAGTCGCCACTGCCAGCTCGCCTACCTTGTTCTTCTGCCGCTCCTCTGTCCCACTCCTCTGTCCATCGCAGTAGAAGAAGAGATCGCTGCGCTCGTCATTGACAATGGCTCTTGCATGTGCAAAGCTGGCTTTGCAGGGGACGATGCTCCCCAAGCCATGTTTCCCTCCACCGTTGGGTTCCCCGGACACCAGGGCGTGATGGTGGACATGGGCCAGAAGGACTCCTACGTGGGCAATGAAGCCCAGAGCAAGCGCAGCATTCTGACGCTGAAGTACCCCATCAAGCATGGCATCATCACCAACTGGGACAACATGGAGAAGATCTGGCACCACTTCTACAATGAGCTGCATGGGGCCCCGGAGTAGCAGCCAGTGCTGCTGACCGAGGACCCACTGAACCCCAAGGACAACAGAGAGAAAATGACTCAGATTATGTTTGAGACCTTCAATACCCCGGCCATGTACGTGGCCATCCGGGATGTGCTGTCCCTCTATGCCTTTGGGCGCACCACTGGCATTGTCATGGACTGTGGACACAGGGTCACCCACACGGTGCCCATCTACGAGGGCTACTCCCTTCCCCATGCCATCCTGCATCTGGACCTGACTGGCTGGGACTTGACTGAGTACCTCAAGAAGATCCTCAAGGAGAGAGGCTACAGCTTCACCAACACAGCCCAGCGGGAAATCATGCGCGATATCAAGGAGAAGCTGTGCTAGGTCTCCCTGGACTTCAAGCAGGAGATGGCCACCCCTGCATCCTCCTCTTCTCTGGAGAAGAGCTATGAACTGCCCGATGGCCAGGTCATCACCATTGGCAATGAGTGGTTCTGGTGTCCGGAGGTGCTGTTCCAGCCTTCCTTCCCGTGCATGGAATCTTGCCGCATCCACCAGACCACCATCAACTCCATCAAGAAGTGTGACGTGGACATCCGCAAAGACCTATACACCAATACGGTACTATCCGGTGGCACCACCATGTATCCAGGCATTGCTGACAGGATGCAGAAGGAGATCACTGCCTTGGCGCCCAGCACCATGAAGATTAAGATCATTGCACCCCCAGAGCGCAAGTTCTCAGTGTGGATCGGTTGCTCCATCCTGAACTCACTGGTCACCTTCCAGCAGACATGGATTAGCAAGCAGGAGTATGATGAGTCAGGCCCCTACATCGTCCACCACAAATGCTTCTAAATGGAACGAGCAGATGTGTAGCATTTGCTGCATGGGTTAATTCAGAAGCATAAATTTGCCCTTGGCAAATGCATACACCTCATGCTAACCTCATGAAACTGGAATAAGCCTTTGAAAAGAAATTGTCCTTGAAGCTTGTATCTGACGTCAGCACTGGATTTTTTGACCTTGTATTCAAGTTAACTGTTCCCCTCGGTATTCGTTTAATACTGTGTACATATCTTTGAGTTCAATCTTTAGTGCACGTGGCTTGGTCACTTCGTGACTGAGGTAAGAACGTGCTTGTGGAAGACAAGTCTGTGGCTTGGTGAGTGTGCATGGCCAGCAGTCTCTGATCTGTGCAGGGTATTAATGTGTCAGGGCTGACTGCGCTGGGATTTCTCTAGAGGCTGGCAAGTGCTCCTGAACCAGTTGCGTCTGCCCTGCCTGTCTGTTAGGGCTGGAAAGTCCAAACCACAGGACACAGTTTCCTTTCTTAGCTGATGTTTTTTGCCAGAACACCGTAGGCTGTCACTTGCCTTGAGTTGGAAGCAGTTTGCATTTACACCTGTAAATGTATTCATCCTTTTAATTTATGTAAGGTTTTTTGTATGAAATTCTTGATTCTTTAAAGAAATGACAACAAATTTTTGTTTTCTACTGTTATGTGAGAACATTAGGCCTCAGCAACATATCATTGTGTAAGGAAAAATAAAAGTGCTGCCAAAAAAAAAAAAAAAAAAAAAAAAAAAAAAAGAAGCAAACTCTCAAAGGTTGAGAAATAAAGAAAATTCTAAAAGCACTAAGGGAAAATAAACAAAAAATGGAGGAGCTTGAAATCATTCGGCAAAAGACTTGTCAACAATAGGTTTTTAAGGAAGACACAGTATTAGAAGACATAAATTGTGACGTCAAAAACATAATTGGAACAGAGGGTAAATGTCTAGAGTTTTTATGTGACAAATGTTGTCAGCTTAAACTAGTTGATTATTAACTATAAGATGTTTTCTCTGAGCCTTTGATGACCATCAAAAACTACAGCAGCAACACTAATGATAAAAACAAATGAATCAAAGCTTATCACTACTGAAAATATTTAAATGCTAAACATTTAAAAGCATTCATGGGAGGAAGAAAGGAAAAAATGATGTATGACTCAATCAGAAACAACTAACAAGATAACAGTAGTAAGAACTTATCAATAATTATCTAGAATGTAAATGAATTAAATTATGCAATTAAAAGACGTGGAGTGACCAAATGGATTTTAAAAATGGGATTCAACTACATGTTACCTATGAGACCCACCTAATCTTTAAGGACAAACAGGCTGAAAGTGAAGGAATAGAAGAAGATACCTCTATGCAAATGGTAATAAAAAATTAGGAGTGGCTATACTCCTATCTATAAAAGAGATTTCAATTCAAAACCTGTCATAAGACCAAGAAGGTCATCATTTAATAATAAAGCAATCAATTTATCAACAGGATATAACAATTATATATATACATCTGCACTCAACAATGGAGCACCTAAATATTTAAAGCAAATATAAATAGAAATGAAGAAAAAAATGGCAATAAAATAATTGTAGGAAATTTCAGTACCTCAATTACAACAAGGAATAGATAAACTCGACAGAAACTTAATAAGAAAATGCCAGACTGGAATTCTAGTTTTAACTAAATGAACCCAACAGACATATACAGAACTTTTCATAGTGTACAGCCGAATATATATTTTGCTGTAACACACATGGAAGATTCTCTAAAATAGACCACATACTAGGCCATAAACAAGTCTTAACAAAGTAAGATTGCTAAAAGCATATTTAATATTTTTTCAGACCATCATGGTAGCAAACCAAAGATCAGTAAGAGGAGAAATCTTGAAAAAAAGTCACAAATACTGAACTTTTTTTTTTTTTTTTGAGACAGAGTCTCGCTCTGTTGCCCAGAATGCAGCACAGTGGCACAATCTCGGCTCACCGCAAGCTCCGCCTCCCAGGTTCATGACATTCTCCTCCCCCAGCCTCCCAAGTAGCTGGCACTGGAGGTGCCCATCACCACGCCTAGCTAATTTTTCATATTTTTAGTAGAGACAGGGTTTCACCGTGTTAGTCAGGATGGTCTCGATCTCCTGACCTCATGATCCGCCCGCCTCGGCCTCCCAAAGTGCTGAGATTACAGGCGTGAGCCACCGCCCCTCAGCCTATATGAACATTTTTAAAACACTGCTCTTAAGTAATGAATTGATGAAACGAAATATAAAAAGAAAAATTCATAAATATCTTCAGATAAATAATAGTGGAAACACAACACACCTAAACCTATGGTGTGCAGTGAAGCAGCATTATGATGCAAGATTACAGCAATAAATCCACACATTAAACAAATAAAGATACCAAATAAGCAACATCTCATTGTATCTAAGAAACTGGAAGGAAAAACAATTAAATTCAAAGTTAGCACAATGAATAAAATAACAATTAAAACAGAAACAAATCAAATAGGGAACATAAACATCTGATGACAAAAAATAAAAAATAAAAGGCAGCCAAATTTTATAGCAATAAGTAAAGTATTCTCTCTTTGCAGATGACAATCTCCTATATGTAAAAACAGCTCAAATATTCTATTTAAGAAAGTGTTAGAACCAATGAACAGATTTGGTAATGTCATTGTACAAATAATTACCTAACTGAAAAAGAATTCAAGAAACTCGTCTGACTTATAAGCATATCAAAGAAATTAAATACTTAAAAAAAAGGTAACCAGAAAGTAACAGATCTCTCCATTGAAAACTATGAGACATTGATAAAATCAATTTAAGAAGACAAAAATAATTGGAAAGATTGTCTATGCTTATGGATTGGGAGAATTAATATTGTTAAAGTATTTATAGCATCAAAAGCAATACACAGATTCAATGCTATTCAATCAAAATTTCAATAGCATTCTTCACAGAAATAGAAAACAAAATATAAAACTTGTATAGCTATATAGAGAGCCATAAATTGTGAAAACATTGTTGAGAAAGAAAAAAGAAGTAGGAAGAACCACACCACCTTATTTGAAATTGGCATGAACACAGAAACATAGCCAAATGAGCAGAACAGAGAATCGAGAAATACATCCAAGCATATATAGTCAATTAGTTTTTGAAATCTGCAGCAAAATGATAACATGAGAAGAAGATCATCTTTACTATGAGTAGTGCTGGGAGAACTAGATTTCCACATGCAGAAGAACAAAATTGGATTCACATTTTACATCATACACAAAAATCAACTGAAGATGAGTTGGAAAATCCTAAATGTAAGACTGCAACCTCTAAAACATCTAGAAGAGAACATAGAAAAAAGCTCATGAGTGATGGCCTCGGTAATAATTATTTTGAATATCATATTAAAAACTCAGTCCACATAAAGAAAAACAAATGAGCAAGACTACATCAAATGAAAAACTTTTGCACAGTAAAGGAACCAATCGACCGAATACAATAGCCAAAATATTGGGGAAAATATTTTCAAGCTATGTATCTGATGATGGGTTAAGATCTAAAATTTATGAAGGACTTGTATGTGGGAAAGAAAGTTTCTGGGGTGCCAGTTGATTTTATCTGCCCCGTGTGAGACACCCATGGGGAGCCATGGGCGGCTTCTGAGGAGCAAATCTCCGTATTGCCTTCATGTCTTTATTGCTGAGAGCACAACGGCGCAGTGCATTCCACTGGTTGCTCAGGGAGATAAAACTCCCTTGAAGCAGTGGAGTATAATCAAACCTCTTGGCTTTTCGTGAAACCTGCTCCCACCCGTTTCAGTCCTAATAAATTAGAGATCTTAAGTAGTTTAGACACACGCCTTTGCTCAAGGGAATTCACAGAAACCGCCAGTGCTATAAGAATTCAATGACTCACCAGTTCTCCTTCACGGATTAATCCTTTTCCTCATTCCTTCCTCCCCCTCCCATCTACCCTAAGAACAAAGAGCTTGTAAACCATTTAATTAGGTGGAGCCTGACAACTGTGGGCCATGAGCAACCCTCCGATGCTCGGGCCCCCTGGACCCGCCTTTTAAGTGCTTATTCTCTCTCTTTCTAACTCCTTTGTCTCCCCCAGACTCAAAGTACCTGCCGGGTGTTGTGCGACTGTTTTCCCCAACATTGTACAACTCAACAGCAGCAAAACAAATAAACATATTAAAAGCTGAGCAAAAGCTCTGAATTGACATTTCTCCAAGGAACATATAAAAATGGGCAACAGGTATTTGAAACATTCAAAATCATTAATCATCAGAAAAAATTTAAATCAAAGGTACTTTGAGGCGTTACATAACTCACATCAGGAAAGCTATTATTAAAAACTCAAAAGATCACAAAGGTTGGCTAGGATGTACAGAAAATGAAACTCATGTAGAGTGTTGCTGGTAATGGGTAGCAGTTATAAAAGTTGGTATGGAGGTTTCTGGAAAATTAAAAATAAAACTACCTTATGTCTCAACAACTCTTCCTTTAGACATATAACCAAAGGAAATCCCTAACTCATGGAGATATTTGCACTCTCATGTTCATCGCAGCATTATTAATAATAGCTGAAATATGGAAAAAGCCTTATTGTCCAGTACAAAGAAATATTACTTAGCCCTAAACAAGAATGAGATCTTGCCATTTGCCAAACCATGGAGGAGCTTGGAGGAAACTATGCTAAGTGAAATAAACCAGACACAGAAAGAAAAATATTTATAATCACATATATGCAACAGAAGGGAGGGTGGTGCCAGGCTTTTTTTTTTAATGAGTTCTCAAAAGCTAATAAAAAAAAGATCTCCCTCCTTATCACAAGAATGACACCAAGCTTTTCACAAAGTATCCACCCCCATGACCCGAGCATCTCCCACTCAACCTCACCTCCAACACTGGGGATCAAATTTCAGCATAAAGTTTGTAAAGGCAAATATCCAAACTATAGCAGTAACTATGTGAGATTAGAAATATGTTAATTTGTTCCAGTATAGTAGCCTTGAAATATCAATATGTATCCCATAGCATATGTCGTACACATGAAATGAACATAATAGGATGCATTTTTATTTATTTATTTTAAAATGTTTATTATATTTAAAGTTCTAGGGTACATGTGTACAGTGTACAGTTTTGATACATAGGTATTCATGTGCCATGTTGGTTTGCTGTACCCATCAACTCATCATTTACATTAGGTATTTCTCCTAATGTTATCCCTCCCCCAAATCCCTACCCCCTACTCCCCAACAGGCGCTGGTGTGTGATTTTCTTTGCTCTGTGTCCAAGTAATCTCATTGTTCAATTCCCACCTATGAGTGAGAACATGTGGTGTTTGGTTTTATGTCCTTGTGATAGTTTGCTGAGAATGATGGCTTCTAGCTCATCCGTGTCCCTGCAAAGGACACAAACTCATCCTTTTTTATGGCTGCATAGTATTCCATGGTGTATATTTGCCACATTTTCTTAATCCAGTCTCTCATTGATGGACATTTGGGTTGTTTCCAACTCTTTGCTATTGTAAATAGTGCCATAATAAACAAACGTATGCATGTGTCTTTACAGTAGCATGATTTATAATCCTTTGGGTATATATCCAGTAATGGGATTGCTGGGTCAAATGGTAATTCTAGTTTTAGATCCTTGAGGAATTACCACACTGTCTCCTACAGTGGTTGAACTAATTTACACTCCCACCAACAGTGTAAAAGCATTCCTATTTCTCCACATCCACTATAGCATCTGACTCTTTAATGATCGCCATTCTAAGTGGCATGAGATGGTATCTCATTTTGGTTTTCATTTGCATTTCCGTGATGACCAATGATGATGAGCATTTTTCCCTGCATCTGTTGGCAGCATAGATGTCTTCTTTTGAGAAGTGTCTGTTCTTATCCTTTGCCCACCTTTTGATGACTTTTTTTTCATGTAAATTTGTTTGTGTTCTTTGTTGATTCTGGATATTAGTTCTTTGTCAGATGGGTAGATTGCAAAAATTTTCTCCCATTCTGTAGGTTGCCCATTTACTCTGATGGTAGTTTCTTTCACTGTGCAGAAGCTCTTCAGTTTCATTAGATCCTGTTTGTCTATTTTCACTTTTATTGCCGTTGCTTTTGGTGTTTTAGTCATAAAGTGCTTGCCCAAGCCTGTGTTCTGAATGGCATTGCCTAGGTTTTCTTGTAGGGTTTTTATGGTTTTAAGTTTAATATTTAAGTGTTTAATCCATTTTGAATTAATTTTTATGCCACATGTAAGAAAGGGATCCAGTTTCAGCTTTCTACAAATGGCTAGCCACTTTTCCCAGCACCATTTGCTAAATAGGGAATCCTTTCCCCATTTCTTCTTTTTGTCAGTTTTGTCAAAAATGAGATGATTGCAGATGCATGGTGTTATTTCTGAGGCTTGTCTTCTGTTCCATTGGTCAATATATCTGTTTTGGTACCAGTACCATGCTGTTTTGTTTACTATAGCCTTGTAGTATAGTTTCAAGTCAGGTAGCATGATGCCTCCAGGTTTGTTGTTTTTGCTTAGGATTGTATCGGCAATGCAGCCTCTTTTTTGGTTCCATATAAACTTTAAAGTAGTTTTTTTCCAGTTCTCTGAAGAAAGTCATTGGTAGCTTGATCGGAATAGCATTGCATGTATAAATTACTTTGGGCACTATGGCCATTTTCAAGATATTGATTCTTCCTATCCATGATCATAGAATATTCTCCCATTTGTTTGCGTCCTTTTTTATTTGTTGAGCAGTGTTTTTTAGTTGTCCCTGAAGAGGTCCCTCACATCCCCTGTAAGTTGGATTCCTAGGTATTTTATTCTCTTTGAAGCAATTCTGAATGGGAATTCACTCATTATTTGGCTGTTATTTGTGTATAGGAATGCTTGTGATTTTTTGCACACTGATTTTCTATGCTGAGATTTTGCTGAAGTTTCTTATCAGGTTAAGTAGATTTTGGGCTGAGACAATGGGGTTTTCTCAATATACAATCATGTCATCAGAAAACAGGGACAATTTGACTTCCTCATTTCCTAATTGAATACTCTTTATTTCTTTCTCTTCCCTGATTGCCCTGGGTAGAACTTCCAACACTATGTTGAATAAGAGTGGTGAGAGAGGGCATCCTTGTTTTGTGCTGGTTTTCAAAGGGAATGCTTCCAGTATTTGCCCACTCAGTATGATACTGGCTGAGCGTTTGTCATAAGTAGCTTTTATTATTTTGAGATACATTCCATGAATGCCTAGTTTATTGAGAGTTTTTCGCATGAAGGACTATTGAATTTTGTCAGAGGACATTTTGTATCTATTGAGATAATCATGTGGCTTTTGTCATTGCTTCTGTTTATGTGATTGATTAAATTTATTGACTTGCATAAGTTGAACCACATTTGCATCTCAGGGATGAAGATGATGTGATAGTGGTGGATAAGCTTTTTGATGTGCTGCTTGATTCAGTTTACCAGTATTGTACTCAGGATTTTCACCTCGATGTTCATCAGGGCTATTGGTCTAAAATTATCTTTTTTTGTTGTGTCTTTGCCAGGCCTTAGTATCAGGATGATGGTGGCCTTATAAAATGAGTTAGGGAAGATTATTTCTTTTTTTTATTGATTGGAATAATTTCAGAAGGAATGATACCAGCTCCTCTTTGTACCTCCAGTAGAATTCCGCTGTGAATCCTTCTGGTCCTGGACTTTTTTTGACTGGTAGGCTATTAATTATTGCCTCAATTTCAGAACTAGTGTTTGTTCTATTCAGAAAACCAAATCCTTCCTGGTTTAGCTTTTGTAGGGTGTATGTGTCCAGGAATTTATCCATTTATTCTATATTTGCTAGTTTATTTGCATAGAGGTGTTTATGGTATTCTCTGATGGTAGTTTGTATGTCTGTGGGGCTGGTGGTGATATCCCCTTTATCATTTTTATTGCTTCTATTTATTTGATTCTTCTCTCTTTTCTTCCTTATTAGTCTTGCTAGAGATCTATCAATTTTGTTGATCTTAAAAAAAAAAAAAAAAAAAAAAAAAAACCCAGTTCCTGGATTCATTGATTTTTTTTGAAAGGTTTTTTTGTGTCTCTATCTCTTTCAGTTCTGTTCTGATCTTTGTTATTTTTTGCCTTCTGCGAGCTTTTGAATTTGTTTACTCTTGCTTCTCCATTTCTTTTCATTGTGATGTTAGGGTGTCAATTTTAGATCTTTCCTGCTTTCTCTTGTGGGCTTTTAGTGCTATAAATATCCCTCTACACACTGCTTTAAATGCGTCCAGAGATTATGGTACATTGTGTCTTTGTTCGCCTTGGCCTCAAAGAACATCTGTTTTTCTGCCTTGATTTCGTTATTTATCCAGCAGTCATTCAGGAGCAAGTGGTTCAGTTTCCATGTAGTTGTCTACTTTTGAGTGAGTTTCTTACTGCTGGGTTGTAATTTGATTGCAGTGTGGTCTGCGAGACAGTTTGTTGTGATTTCTGTTCTTTTACATTGGCTGAGTAGTGCCTTATTTCCAATTATGTGGTCAATTTTAGAATAAGTGTGATGTGGTGCTGAGAAGAATGCATATTGATTCATAATGCATAATGCTGTTGATTTGGGGTAGAGAGTTCCATAGATGTCTATTAGACCTGTTTGTTGCTGAGCTGAGTTCAGATCCTGGATATCCCTGTTAACTTTCTGCCTCATTGATCTGTCTAATATTGACAGTGCAGTGTTAATGTCTCCCATTATTATTGTGTGGCAGTGTAAGTCTCTTTGTAGGTCTATAAGGACTTGCTTTATGAATCTGGGTGCTCCTGTATTGGGTGCATATATATTTAGAATACTTGGCTCTTCTTCGTGAATTGATCCCTTTACCATACGTAATGGCCTTCTTTTTCTCTTTTGATCTTTATTGGTTTAAAGTCTGTTTTATCACAGACTAGGATAGCAACCCCTGCTTTTTTTTTTTCTTTCCATTTGTTTGATAGATCTTTTTCCATCCCTTTATTTTGAGCCTATGTGAGTCTTTGAATGAGAGATGGGTCTCCTGAATACAGAACACTGATAGGTCTCAACTCTTTATCCAATTTGCCAGTCTGTGTCCTTTAATTGGGGCATTTAGCCCATTTACATTTAAGGTTAATATTGTTATGTGTGAATATGATTCTGTCATTGTGATGTTCGCTGGATAGTTTGCCCGTTAATTGATGCAGTCTCTTCATAGCATTGAAGGTCTTTACAATTTTTCATGTTTTTGCAGTGGCTGGTACTGGTTGTTTCTTTCCATGTATAGTACTTCCTTCAGGAGCTCTTTAAAGGCAGGCCTGGTGGTGACAAAATCTCTCAGCATTTGTTTGACTCTAAAGGATTTTATTTCTCCTTCACTTATAAAGATTAGTTTGGCTGGTTATGAAATTCTAGGTTGAAATTCTTTTCTTAAAGAATGTTGAATATTGGCCCCACTCTCTTCTGGCTTGTATGGTTTATGCTAAGAGATCCACTGTTGGTCTGATAGGCTTCCCTTTGTGGGTAATTCAACCTTTCTGGCTGCCCTTAACACTTTTTTCTTCATTTCAACCTTGGTGAACCTGACAGTTATGTGTCTTGGGGTTGCTCTTCTCAAAGAGTATCTTTGCAATGTTATCTATATTTCCTGAATTTGAATGTTGGTCTGCCTTGCTAAGTTGGGGAAGTTATCCTGGATAATATCCCAAAGAATGTTTTCCAACTTGGTTCCATTCTTTCCATCACTTTCAGGTACTCCAGTCAAATGTAGATTTGGTCTTTTCACTTAGTCCCATATTTCTCAGAGGCCTTGTTTGTTTCTTTTTACTCTTTTTTTCTCTAACCCTGTCTTCTCACTTTATTTTATTAATACGACCTTCAATCACTGACACCCTTACTTCCATTTGATCATATCGGCTATTGAAGCTTGTGCATGTGTCACAAAGTTCTCATGCCGTGCTTTTCACCTCCATCAGGTCATTTAAGGTCTTCTCTACACTGTTTATTCTAGTTAGCCATTCATTTAATCACTTTTTGAGGTTTTTAGCTTCCATGTGATGGGTTCGAACATGTGACTTTAGCTCAAAGAGATTCGTTATCGCCGACCTTCTGAAGCCTACCTCTGTCAACTCATCAAAGTCATTCTCCATCCAGTTTTGTTCCATTGATTGTGAGGAGCTGTGATCATTTGAAGGAGAAGATGTGCTCAATTTTTAGAATATTCAGCTTTTCTACTCTGGTTTCTCCCCACCTTTGTGCTTTTATCTACCTTGGGTCTTTGATGTGGTTGACCTACACATAGGGTTTTGGTGTAAATGAACTTTTTTTTGATGTTGAAGCTATTCCTTTCTGTTTGTTAGTTTTCCTTCTAACAGTGAGGTCCCTCAGCTGCAGGTCTTTTGTAATTTGGTGGAGTTCCACTCCAGATTCTCTCTGCCTGGTTGTCATGAGCAGAGGATGCAGATGCCGAAGAGTAAATATTGCAGAACAGCAAATATTGCTGCCTCATCCTTCCTCTGGAAGCTTCGTCCCAGAGGGGCAGTTGCCTATATGAGGTCAGCCCCTATCGGGAGGTATCTCCCAGATAGGCTACACAAGGGTCAGGGACCCATGTGAGGAGGGAGTCTCTCCATTCTCAGAGCTCAAATGGCATGCTAGTATAACCACTACTCTCTTCAGAGCTGTCAGACAGGGATGTTTAAGTCTGCCAAAGTTGTCTGCTGCCTTTTGTTCAGCTATGCCCTGCCCACAGTGGTGGAGTCTAGAGGCAGTAGGCCTTGTTGAGCTGTGGTGGGCTTTGCCCAGTTTGAGCTTCCTGGGTGCTTTGTTTACCTACTCAAGACTTAGCAACGGGGGACACCCCTCTACCAGCCAGGCTGCCACCTTTGGGGTTGAATTCAAACTGCTGCATTAGCAATGAGCAAGGCTCTGGGGGCATGGGACCCACCAAACCAGGCATGGGAGAGAATGACTTGTTCTGCCAGATGCTGTGACCTTGGGAAAAGTGCAGTATTTGCACAGGAGTACCCCCATTTTTTCCAGGTAGTCTGTCATGGCTTCCCTTGGCTAGGAAAGGGAAATCAACCAACCCCTTGCAATTCCCAGTAGAGGTGATGCCCAGCTCTACTTCAGCTCACCCTCTGTGGGCTGCACCCACTGTCCAACCAGTCCCAAAGAGACGAACCAGGTACCTCTGTGGGAAATGCCAAAATCACTGATCTGCCTTGATCATGCTGGGAGCTGCAGAACAGAGCTGTTCCTATTTGGCCATTTTGGAACACCCCCAGGAAAAAATAGGATGCATTTTTAAAGGTATTTTTTTTTTTTTTTGAGACGGAGACTCATTCTGTCACCCAGGCTGGAGTGCAGTCGTGTGGAGAGTGCTTCCTCCACACACTTCCCCGTCCCTTTCAATCAGCTGGCTGTGAGATCATTGAAACCAGAGATCTGAGGCTCAGGACAGGCCCAAGCAGGGTTGTGTCTGCCTGTCTGCATTTCAGGGTCACTGTATGGTAGGTTCAGTTCTTTGCTAGAGAAAAGGCTATTGTGTTACCAGAGGAGGGCTTGTTGAGTTGATTCGAGAGACAATACAAGCATCAATATTTGGAATGTCCGAGGTTAGTGTTGGGGAAACCAGTCCCACACCACCCAGTGGGTACCCTGAGTCTGGAGGAGACAAAGGAATTAGAAAGAGAGAGAATAAACATTTAAAAGGTGCATCTAGAGGACCAGAGCATTGAAGGCTTGCTCATGGCCCATTGCTCTTGGGCTTCACCCAATTTATTGGTTTACAAGCTCTTTGTTCTCAGGGCAGCTGGGAGGGGGAGAAATGGATGAGGAAAAGGATTAATCAGAGAAGGAGAACTCCTGAGCCATTCAGTAAGATGTTTGGCACTGGCGGTTTCTGTGAATTTCCTTGAGCAAAAGTGTGTGTCTAACCTACTTAAGATCTGTAACTTATCGGGACTGAAACGGGTGGGAGCTGGTTTCAGGAGGAGCCAAGATGTTTGATTATACTCCATTGCTTCAAGGGAGTGTTATCTCCCTGAGCAACCTGTGGAATACTGCTGAGCAGTTATGCACTCGGGGCATAAATACGTGAAGGCAATAAGGAGACTTTTCTACTCAGAGGCTGCCCATGGCTCCCCATGGGTTTCTCACACAGGGGTGACCAACTCAACTGGCACCCCAGAAACTCTCTTTTCCAGTTAGTAATTATGGGTATTTGGTTTGGACCAAAGACAGGATAAGAGATAAACAAAGAATATTGGGGTGGCCCTGTGGTGACAGCATTTTCCAGACAGCAGGCCTGCTTTACCTGCTGGGAAGAAGGCTGGGCCTCAGAGTCCCACAAAACTTCTTCTTCCATCTGATCTCTTTTAGAGGGACATGAATAAAATGGGCCTCCACAGTCCCAAGACAACACTCAAGGACTTGGGCTTGGACTTTCCTGGAGACAAGACAATTTGAATGGCACTGACTGCCAGGTACTGTCATCCCATGGGCCACGAGACCATTTCGCCTGTTCAGTTCCCCTCTACTCTTTATGGGTGACTAGGGCATGGAATGGGTGTCGAGATGACAGGGCTCTGTCTCTGGGATAAGGACAGACCCCAGGGAAGGGGAAGCCACCAGCCAGGAGCCCAGGCCAGGGGCCAGGTTTGGGGAGCAGTTTTCTCTGATCGTATGCTTACTCCTGCAGCCTGACTCATCACCTGAATTTATGTCTATTTTGGAGAATGGAGAAAACAGACTTAGAAAAAGACACTTGTGGGCCTGTCACCTAAAGACAAACCCAGCTGTAATTCTGGTGTGTTTATTTTTAGCTTTTTTTTTGGTTTCTCTTTTCTCATGTTTCTGCTTCATATCAGTACTTTTTTGAGCACACTCCCTGCACTCTGTGATCTTCCTTTGATGAGGAGGATCCTTTAAGATAAGAAAAGTGAAGGCTGGCCAGCTGTGGATCTGGTCTACATTTGGGGCTGGCCTATGTCTTGTCTGGCCTTCACATCGTGTGTACTTTTTCTCCTCCTTTCCACCTACCATTAGGATATTATCATCTTTCTTGGCACCTCTTTTGCCTGCTTATATTTAGATCCTGCACTGCCCAAGTGTGTGACCCTTGGTGGGTTCACGTGACTTCTCACCTCTAAAATAGGGATGGTGCCAGGACCTGCCATGGGGATTGTTGCAAAGATTAAGTGGGGGTGGTTATCAAAAGCCTAAGAGTACCATTGAGACACAGTGAGCATACATGAAATACCAACTGTTTATTATCAAGTGCTGCCTAATTGTTCTTTAGGATCAACCATTGTTTATTCACGTAACTATCAAGCTCTTGTTAATCGTTTTCCTATTTTCAATACTGGAGAACAATACTTCATTGAAAGTCATAGTAAATAAAGTGCTAATGTATTATCAGTTTCAAGTAATAGGCTTTATTAAGTGCCTCAAGGGCGCCAGGTCAATGAGAGCCTGACCCAAGTGTTTGCAGCCACAGAGAAAATGGGAAAGGCATTGCAATTTGTGATATCCTGGGATCCACAGCCACGAGTGGTCAAATTGAAACAGGAAACCTCATTCCTCAGCTTGGCTTCAGTTTCTTTCCAAGTCCTACTGCTCTGGCCTGAGAGAGCCTCTGCCCATCAAAATATCGTGTTCTTTGTGTCCCCCAGGCCACTGTAGGGTAGTGAGATATACCAGTAGGGGCCCACCCATGATGTTGCCACCCTCCCTCTCATCTTTCTTGCTCCTTTCCTCTGCCCTCTGGCTGCTTACAGTAACATGCTGGACCACTCCATGGCTGCACCTGAGTCGTGGCTGATGCCACTAGCACTGGCATCCTCTAAGGAAATTTCCTTCCAGACTGGGAAGTTGGTCTAAAGTTAGGGGCTGGACTTCATGATGCACACTGCAGACACCTCTGTGGTTGTGTCTATTGATACCCTTGGTGATGTCTACATGTGGATCTGCTTTGGACAGATCTTGAGTTTTTCAGCTGTATCTGGTGATTACTTGGGTCTCATTTGAGGGAGTGGAAGTGTGGGTAGAGCCAGGATTTTCTGCTGGAATCTGTGGTGCTTCATTAGACTTGGAACCAGGACAGCTGGAACAGAGACTATTCCTAGAGTCTCTGATACCATATATTATTTCTCATATATTTTATTTTGAAAATAAAAAATATATGCACATGACTGAAAAATACAGAGGTGAGGCAAGAGTTACACAGAAGGAGCTGCCACCATGTGCACCTCACCCTAGTCCCCTGAACTACCTGTTAACAACCAGGTACAACAGAGGAAGACTGAGTTTCTTAGACTCCCACCTTTCCTCCACCCTCAGCCAATGGTAGGAATATGATGATTTTAGTTTCTTTCTTAGTTATCATTGACGTTGTAAGTAACTGTAGAGTATAAATATTTAGATATACATCTTGTTGATCCAATACAATAGAATCTTGTGACTTTCCTCTTGTAGGAAGTATATTAGTACTGTGAATTCCCATACATGTCTTGGTATTCTATGGGTATACACATATTTTTTCTTTAGCTTTCTATTTTCTTGGAGTTTCTATTGCCTTTTCTTCTTTCTATTTAAAATTAAATTGTCTCCTTTTATCACATCCTTAATATCTTCCCTCATTTCTAACCTCCCATCTGAAAAGTCACTGCTGGATGCCTTCCTTTTTCCTGTTCCCACCCAACCAATATCTCTCTAGGCCTGGGATTGAGCTGTCATTCCAAGGGCTTTCATAACTGCCTCCCTGGGTTTTTACATGTCAAATGCTATTTCACTACTGCAAATCTGGGACTAATCTCCCAGAGAGCTAACCACTTTTCTTGTGGTTTATTTTTTTAATTGTGTATGGTTTTGAAATAATTTTTAGATTCTGTCTTCCATTTTTTTTCAGACTTACACATTTTAAGAGAATTTCAAACTGTTTTTCCTAATCTCTAAATTTTCTTATTATCTTCCTAAATTTTGTTACTTTCTATGGATGCAATATTTTCTACTTCTCCGAGACTATAGGGAGCATGCATTCTGAACTCTGCTTGAGCAGAGGTCATGGGGCCAGAAGGAAAAAGGAACTTAAAGACTCATTTCTCTGGAGGTGAGTTGTCTGTTTTACCTTACTTGACTTTTTTTTTTTTTTTTTTTTTTTTTTTTGCATTTTTTAAAACCGTCGAACACTCATGTTTGCCTGTGCAATTAGTAATAAGGCTGAAATGAGGATGGTCACAGGTTCATTTCACATTGGGACAAGAGGAACTGGCCTTCAAATCAGGGTTCTACACATGGGAAGAAAGATTTCCACTGGGAATCCCTAAGCTTCCTTGTTTCCTCTGCAGAAACTTTCACCTTCAGTTGTCCTTCTGCTGCCTTGGCATGGTGATGCTCTTCCTCCACTTGCCACCTGAACACACAACTTTGGACATTGTGCTCATGGCTTTTCCCTTCTCTTTGTCTTGAAGAGAGACAATGCAACCCATTTCTCTACTGTGATGGAACCAGAATGTTCATATTAGAACTGGAAGATGATGTCCTCTACAGCATAGGGCACATAAGCTTCCGCATGAAAGAGGAAATACCAGAAAATAGACACAAGGACAGGAAGATCACTTTGAACTATAAAGGTCCTCAGGGGCAACTGGGTACTGTGTTAGGTGGTCACTCTTCTGTGCAGAAGGAAGGACTGTGTGAGCCTTTCCCTCAGGCCTGTTCTGTGTCTGAGCTCAGGGCCAACTTAATTCTCATTATACAGCCTCATAGATTAGGAAAAGAAAAGAATCTGCCTTCTCAGGCCTCCTGCCCATTCATATTCTGAGCTGCGGATCGTGATTCCTTATTTAAAAACAGCTTCATTGACGTGTGATCAGCATATGGTAAACTGCACATGTGCAGAAAGGAGAACTGATGGTTTTCTCCATGTGAGTATTTCATTCACCACAAGGCCAGAAGTGCTATGAAGGTCATGAAAACGTACCTTCCTCCTGGCAATAATGATCTCTCCCTGGCCAATCTAGTACCACAGATCTGCTTCTTTCACTAAAATTTAGTGGTATTTTATAGAATTACATGTAAATACAGTATGTACTTGGATCTTTGTGCATCGTTCTGATCTGGGTTCTTTTATTCGGCAGAACTACTTTCAGAGTCACTCTGTTCTGATTGCATCAACAGTCCATTCCTTTTTATGCCGAGCCACACACCATGGTGTGGATGTGCCACAGCTTGTTCACCCTTCTTTTGTGTATGGGCATTTGGGGTTCCTGGTTTGGGAACATTGTGTATAAGGATGTCATGAATATTTATTTATGTATATAGCCTGTAAACTCGCCTTCATTTCTCATCATTCATTCCTAGGAGGGCAGTGGCCACATCATGTCATGGTAGGTCTGCATCGACCTTGCTAAGGAACCACTGTGCCTTGTGCTAAGTGTTTTGTCCATTCCCTGCTTTCTGTCTTGCTCCGTCTGATTTAGTCATACTAACCTCTTGTCTCCTTCATCCTCAAGGGCAATAACTTCTTAGCATACCACCCTTCCTTTACACTTGGAATCACCAGCTCCTTCTCTATATGCTGGCTTTGATTCCCTCACTAAAGTTGCCTTCTGTGACCCATGTGTAACACATTGCCCTCAAAACATCCTATGTATGAGAAGGTTTTGGGATAAGAGACTGTTCCTGATGAGTATCAAGTACCTACAATGGCTCTGAATGGAAGAAAGATGACTGGTTGTGTCTTGTCACCCATTGTCCCTGGAGCTCATCTCGATTGATAGAAAGAAGACTGGGTGTGGCCTGGACATACATTCAAGTGACTCACAAACTTTTTCTAAATGACAACTGGAGACCTGGCTGGGGGCTGGAACCTGAAGTTACTTGGAAGTGGTGTGATTGAAAGTGAGTCACTCAATCACCTGATCTTGGCCCTTTTCTCTACATGTGGGATTACCCATACCTGGCAGAGTCACTGTGAGTTCACCTGAGCAAGTCACCTGCACGTGGCGGTGCTCAGAAAATGTTAATTTCCCTTTACTTAAGTGGAATGACACATGGATATTATATGCTGAGGTCTGGATTACAATAGAGCAAGATGCAGAAGACCTTGTAAACCCTGAGGAGACATCACTGATCACTGGGTGTCTGGATAGGCAGCATAGAAAAAGTGACCTGGAGCTGGAAATGGCCAGACGGTGTCTTACAGTTATCTAAACAGGCATGAGTGGGGCAGGAGAGGGATTACCACTTTATACCCACTAGAATGTCTTTTTTGTTTTTTGTTTTTGAAAAATGGAAAGTTGGAGAGTTTCTGCAGCAAATGGAACACTTGTGCATTGCTGGTGAGAATGTGAAGCGGTGGTGAGGGTTGCACAATAACATAAACATACTTACAAATATTTAGATACATGCACAAATGTTTAGATTGGTAAATTTTATGTTATATTACTTTTACCACATACAATAAAGGCTTCCTGAGAACTGATCCTGAAATAGTTCCACGTGGAACAAAACAAGATCCTTCTGTCCCAGAGTGAGTAGGAGCCTTTTATTTTCTTGAAATGGAGTCTTGCTCTGTGGCACAGGCTGGAGTGCAGTGGTGTGGTCTCTGCTCACTGCAGAGCTTTGACTGTGGCCCCAACCAGCTAGTGAGACTCACATTTATTTGGTAAAGAATAATTGACCAAGGCTCAAGTCAACACCACTAAAGGGTAATTGACAGTGTGGAATTCCCAATTAGAAAGCAATTTAGCACTGTACTAAGTCAACCATTAATCTTAGGACCGTATGAGTAAGCAAGCTAGTTAGATAAACACCCCACTTTAGTGTGTTTCTACTCTAACTTACTTAACTAAAGGGAAAAGGCCATTTTCAGCCAAGTTTATTACTGGAGCTTATGTCAACTCCCTAGGCCTTGCAAGAAGGTTTGTATCTGCTAATTTTCCCCACCATCTTGACTGAACCCCAACAGATATCAAAGCAATAACAGGAATTTCTAGAGTACAAATTAGTTTCTGTGAAAATTGAAAAAATTTCAGTACATACTTTGCAATGCTTAATACTTGATACAGATTAGAAATCTGGAGGTTTACCTTCTTAAACCTGCTTTTTCAAAAGTGAACCAAAATGTCAATTCACTTGTTTTTGGTCTGCTCATTTTCCTTCACCTTTTGCGACATGGCACTGCTTTTGATTGACATTTGAATACAGAGATTAATTTATTAAAACATTTCTCACTGTTCTTTTCCTTTTTGCTTTTAGACATTACAAGTGAAACTTCTGGTAATTTCAACAGTGCACACTGTAAATAAGAATAAAAACTGGTCGGCATCTGGCAATATGGTAGAAAAGTAACAGCTCTGATCTGCAGCTCCCAGTGAGACAAACACAAAGGACAGTTGATTTCTGCATTTCCACCTGAATTACCCAGTTCATCTCACTGGACGTGGTTAGACATTGAGTGCAGCCCACAAAAGGCAAGCAGAAGTAGGGTGAGTGTTGCCTCACTCAGGAAGTGTAAGGGGCTGAAAACTTCCTTCTTTAACCATGGAAAGCAATCAGGGGCTGTGCTATCAAGCCCATAACCTGCAGTTTCCCCATGGTTCTTACGACGCACAGACCAGGAGATTCCCTAGTGTGCCTGTACAACCACAGAACTGGGTTTCAAGCACAAAACTGGGTGGCTGCTTTCACAGAGGCTGAGCTAGCTGCAAAATAATTTTCATACCCTAGTGGCACCTGGAACACCAGTGAGACAAAACCAGTCACCCCCCTGGAAAGGGGCTGAAGCCAGGGAGCCAAGTGGTCCCACTGAGCAGGCCCCACTTCCATGGAGCACAGCAAGCTGAGATCCACTGGCTTCAAGTTCTCACTACCTACATAGAAGCCTGAAGTCAACCTAGAATGATAAAGCTCGGTGGGGAGAGGTTCGACCACAATTACTGAGACTTGAGCGTAAGGTTTTCCCCTCAGAGTGTTAAGAAAACTGCCAGGAAATTTGGGCTGCATGGAACTCACAGAAGCATGCAAAGCAGGTGTGGCCACATTGGCTCTCTAGATTCCTCCTCACTGGGTAGGGCATCTCTGAAAGAAAGGCAGCAGCCTGAGTCAGAGACTTATATGTAAAACTCCCAACTCCCTGGGACAGAACACCTGAGAAAAGGGATGGCTGTGAGTGCAACTTCAGCAGACTTAAAGACTCCTGCCTGCTTGCACTGAAGAGAGCAGTGTATCTCCCAGGACAGTGCTCAAGCTCTGCTCAGGGCAGACTGGCTTTTCAAGTTTGCCCCTGACACCTGTGCCTCCTGACTAGGAGACCCTTTCCCGCAGGGGTCAACAGACACTTCATAGAGAAAAGCTCTAGCTGGCACCAGCCAGGTATCACTCTGAGTCAAAACTTCCAATCATTGCTGTTGTGCAACTTCATATGGTGATACCCAGGCAAACAGCAACTGAAGTAGACCAGCAAACTGTAGCAGACCTGCAGAAGAGATGCCTGACTGTTAGAAGAAAAACTAACAAACAGGAAACAGTGACATCAACATCAACATCAACAAAAAGGACTCTCACACAAAATCCCAGTCCAAAGACATTCAGTATCAAAGATCCCAGGTAGATAAATCCACGAAAAATGAGGAATAGCCAGCACAAAACAGCTGAAAATTCAAAAAATTAGAATGCCTCTTCAACTCCAAATGATCGCAACTCCTCTCCAGCAAGGGCACAAAGGTGGATGGAGAATGAGGTTGATGAGTTGGCAGAAGTAGGCTTCAGAAGGTCAGTAATAACAAAATTCTCTAAGCTAAAGGAGTATGTTCTAAACCAATGCAAGTAAGGTAAAAGCCTTGATAAAACGTTACAGGAGCTGCTAACTAAAATAACCAGTTTACAGAAGAACGTATATGACCGCATAGAGCTGAAAAACACAGTGCAAGAAACATTGTGAAGCAAAAACAAGTATTAATAGATGAATCAATGAAGAGGAAGAAAGATTATCAAAGATGGAAGATCGACTTAATGAGATAAAGCATGAAGACAAGATTAGAGAAAAATGAATGAAAAGCAACAAACAAAGCCTCCAAGAAATATGGGAGTATGTCAAAAGACCAAACCTATAATTGATTGGTGTACCTGAAAGTGATGGGAAAAATGGAACCAAGTTTGAAAACACACTTCAAGACATCATCCAGGAGAACTTCCCAATGGAACAAGACAGGCCAACATTCAAATTCAGGAAGTACAGATAACACCACTAAGATACTCGCTGAGAAGAGCAACAGACATATGACTGTCAGATTCTCCAAGGTTGAACAAAAAGAAAAAATGTTAAGGACAGCCAGACAGACAGGTCAGGTTATCTACAAAGGGAAGCCCATCAGACTAACAGAGGATCTCTCTGCAGAAACCCTACAAGCCAGAAGAGAGTGGAGTCAATATAAAACAACCCTAAAGAAAACAATTTCAACCTAGAATTTTATATTAATCCAAACTAAGCTTTATGAGCAAAATAAAAATAAAATTGTTACAGATAACAAAATGTAGATGGTTTTGTCACCACCATGCCTGCCTTAGAAGAGCTCCTAAAGAAAGCACTAAATATGGAAAGAAAATACCGGTACTCACCTGGTGCAGTGGCTCACGCATGTAATCTCAGCATTTCGGGAGGCGTAGGTGGGCAGATCATGAGGTCAGAAGATGGAGACCATCCTGGCTAGCACAGTGAAACCCTGTCACTACTAAAAATACAAAAAAAATAGCCGGCTGTGTTGGTGGGTGCCTGTAGTCCCAGCTACTCAGACTCACGGGAGGCTGAGGCAGAATGGCAGAAACCCAGGAGGCGGAGCTTGCAGTGAGCCAAGGTCACGCTACTGCACTCCAGCCTGGCCAACAGAGTGAAACTCTGTCTCAAAAAACAAAAAACAAAACAAAAGAAAATCGGTACTCACCACTGAAAAAAATAGCAAAATATAAAGACCAACAACTCTATGAAGAAAGTGGATCAACTAATATCCAAAACAACCAGCTAACATTCCCATGCCAGGATCAAATTGACACATAAGAATATTAACCCTAAATGTAAATGAAATAAATTTGCCAATTAAAGTACACAGATTGGCAAATTGGATAAAGAGTCAAGACCCTTCGGTATGCTATATTGAGGAGAACCATCTCATGGGTGAAGACACACATAGGCTCAAAATAAAAGGATGGAGGAATATTTACCAAGCAAATGGAAAGTTACCAAAAAAAAAAAAAAAAAAAAAAAAAAAAGCAGGGCTTGAAATCGTAGTCTATCCTAAGGCAAACTTTAAGCCAACATAGATCATAAAAGACAAAGTAGGGAGTTGCGTAATGGTAAGGAATCAGTGCAACCAGCACAGCTAACAATCCTAAATGTATATGAACCTAATACAGGAGCACTCAGATTAAAAAGCAAGTTCTTAGAGACTTACACAGACTTAGATTCACACACAATTATAACAGGAGACTTTAACACCCTACTATCAATATTACGCTGATAAATGAGACAGAACTTTAACAAGAATACTCAGGACGTGAACTCAGCCCTTGACCAAGCAGAGCTAATAGACATCTACAGACGTCTCCACCCCAAATCAACAGAATATACATTCTTCTCATCACCACGTAGCACTTATTGTAAAATTGACCACATAACTGGAGGCAAAACACTCCTCAGCAAATGCAAAAGAATGGAAATCAAAACAAACAGTCTCTCGCACCAGAGTGGAATAAAATTAGAACTCAGGATTAAGAAACTTATTCAAAACTGCAAAATTACATGGGAACTGTAAAACCTGCTCCTGATTGACCACTGGATAAATAACAAAATTAAGAAACAAAGAAAGAAGCCGTTTAAAATCAATGAGAACAAAGACACAACCTACCACAATCTCTAGGACACAGCTAACGCAGTGTTAAGAGAGAAATTTATAGCACTAAATGCCCACATCAAAAGTGGGAAAGATCTAAAATCAACACCATAAAATCACAATGAAAAAAACTAGAGGGACAGACATAGTGGCTCATGCCTGATATTTCAGCACTTTGGGAAGTTGTGCCAGGCAGGTCACCTGAGTTCAAGAGTTCAAGACTAGCCTAGCCAACAAACATGATGAAACTCCATCTCCACAGAAAATACAAAGAAAAAGAAAGCCTGGCATGGGGGCTCACACCTGTAATCCAGGATACGTAGGAAGCTGAGTTGAGATAATCTCTTGAACAGAAAAGATAAAAACCACAGTGAGCTGAGGTAGCACCACTCCACTCCAGTGTGCATGACAGAGCAAGACACCTTCTCAAAAAAAAAAAAAAAAATTAAAAAAAGGAAGAAAGAAAGCAAAAGAGCTGGAGAAGCAAGAACAAACATATCCAAAAACTGAGACAAAAAAAGAAATAACTGAGATAAGAACGTAACTGAAGGTGATAGAGTCAGGAAAATCCCTCATGAATCCAGGAGCATTTTTGTTTGTTTGTTTGTTTTTTGTAAAGATTAACAAAATAGATACACTGCTAGCCAGACTAATAAAGAAAAAAAAGAAAAGAATCAATTAGACATATTAAAAAAGGATAATGGGGATGTAAAAACTGATCCCACATAAATACAAACTACCATCAGAGAATACTGTAAACACCTCTATGTAAATAAAGCAAAAAATCTATAAGAAATAAGTAAATTCCTGGACACATACACTTCTGCAAGACTAAACCAGGAAAAAGTAGAATCCCTGAAGAGACCAACAGATTCTAAAGTTGAGGCAGTAATAGCCTACCAACCAAAAAATGCCCAGACCAGACAGATTCACAGACTACTTCTACCAGAGGTACAAAGAAAAGCTGGTGTCATTTACTTCTGAAACTATTCCAAACAATAGAAAGAGAGGGACTCCTCCTGAACTTATTTTATGAGGCCAGCATCATCTTAATACCAAAACCTGTCAGAAACCAAAAAAAAAAAAAAAAAAAAAAATAGGCCAGTATTCCCGATGACCATCAATGTGAATATTCACAATAAAATACTGGCAAACTGAATCCAGCAACACATCAAAAAGCTTATCCATCACGATCAGATCAGCTCCAACGAGCAAGGCTGGTTTTAACATATACAAATCAACAAACGTAATTCATCACATAAAGAGAACCAAAGACAAAAACCACATAATTTTCTCTCTCGTTGCAGAAAAGGCCTTAGATAAAATTCAACATCCCTTCCCACTAAAAACACTCAATATACCAGGTATCGATGGAATGTATCAGAAACTAACGAGAATTATTTGTGACAAACCCATAGGCAATATTATACTGAATGGGCAAAAGCTGGAAACATTTTCTTTGAAAACACAGAACACAAGGCACAAGACAAGGATGGCTTCTCTCACCACTCGTATTCAACATAGAGTGGAAAGTTCCACCCAGGGCAATCAGACAAGAGAAGCAAATAAAGGGTATTCAAATAAAAATAAAGGAAATCAAATTTTCCCTGTTTTTAGAGGACATAGTTGTATATTTAGAATACCCCAGTATCTCACCTCTAAAACTACTTAGCAGTAGACAAGAAACTTGTCTTTTGTATGAGTTTGCTTAAGCTTATAAGCAACTCCAGCAATCTCAGGCTACAAAATCAATGTGCAAAAATCACAAGTATTTCTATACACCAATAATAGAAAAACAGAGAATCAAATCATGACTGACCTCAAATTCACAATTTCTCCAAAGAAAAAAATAACTAAGAATAAAAATTACAAGAAATATGAAGGACTTCTTTATGGAGAACTACAAACCAGTGCTCAAAGAGAGGACACAAAAATATCATGTTCATGAATAAGAAGAATCAATATCATGAAAGTGACCATGCTGCTTAAAGTAATTCACACATCTACAATGATCTGATCTTTGACAAGCCTGAATAAACAAGCAACTGGGGAAGAATTCCCTGGTATGGGAAAACTGGCTAGCCATATGGAGAAACCTGAAACTAGATCCCTTTCTCACACCACATAATTAACTCAAGATGACTAAAAGACTTAAACGTAAAACCTAAAACCCTAAACACCCTAGAAGAAAATCTACACAATACCATTCAGGATATAGGCATGGACAAAAACTTCATGGCAAAAAGACCAAAAAACAATTGCAACACCGTCCAAAATTGACAAATGGGACCTAATTAATCTAAAGAGCTCCCCACAGCAAAAGAAAATATCATCAGAGTGAACAGGCAACATACAAAATGTGAGAACATTTTTTCAACCTATCTATCTGAAAAAAGTCTAATATCAAAAACCTACAAGAAATTTAAAAAAACTTACAACAAAATAAAAAACAAATCCCATCAAAAAGTGGGCAAAGGATATGAACAGACATTTCCCAAAGGAAGATATTTAATCAGCAAACAAACATATATAAAAAAAAGCTTAGCATCACTGGTCATTAGAGAAATGCACATCAAAACCACAATGAGATACAATCTCACACCGGTCAGAATGGTGACCATTAAAAAGTCAGGAAACAACAGGTTCTGGTGAAGATGTGGAGAAAGAGGAATGCTCTATACTGCTGGTGTTAGTACAAATTAGTTAAATCATTGTGGAAGACAGTATGGTGATTCTTCAAAGATCTGTAACCAGAAATACCATTTGACCCAGCAATCCCATTATGTGGTGTGCCTCCAGAGGATTATAAATCATTCTACATAAGGAAACATGCACATTTACATTTACTGCAGCACTATTCAGACACAAAAAAGACATGGAACAAACCCAAATACCCATCAATTATGGATTGGATAAAGAAAATGTGGAACATATATACCATGGGATACTATGCAGCCATGAAAAAGAATAAGTTCATGTCCTTTTCAGGGACATGAATGGAGCTGGAAACAATTATTCTCAGCAAGCTAACACAGGAACAGAAAAGCAAACACTACCTATTCTCATGCATAAGTGGGAATGGAACAATGAGGACACAATGGGGCCTGTCAGGGAGTAGGGGGTAAGCGGAAGGAGATCATCAGGACAAATACCTAATGCATGCAGGGCTTAAAACTTAGATGATGGGTTGATGGGTGCAGCAAACCACGGTGGCACATGTACACCAATGTAACAAATCTGCCTGTTCTGCACATGTATCCTAGAAGTTAAATTATAATAAAAAATAGTCAAGTTAAATGACCAACTAAATAGTATCCATGAATTTATGATTATTCCATATATGGCTTTTACTTAATACTTTGTGCTTTGTGTCTCTAGGAAAGCAAAATAAAAATATGTTGTACCAAACATTTTAAAAGAATTTACTAGAAAGCAATTGGAGCCAATTTTTTTATCTGTTGATGAAGACAAGTGTAGATTAAAAACCAACTCTCCTAATGCTTGTCAGTACCGCAAGGTGCTCAGGATCAAAATAAAACTTCCAACCTAAGGATATCTGGCAGCCTCCAGAACTTTAAGAAAAGCCGAGAAACAAAGTATCCAGCTTCAGGCTCTTTCTAGGAGAGCATGCCCAAGGCCTTGGGGACCCTTGGACCCTGGAAGAAGGGCGGAAGTGGGGTAGGTGGGGGCGGTATTTGGAGCCACTGCCCCTCTGGCAGCCACTGCTGCTCCCCATGGATGGCTTGGAGTCTCAGCCTTCAGCAGAATCAGCAGGCTTTCCGCAAACAGTGTTTGGTGTGCCTGCCTGTTTTCCATCTCTGTATCTTCCTTAGTGATGTATCTACTCAGGTTTTACCTTGAAATTGGGTTGCTTATCTTTTTGAGTTTTAGGGTATCCTCGTATATTGTACATACAAGTCGCTTTTCAGATTAGTTTGCTAAATTTTTCTATCTGTGGCTGGCTTTTTGGTTCTCTTTACCGGATTTCACTTATTTTTTTTTGAGGTGATGTCTCATTTTGTCACCCAGCCTGGAGTGCAATGACCCGAACCAGCCTCACCGCAATCCCCACCTCCCAAGTTCAAAGGATTCTCCTTGCTCAGACTCCTAAGCATCTAGGATTACCGGCATACACCAGAAATCCCAGTTAAATTTTTTTATTTTTAGTACAGACGTGACTTCACCATGTATACGATGCTGACCTGCAACTCCTGTCCTCAGGTGATCTGTCCGCTTTGACCTTCAAAAGTAACAGGGTGTTTTACAGATAAGACATTTCATCTTTTAATAAAGTTCATATTATCCATTTTTTTCTTTCATGGACTTGCTAATAAATAATTACCAAAACCAGGCCCATGAAGATACTTTCCAATTACAACTTTGCAGTGAAAAGATTTAAAGTATGGGTATTTTTGACTAATTTTTTAACTATAAAATTTTTGTCTATGTTCATTTGTTTCCATATAGTTTCCAGCAGTTTTCTTGACACTTGTGAAACAGCTTTATCTTTTCCAAAGAATATTCTTCGCATTTTTGACAAAATCAGTTGACTTGGGACAGTTTGGGGGCTATTCTCTTCCACTTATCTGCTGGTCTGTTAAATTATGAATGCCACACTCTTCTTTATTACATTAGCTTTAGTGTAAATATTCATATCCAGATGTGTAATTCCTTTAGCTTTGTTCTTCTTTAGTCTTATTTCATCTATTCTAGGTTTAGGAAGAGTTTGTTGATATATTTACCTGGAATTTGATTGGGATATGTCTGAAATAACCATAAATGTACTTCTCCAGAACAAGAAACGTCTCTTTATTTATTTATTTATTTATTTATTTATTGAAAAAGAGTTGTGTCACCCATGTTGGAGTGCAGTAGCACCATCTCAACTCACTGAGATTCTCCCACTTCAATGACCCAAGTAGCTGGGAACACAGGCGTGCCCACCAAGCTCAGCTTATTTTTTTTTGTATTTTTGGTAGCGTTGGAGTTTCACCCTGTTCCCCAGGCTGGTCTCCGACTCATTGGCTCAAGTGATCTGCCTGTGGCAGCCTCCCAAAGTGCTGGGATTACAGGCGTCTGCCAACATGCCAGGACTCTCTGCATTTACTAATATTTCTGTTGATTTCTCTCAAAGGTGACTTATTGTTTACTGAATGAATTCTGCATATTTTGTTACATTTATACTTAAAGGACTCAATTTTTTGGGTAGTATTGTAAGTGGTGTTTTAATATTTCAAATTCCAATGATTTCTATTCATGATTGCTGATAGACAAAAAATCAGTTGAGTTTTATCTATTGATCGTCTCCTTTGCTTCTTTTTAATCCCCATTCAAGGTTTGGGAAGGTTGGCTCTATTTCACTTCCACTTCCTGAGACTGTCGCCTGGATTAACCCACCCCGAATTTCAGAAATTTTCCCAGGCTACCACCAGAGGGTGCACGGAGCCTACGCACTGAGCATGCAGAGCCCGCAAACAAACTCTCTGAGGAGCAGGGTGTCCTCACAGTGCCTCGGATAGCACTTCCTTCTCCTCAAGACACACCGGAGAGAGGCCGTGGTTTCAGGGTACCTGGGGACACCTGAGGCACGTTCGTAGTGAAGACTAAGCCTCCTTCATCTCAGGACCCGCCCAAGAGTGGCCGCAGCTTTGGCCCACCTGGGGTCGCGTCCACCATGAAGATGAAGTCTCTTTCTCTTCTGGACATGTCCAGGAGTGGCCGTTGCTACAAGACATCTGGTGCTACGACCAGGTGAGAATAAAGACGTCTCCTCAGGACCCTCCCAGGAGAGGACATGGCATTCAGACATCTGGTGGACAGGTGAGGAAAAGACCCCCTGTCTGCAGCACCCAGAACTGAGGAGGGTCACTGCTCTGAGCCTTACTTCCCAGCCCTGGCCTCCAATTCTGACTTTACGAAAGTGTCCCTTGAGCGAGGCAGTGACCACGCATTGTCACAGCTACCAAAGTGTGGTTTGCAGATGATCTGAGCTTGTTTCTGGCGGAGATTCTGTTACAGAGAAAGGAGAGGTGCTGAGTGGAACTACTATGACAGGCTGAGGTCAGGGGAGACATCACAACCTCCAACAACACTTTTTTCATGCTTTAATGACTCATTTTTCTTAGAGAACTAAAGTAGTTGAAACAATATAGAAAAAATTTTAAGTAGGCATATTAGAAGCTGAATTATTATTTAAGTTTAAATATATGGTATATGCCCGGTTAACAACATTTTTTCTTTTCCTGAGACAATCACAGTTTAATTGAGAGTGGATTTGTAATGGTGATGAAAATGTCTACTTTATAAAGGTTGACATCCTACATTAGCTGAGATATACTAACAGTATCAACCTTTGATATTAAAACATAAAATTAATTGAAGAATTCTGAGCCAAATATCAGTGACAAATGGTCCATGACACAGCCATACTCAGGAGATCTTGAGAACATGTGCCCCAGGTGGTGTGTGCACAGTCTATATTTATGCATTTTCAGGAGACATGAGACATCAGTCAAACACATGTAAGATGTACATTAGTTTGGTCAAGAAAGGATGGACAACTTGAAAATAGCGATGGGGCTGCACTTTCAAGTTACAGGTAGATTTAAATATGTTTTCATTGGCAGTTGGCTGAAAGAGTTAAGTTATTATCTAAAAACATAAAATCAACAGATAGGGATGACTGGGTTACAATAAATAGTAAGGACTGTAGAGACCAAAGTTTTATCATGATGATGAAGCCTCCATGTAGCAGGCTTGAGAGAATAGAAGGTAAATATTCCTTATCAGACTTAAGGTATGCATTGCTGTTAATGATGGTCAACTTTTTCTAAAGTTCAAAAGGGAGGAGCGTGTAATGAATCATGTGTGTCCCTCTTTCTTGTCGGGAACTGAACCACTTTTGGAATGCCTTTGGTCAAAAGGAGGGGTCCATTCAGATGACTGTGGTGGGTGGGGGGACGTGAGAGTTATTTTTTTTTACAAGTGTTTCACTTCTATTTAAAAAACTATAACCTATTAAATTGTTATAAATTATAATTAATCTAAGAGTAAAAAGGGATTTCTTAAATTAAAAAAAAAATCGAACACTAAAAATCCTAAGCCACCACACTTTGCCAGATCTTTTATTCTTTCTCTTTTTAAAGTTGTCAGGGATGCTTTGCTTGTAAGTCATATAGTTGACTCATTGACCATCGGGGTATAGTTCTGTTGCTTCTTCAAATATTGTACCTAGTAACCTTCCCAAATTGTTTTTAAGTAAAGTTCTTAAATTGTAGCAGTAAACAAAATGAAAAGACAATGTTACACAATACTGAGGTTTATCACAGGACATAAAAAATTTCAACTCTTATTCCTTTTCTTCTTCTTCTTCTTTTTTTTTTTTTTTTTTTTTTTTTTCTGGAGACAGGGTCTCATTCTTTTTCCCAGCCTGAAGTGCGGAATTGCCATCCTGGCTCGCTGCAGCCTCTAACTGCCAAGCTGAACTGATCCTCCACCTTAGACTCAGCTATCATCTCTGGCTAACTTTTTGTATTTTTTGGTAGAGACAAAGGTTTGCCATGTTGCCTGGACATGTCTCAAATGTCTGAACTCAAGTGGTCTGCCTGCCTTGGCCTCAAGAAGTGCTGAGATTATAGGCATCAATAAAACATTTATGTTAGGGTTAGATAAAAATCAATCTTTAGGCTAAGTTATGAACATGTATATAATGCAATTTTTTATTTGTGCCTAATTTTCATCATTTTCTGTGTTGACATTACTCATTTTAAAGTCACATTCAAGGGATAAGGCAAAATCACCTGTGAATTGGCATATTTGTTTATTTCTCTGTTTGGGAAAATGTCCTTAGTTTTTTCACGATGCAAAAAAATTTCAATTCTGTTATGCAAAAAACAGAAGAGAATCTTCTTTGCAATTAATTTTATAGGCCCCTTCACACAGGGAATGTGCTATTTATAAAAAAAAAAAAAAACTGAACTACAGATCTTAAACACTGAAAAAAATTAACAGTTTATTATAATTTATTTTATCCTATCAATTAATTGTATTTATATACAATCTTGAAAGTTTACAGTCATCAACAGTTCTACTGCAGTTTCAGGTGAAATGGGAATTTAGAAATTTCTATGGAGCTGTAGGCGTAGTGAAACATTTTGTTAAAATATGTCCGTGCTTTTGGCAGCACTTGTGAAGGGATGCCTCCAAATTAACCTCAATGCTTTTCTTCTCAGCAAAATGACCTGGGCCACTCAGTATGACTTTCTTTGTTGCTGATGTTCATGCATGTTCTCTTTTTACCATAAATTTATGACTCTGAAGATATCCATTTGACATGGTGGCATTAGGGCTTTCAAAATGACTAGATTTTCTACTCGCCATCCATTAGGTACTTACATGTTTCTACTTCGACTCCCCCAGAACATGAGTAGTTTCTGGTTAGCCCCACGGAGAGTGCAGCACAGGTCCCAATATAGCAATGCAGACTCCACCCCAAGGCCACCCTTCACCCCTAGCTGCATGATGCTGTGCATTCCAGGGAAGTTGGATGACACACAGCTTGTTGTTTTTACAAACAAAATTATTGTGTTAATTTCATTTTCATATGGTTTATTGCTAGTGTGTAGAAATAGATTTTAGTGTATCGATATTTTATACTGTATGTTTGTTTAATTTGTTTACTAGATTTTATTATTTCTTGTTGTTTTCTTATTTTCTGTATATGAGATCATGAGATCCATGAGTAGATAGTTTTACTTTTATTTTTCCACATATCAATAGCTTCGTATATATTTTTCTCTTCCAATTATTTTGGATGGAACTTCTAGTACTGTATCAAATACAATGATGAAAGTGTGCATCAGTGCTGTGCTCCTCATCTTAAAGTTTTTGTTCCCAACAATTCAGATGCTGATTGTTACAGGTTTTGCATAAAGATGTTTTATCATATGAAAGAAATTTGAAACACAGTTTATTGGATGTTGTTAACATTAAATATGTTGACTAACTTTAAGTATTTTCTGTAACAGTTGAGATAAACATGTACTGTTTTCCCATCATTTAGTTTACATGGTACATTGAAAAACGATGGCTTCAGAATGTTAAAGACAAACAAACAAACCCTAAATTTTCTAAAAAATGAACATAATTATTGAGGTGCATAATGTCTTCCCCATGTAGCAAATTTCATGTACTATTATTTTGTTAAACATTATAATGTATCTAATTATCATATTTATTAACATTTAGAGTTTTGTCCCAGTTGTATCATCTGCTTAATTCAATTTTCAATTGGAGTTAATAATAGTTAAGGTTTAGTATACTCTTATGGGCATTAGGGGTTAGAGATGAGAGTCACAGACAATATATTTAAAATTCTTTTGAAGGGTGATAGGATGACATTAAGAATGGGATAGAAGTTTGGGATTAGGGATAGGGGTTTACAATTGCAGAAATAAGTTTAGATTGAGGGTTAGGTCTGGGGTTGGATTAGAGGTTAGTGTTGTGGTAGGATTAGGGTTATGGTTAGGATTAGGATTAGGGACAGGGGTAGTTGGTGTTATGTTTAAGGCTAGGGTTAGAATCAGAATTAGCTGTTAATTTTAAGATCAGGTTATGTTTAGGTTTAGAGTAAGAAATAGGCTTACAGTTAGAGATTGGGGTTAGTGTAGGGTTAGGTTCTGGGTTAACATCATGGTGAGGATTAGGATTAGTGCCAAAGGTGAAAGTTGAGGTGACAGTGAGGGTTAAGGTAAGAGGGTTAGTGCATTAGTGTTAGGGTTTGGGTTTAGGGTTAGTGTTAGGATAAGAATAAAGATTTGGTTTAGCATTTAGGGTTCATGTCCTGGTTAGGGTTTCAGTTTAGCCTTACAGTTAGTGTTTAAGGTTCAGTTTTATTTTTAGGGTTATTGTTTAGCAATTAGGCTTAGGGTCAGCTTAGGGTTAGGAGAAGGGGTTAGGGTTTGGCCTGGTGTCAGGGTTTAGATTTAGTGTTACAGTGGGGTTAGGTTTAGGGTTAAATTTGGGATTGGGCTTATTGTATAGGATTATAGTTAGAGTTTAGGTTTCAGTGTTAGAGCTATGGTTGCAGTTGCATTTGAGGTTGTGGGTTAGAGTTAGGAGTAGTGTTAGTGTCAGGGTTTTAAGATTAGGGGTATGGTCAATGTATGGTTAGAATTAGGGTTAGGGTAGATTTGATTAGGGATATTGGTTAGGTGTTAGCTTACATTTTTAAGGTTCACATTTTAGTATTATGGTTACAGTCAAGGTTGCATTTAGGATGAGGTACGAAGTTAGCTTTAGGGATTAGAGTTAGAGTTAGGGGTTAGGGTTCATTGTCTAAAATTAGTGTTAGAGTTAGGTTTGGTTTAGTATTTAGGTTAGGGTTTTGGTGAGTGTTAGGGTTTAGGGTAGATTTAGGGTTAGGGGTAGGTTTAGGGTTAGGGGTTGGTGTAGGGATATGTACAGCGTTATGGGTTGGGGTAGGGTTACATTTATGGCTAGCGATATGTTTTGTTAATGGTTCAGGTTGGGTTTATATGAGGATTAGGGTTAGGGCTTCAGGGTTATTGTTAGTGTTTCAGCATTAGTATTAGGGGATATATTTAGGGTTAGATGTCTTTTTCACCCATCTCAACCCATGGAAGAATCAGCACACTCTTTCTGCCTTCTGAAGCTCATATGTACTCCATACGAATTTAGATTATTTATTTATTTATTTGTTTATTCATTTTATGTATTTATTTATTTATTTATTTGTTTTTGGAGACAGCGTTTCGCTCTTGTTGCCATGACTGGAGTACTATGGTGTGAACTCGCCTTACCACAACCTCCACTTCCCACTTTCAAGTGATTGTCTTGCCTCAGCTCCTGAGTAGCTGGGATTAAAGGCATACACCATCACACTTAACTAATTTTGTATTTTTATTAGAGATGGGGTTTCTCTATGTTTGTCAGGCTGGCCTTGAATTTGAACCTCAAGTGATTCATCGGCCTTGGCCTCCCGAAGTGCTGGGAACACACAAGTGAGCCACCATGCCCAGCATCAGATTTTGAAATAACTTGACTTAAAGTGGAGCTACCAACTATATGCCACTTCTCTGCTGTGGGTTGTACACTTCTTGGGATTGCATGGCTGCAAATAGATAAGTCTCCTCCAAACTTAAAGCTGCAGATACATCTCAACAAACTTCCTGCAGATAGAAGCTACCCACTCTGAAGCTTCTCTCCACTGAGGCCTTCAGAGATGTTTTAAAAACCTGCTTTTCCACTGAAACTGTTCACTCTCGCTCCTGTCTTCACTGAGTCTTGCACAGATGTAGATATGTCCTGTTTTTGAAATGCAGTTACCCATTTTCTCTCTTGAGAGCTGTACCTTCATCCAATAAAGCATCTATTTACCTTGATTATTCTCCTGTTGTCCAAATACCTCATTCTCCCTGGATATGCATCAAGAACTCACGACCCACTTAATGGTGCACAAGGCTGAAACACAGAAACCCACACTTACAATATTGTTGATTACAGGAAAAAAAAAGATAGAAGAGGTTCAGCCCTTAAAGAACCCAGGCTGAAACCTTTTCTAAGCCAGGTCTGTAACACAATCTTTGGGTCTTTGCAGTTTCTGGAATTTCTAAGCTTCTGGATGCCATGGCATTCCTGAGTGCCTCTGGAGGAAACAGGTTATGGTATGCCTGATCCAGCCAAAAATAAGTAGGGACCTGGCTCCTGATCTGGTACCTGGAACTTCTCACCTTATCACAGCTGACATGCTTGGAGGTGGCAAGTGGCTGGACTCAACAGTTGCTCATTCAAAGATCTCTCTCTACTCTGTGCCTGGCTCACCCATAGCAGGAATGCGTGATATTGTTTAGGGCTATTAAAATAAATTAATCAATCTTGCAGCTAATGATGTATTTTGCTCAGCTCAGTTTTTGTGTCCTGAGCAGACAGACTGACTATTAAAACTTATCAATTTTCCTTTGCATATACTTGAACATAGATTCTATTCCTTGTGCTCAGATTCAGATTTTTTTGGCACATCACTCTCTCTCATTGGCCTCTTTCAACTTCATCTTAATGTTACAGTAAATAAGGGCATTATTTTTCTCTAGCACAACTGAATTATATGAAGCAAATCCCTTAATTTGTATCATAACCACTTGGGGGAAAAGTTACAGTTCAAGACACCTGAGAGACCAGGTCTGTGGCACATGCCTCCCATGCTTTCAGCTTTCTCCCACCAATCAACATTACCTTGGCCGATGCTTCATCCATCATCTTGTGAAATTTAATGGTAAACAAGCCACCTGGGGTCGGTCCAAAAGTCACAGAAGGGGTTTAAAACCAAGCCTTTTAACCAAATCACAAAGAGGCAGTATGGATGCAGCTAGTCAAATGGCTGGGCTATTGGCTGATACAATTGGCTTCTCAAACTGAATGAAATTATTCACAGTGTTCTTTATGGTATCCACTATTTCAATGCTTGCTCTGTTTCTGTCATTTCTTAAATACACACAAAATCAAGACCTCAGCAAAGGACACAACCAGCTGGAGTGGGCAGCATAAACTTCCTGTCATCTGCAGCAGCCCTATGCAGAACATTCTTGATTTTTTTCATTACTTCTATATTTAGTGAGTTATTCTCTGTCAATCTTGTTGATAGTTTCTGGGTAAAGCCATCATTTTCCCTCACCGAAATGTCTCCGAGTCTACTGGCATTTTCTGTTAGCCTTATGGTAAAATACATGCTTTTGACAAAAGGCTGGTCTTTTTCATCATCAATAATCTTTCTTTGCCCCCCTCTCACACTTGGAACAAATATATGCAAGTTTTTTGTTCTGTTGGCTGTTCGTGGAATTGCTTATACCAATGTACCTTCTTTGCTGGCTAGGCCTGTAACCATGGAAGCAGTAACCAAGCCAGACCCCTGAGACATTAGTGGGTGTATCTTGCACCTGTTTTCTCCTCCAGTCTGTTCTGCACCAGGACATAATACAGCCCTGAAGGGGTTCTCAGCTGCCACCTTGAGCACCATGGTGTCCTGCTGATCCAGCAAAATAGGATCCAGTTTCCCGAGTTATTGAAATCCACTGTGTTCTTGCTGTTAAAAGTGCAAGTGTCTTGATAGTTTAATTTCTTAGCTCCATATTCCTTGGGTCGAAGAGAGGTGAAGCTGTGTTTCTCCTAGCGTTGTGGTTGGTAGCAAACAACTGGCAGTTTTTGGATGTGTGTTTGCAAGTCACTAGCGTTTTAGGAAGGTTCTTAAAAAAGTTGGAGTTGGTAGATCTGGAAGTTCCTTTTATGGCCTTGCTTGACAATGTTCTGCTTGTTTCCAGTCCGTGTCCTTCTTTTTCTGTTTTTTAATCTGTCATCTGTTAAAGTCATAAATACATTTTTCACAGTTTATGAAGTGCTGCTCCACTCCCCAAGTGTTATCCTGTTTGTCACAGCCTTTCCACTGAATGAAATACTCTGCCTTCCCATTTTTGTCTTGTCTTTCGTCAACAACAGTTTCAATCTCAAACTCCTGGGATGCCATGAAGGAAGAGATAGAATTGGAGCCATTATTGTGTCATTTTTCTTTCTGTTGAGTCTCCACATAGTCACTGCTTTCTGCCTCCATTTCTGCACCAGCCCTGGGTATGGATGAGCCTGTTCCGCTTTGTGGCCACTGGTGTAGTAAAAGTTGTGTGAAGAAGCAGCTATGCTATTTGCCTTAGTATCTCCTCACTTATTCCATGTTGGGACAGCTCAGGGTTCTGTTTATCATGCCAAGGTGTCTGACAAGGTAGCCTCAGGTACTCCTACTTTCTGGTGTAGTGCAGAGAGCTTTCTACCTGGCTATAACTCTTTGCTTTGTAGTTGCTCCAGTGATTATATTGAACATTCTAAAAGTAAAACACTGAAATCACATTAGTTTATTCTCAGTTAACATAAAAAACTCTTACTCCTTTATAGCATGGCCTGCTTTATTTCAATTACTGAGTTCTCAAAATGATAACAATATGCATTCTATCTCAAAAACACAAGCTAGTGAGTTTTTTAAAATAAAATAGTGTATTAAATTATGTGGAGAACATATTGTGAAGGTACACATTTTTTTTTATCTTTTGTAGTTGTTCATATATTTATCTGTACTTTATTCTTTGTTTATTAATATTTCTGTTCAGTGTCCTTTCATTTTACCCCGGAATAATCCATAAGGCATTTCTTAAATGGTTGTCTACTGGCAAAAGAATGTGGCTTTTATTTGGGAATTTCATAACTTCTCACTCACTTTTGATGGACACTTTGTTTAAACATAACATTTCTCTTTGAAAGTTTTTTCTTACTGCACTTGGAATATATGAGGCTACTCTGAATTTTTAGACATTCCCCTATTATTTATGAGGGTTTTTTGTACAATACTAGTCAAGATTTCTCTCGCTGCTTTCAAGATTCTCTTTGTCTTTGTTTTAGACCGTTTAACTATCATGTATGTTTGAGTGTGTTTCTTTGAGTTTATTTTACTTGGAGTTTGTGGAGTTTCTTAGATATTTATTACCTTAAATTTGTAACATTTTTGACCACTTTTTTTTAGTCTCCCTATTTCTTTGTCTCTTCTCCTTGAATTTCTAAGAGGCATAAGTAGGTCTGCTTGATGGTGTCACACTGGTTTCTAGATGTTTTCATATTTCTTTATTTTTTTCTCCTCTTGACTTAATAATTTCAATTGCCTCTTTTATTCAATTTGCTGACATTTTGTTCTATATGCTCAAGTCTCCTTTTAAATGTCTGTAGTAATTATTTATTTATTTATTTATTTGGGATGGAGTCTTGCTCTGTCATCAGGCTGGAGTGCAGTGGCACAAACTTGGCTCACTCCAACCTCTGCATCCTGGGTTCAAATGATTCTCCTGCCTCAGCCTCTTGAGTAGCTGGGACTACAGATATGTGTCACCACGCCCAGCTAATTTGTGTATTTTTAGTACAGATGGGGTTTCATCATGTTCCTCAGCATAGTCATGACTTCTTGACCTTATGATCTGCCACCTAGGCCTCCCGAAGTGCTGGGATTGCAGGCCTCTAGTGAATTTGTGTGTGTGTGTGTGTGTGTTTAGTAGAGTTGGGGTTTCACCATGTTAGCCAGGATGGTTTCAATCTCCTGACCTCTTGATTCACCCAACTCAGCCTCCAAAGTGCTGGGATTACAGGAGTGAGGCACCATGCCCGGCCATGAATTTTAATGTCAGTTGTTTTATTTTCATCTCCAAATTTTTTTTTTTCCTGAGAGACACTGAACCTGGCTCAGAATTTTTTTTCTAAGTTTGAAAATAATTTGTCATGCTTTCCCAAGAACCTGTATTATTTTAGTTTCAATCTCTGTTTCTTTGAACCTAAAGTAAGACGTGCATAGACATCACGTTTGTGAATTTTTCTTTTAAAGGTGCATTTGTGCCGGTCTGTGTGTTTTTATGTAAGAGCTCACATTTACAGTTATTACAAGCAAAAAAATTACTTACTGTGACATTTATTTACTTTTTTTATGTTATTTTTCTTATTTGATCCTCAATTAATCCTTTGTCCATTAAAAAAAGTTAACTTTTTAAACCTTTTTTATTATTTTCATGTCATTATTAGTTATATTTGGGATTTTAATTATATTCTAAACATAATATAATCTTCTTTGAATAATATTAACTTGTTTGAATAATCAAAATTTTAATTTCAACACTATAAATATATGCTGCTCCTGTACTTTTCTATCTTTCTCAATATAAATTGAGTCAGATTATATCTGTACACCCTGAGTGTCCATTAATGTAAATTTGTAAATTTTTATGTAATAGCTGCTTATGAGATCTGTAATAGTAATAGCTAACTTTGCCAGGATTGCAATAGTAATAGCATTTTTTTTTAGGGAATGGTTAATCACACATTCTTTTAGATTTTCTATATCTAGACATTTTTTGCTTGAGTATTATTTTTACAAGATATAGATTTTCTTGATTTCTCTAAGGTGTTTTTTTTTAGTTATTGATAGCTTAGAATGCATTCCATTAGCATTACGAATAACAGCAATATAAAAACTATTATTTTTTTAAAAACTTGATCTGTATTAACAAATCTGTTGTATTGTCTATTGTATGAAATAACTGTATTATTGCTTTCAACAACTTAACATTTTGTTTGTGACCAATTCCTGGTATTTTCAACCAAGAGTGACTTCTGAGTTTGACAAAACAGAAATAAATACGTTTCATCAATTCTTTATTTTTCTTCTAGAAAGACTACAACAAACGCAATAAATTAGCACACAAGTGCTTCTTCACTCCTCCCAGAATTAGGAACCAGGGCCTGAAATGGAAAATGCAGATTTCAATTTCGAAGCCTTCATCTGTGCCTGGGAGGTAGTATGGCAATCCAAAAAAATATTTACTACTTTAAAATTGTCTCTTTTGATGGTTTCTTGATTGATACAAACCACTGATTTACAGGGTTCAGACAGTTTTTGATTGGTTTGATGTTTCTTTGAATGGTTTGAATCTGCTGCCAGCCCTGCAGTTTTGCCCTCATTTTTATGTGGGAAGCACTGATTGTTTTGTAATGTCAGAGTTTATTTTTATTTAGGAGATCTATTATTTGTCCCATGAAAATATTGTTTAAAATGCTTAAATTGAATTTTACACTTCTAATTGGTGTTTCTAATTGTTAGGTTTTTGTTTTAGTGGTTACAGTATGAAGTTTGTTGTTTGCTTTTTATTAATTGATGTTATCAATTTCATATAAAAGGCAAGGACAATATTCAGTATTATGAATTACAACTTGGTTTTATGTAAAACATGTATACAATTATTTGTTTACAAAGTGACTTTCAAGTACCTATCTAAATAAAACAATAAGGGAATAATTATGTAGGCATGCAGCAAGATTTACAAGTGTGATGATCTCTGGCAGAAGCCTGCATAAATTGTTTGAAAAACAACCAGGTCACTGTGGATGGAACAGACTATGGAAGGAAAATGACTGTAGACAATGAGATTATAGGGGAAACACACAGTCGATGTGATTGTCTAGGATTTCCATAGGTCAGTAGATTTTACATTAGTTTTACTCTAAGCCAAGTTCATGACTGGAAGTGGAATTGGTAAGATTATTACTAGCCTCTAGTGCCAAGAGGCTAGAAATGCTGTTGAATATCTTAAAATCTAGTCTCAGGCACCTTTCAGCAATTAACAGTATTGAACTATCTCTCCAGAAAATTGTAAAAAGAAGCACACTTTTTAGAAAACATTGATTTTATATTTTCAAGGTTACTTAACTCAATCTTTGGTTTCTGTAAATCAGAAGGATTTTAAGAAGCTCTTGTAAAGTTCATTTGATTCAAGTTAGGGTAACTGTTAGTAAAGTGAAGTCAGTTCAGTTAATCAAGAATTAGAAAGTAAACTGTAGGTCAGGTGCGGTGGCTATAATCCCAGCACTTTAGGAAGCCAAGGTGGACCGATCACAAGGTCAGGACATCAAGACCATCCTGGCTAACACGGTGAAACCCCATCTCTACTAAAAATACAAAAAAAAAAAATTAGCTGGGCATGGTGGCGGGTGCCTGTAATCCCAGCTACTCAGGAGGCTGAGGCAGGAGAATGGCATGAATCCAGGAGGTGGTGCCACAGCGCTCCAGCCTGGGTGAGAGAGTGAGACTCCATCTCCAAAAAAAAAAAAAAAAAAAAAAAAAAAGAAAGTAAACTATCTATTTCCTTTTTTCTCCACCTTTCTTTCCCATTAATTTTAAATATTTCTGTAAAACACTAATATAGCCAAATAAAACCCTAGGCACACTCTGTTTTTGGGATATCATGGAGAACACTCAAAGGCTTTTGGGACAGAACTAATCTTGAATACAACTGGAAGTCATACAGAATACAGATACATATACGTGCATTAGTGCAATTCATTATGCATACACACTAGGCATAATGATTGTCATAAGACAAATATTAAATGTCTTATGACATAAACTTTGCTAAGATTTTACAATAACCAAGCCAAATGGAAACCAAGATTTCAAGGATTATAGCCAGGGTCAGAGAATTCTACGTGATGAGTAGAATGAAAACTCAAGCATCTTCTAGGAGAGGTCATGACTGTTGCCATAACCAGCACAGGGATTATCTCTACAGAAACAAGTGAAAGGGCTGATGGCAGCATGAACCACATTCTTCCTGGAAGCAGAAACATAATTTGAGATTATCTGAATGGCAGAGCTGAATGACCTGGAACACAAACAGGGATAAAAGTTTCCCCTTGCTTATCACATTGTGGTAAGACAAAAATAAAACAAGAGCTGTGGCCTTTCAGTGTTCACAGACCTAGGAGCTCTCAAAGCCAGGGAGAGCCATCACACCCTTTGGGGCTTTACTTTTTCCGGCATCTGCAAGATTCTGGGTATCACTACATTCCCCAGTATCAGCTGTGGAAGCTGCTTGCAGTAGGCCTGGTCCAGCTGCAGTTTTTCAATGATCTAGCAGTTATCTTGGCACCTAAAACTTCCTGGTCTGATACAGCTGGCATGACTGATCATGTTTAGCAGCTGGAGTCCACACTTGCTCATACACCACTCACCACTCATCCATGTTTGCCCTTGGCAGGTGATAACTCCTGGCTGTTAACACCAGCTGAGTGCAGCATGTCAGGTAGTGTGGGTAGAACAACTTTGCAGGCCTGATTAAAGCTCAGGGAAAGGCACCACTGGTCACAGAGGTTTTCATCTGGCAAAGTGACTCCCGTAAAATCCCATAGCAATAGAAGCATAGCTGGTTATGTTTAAATGGCTTACTTTTTTCGGTTCATGAAATAATGATTATTCAGCGTCCTATATTTTGGTATTTTTTAACCTCATTTGCAAATGATTATCTTTCAAAATTTTTACAGAATCAAATTTGAAAAATTATTATTTGTATTGAACAACGTGATTGGTCTTATGTACACTGCATTATTTTAGGATGGAGTTTCACTTTTGTCATCCAAGCTGGAGTGCAATGGCATTTTCTCAGCTCATTGTACCTCCTGCCTCTGCTTCCCACAGAGCTGGAATTACAGGAACCCACCATGATGTGCAGCATGGCATTGGAGTTCAGATCAGCATTCTCCTAGTAGATTATGAAGCTTACTTATGAAAGAGTATTTCTAATTCCTGGGCTTTGATGTTGTGTACTTAATATAATTTCTGTTTGAGACTCACTTTTGCTCGGGATTGTAATATGATGAGCAGCATTTCTGGCATTTTCTGCTACATGCAATACTAAAAACCATTTTCTGTGGTTGAAATACCCTAACATATTTGTGTCTCATGGAATCTAAATTGTTGGCATTTACTATTCTAGAGAGTTCTGAAGAAGAAATTAAAAGCCACTTTTTAAAATTTTGCAGAGGCCAGGAGAGGTGGTTCACACCTGTAATCCCAGAAACTTTGGAGACTGAGGTAGGAGGATCACCTGAGTTTAGGAGTTTTAGACCAACCTGGTCAATAGGGTAAAACCTCGTCTTCACTAAAATTACACACACACACACACACACACAAAGAAAAATCAGCTGGGTGTGGTGGTGGACAGCTGTAATCCCAACTACTCAGGAGACTGAGGCAGGAAAATCACTTAAATCTGGGAGGTGGAAGTTGCAGTGAGCTGAGATCACACCATTGCACTCCAGCCTGTATGACAAGAGCAAACCTCCGTCTTAAAAAAATTTTGCATAAATTTTATATGAGATGTCATTTTTCTCTAATTTTTGACTATTCTAAAATCCTGATATTTTCTCTAACTTGCTGCTATCCTAACATTCTGTCATTTGTGAAATATACCAGGGTGTCCTGCAGGTACCGTGGAACTTAATATAAAACAATATTAAATTAATTAAATATAAATAAAAAGCTTTTTTTTTTCCAGATGTGAGGTTATAGTAGCTTTAAAACGTGTGCCACACATTATTTAAAACATTTTGTAATTACAAATCAGCACCGTCACAAACTGCATTGAAAAGCAAATAAATAGTATATCTCAATTTTTAGCTGATTGAATTTCTTTTCTTTTATTTTTAGAATGAAATCTCACACTATCTCTTTGGCTGGAGTGCAGTGGTGCAATCGTAGGACACTGCAACCCCCTGCCTCCCAGGTTCAAGTATTTATTCTTCCTCAGCTTCTTGAATAGCTGAGAATACAGATGCACACCACCACACCTGATGGATTTTTAGCATATTGGCCACACTTGTCTCAAGCTCCAGACCTCAAGTACTCTGCCTGCCTTGGCCTCCAAAAGTACTGGAATTACATGTGTGAATCACCATGCTTGGCCCCTGATTGAAATTCTAATTCAAAAAAATCCCTCTTGCAAAACCTTATTTTCTATATTATATTTTTGATGAGTTTCTTTATATGTCTCATAATTAAAGCAAATGGTATCATTTTAATGTATTTTCTTATACTTGAAAATGAATTTATTTTTATTAATCTGTAATTAAAATAGTAGGTATATTTAGAATGTTAATTTGCTGTGTGTAAACATGATTAGAAATTTCTTTAAAAAACTAATTTGGATAATTAATTACATTAGTTGATTGTACTTGTGTTATTTTCCTCAGGATTTTCTTTTCTTTTCTTTTATTATTATTATAATTTAAGCTTTAGGGTACATGTGCACATTGTGCAGGTTAGTTACATATATATACATGTGCCATGCTGGTATGCTGCACCTATTAACTCGTCATTTAACATTAGATATATCTCCTAATGCTATCCCTCCCCACTGCCCCCACCCCACAACATTCCCCAGAGTGTGATGTTCTCCTTCCTGTGTCCATGTGTTCTCATTGTTCAATTCCAACCTATGAGTGAGAACATGCAGTGTTTGCTTTTTTGTCCTTGCGATAGTTTACTGAGAATGCTGATTTCCCATTTCATTCATGTCCCTACAAAGGACATGAACTCATTATTTTTTATGACTGCATAGTATTCCATGGTGTATATGTGCCACATTTTCTTAATCCAGTCTATCGTTGTTGGACATTTGGGTTGGTTCCAAGTCTTTGCTATTGTGAATAGTGCCACAATAAACATACATGTGCATGTGTCTTTATAGCAGCATGATTTATATTCCTTTGGGTATATACCCAGTAATGGGATGGCTGGGTCAAATGGTATTTCTAGATCTAGATCCATGAGGAATCGCCACACTGACTTCCACAATGGTTGAACTAGTTTACAGTCCCACCAACAGTGTAAAAGTTTTCATATTTCTCCACATCCTCTCCAGCACCTGTTGTTTCCTGACTTTTTAATGATTGCCATTCTAACTGGTATGAGATGGTATCTCATGGTGGTTTTGATGTGCATTTCTCTGATGGCCAGTGATGGTGAGCATTTTCTCATGTGATTTTTGGCTGCATAAATGTCTTGTTTTGAGAAGTGTCTGTTCATGTCCTTCGCCCACTTTTTGATGGGGTTGTTTGTTTTTTTCTTGTAAATTTGTTTGAGTTCATTGTAGATTCTGGATATTAGCCATTTGTCAGATGAATAGGTTGTGAAAATTTTCTCTCATTTTGTAGGTTGCCTGTTCACTCTGATGGTAGTTTCTTTTGCTGTGCAGAAGCTATTTAGTTTAATTAGATCCCATTTGTCAGTTTTGGCTTTTGTTGCCATTGCTTTTGGTGTTTTAGACATGAAGTCCTTGCTCATGCCTATGTCCTGAATGGTAATGCCTAGGTTTTCTTCTAGGGTTTTTATGGTTTTAGGTGTAATGTTTAAGTCTTTATTCCATTTTGAATTAATTTTTGTATAAGGTGTAAGGAAGGGATCCAATTTCAGTTTTCTACATATGATAGCCAGTTTTCCCAGCACCATTTATTACTAGGGAATCCTCTCCCCATTGCTTGTTTTTCTCAGGTTTGTCAAAGATCAGATAGTTGTAGATATGCGGCATTATATCTGAGGGCTTTGTTCTGTTCCATTGATCTATATCTCTGTTTTGGTACCAGTACCGTGCTCTTTTGGTTACTGTAGCTTTGTCGTATAGTTCGAAGTCAGGTAGCGTGATGCCTCCAGCTTTGTTCTTTTGGCTTATGATTGACTTGGCGATGCAGGCTCTTCTTTGCTTCCAAATGAACTTTAAAGTAGTTTTTTCCAACTCTGTGAAGAAAGTCATTGGTAGTTCAATGGGAATGGCATTGAATCAATAAATTACCTTGGGCAGTATGGCCATTTTCACGATATTGATTCTTCCTACCCGTGACTATGGAATGTTTTTCCATTTCTTTGTATTCTATTATTTCATTGAGCAATGGTTTGTAGTTCTCCTTGAAGAGGTCCTTCACATCCCTTGTAAGTTGGATTCCTAGGTATTTTAATCTCTTTGAAGCAATTGTGAATGGGAGTTCATTCATGATTTGGCTCTCTGTTTGTCTGTTATTGGTGTATAAGAATGCTTGTGATTTTTGTACATTGATTTTGTATCCTGGGACTTTGCTGAAGTTGTTTATCTGATTAAGGAAATTTTGGGCTGAGACAATGGGGTTTTCTAGATATACAATCATGTCATGTGCAAACAGGGACAATTTGACTACCTCTTTTCCTAATTGAATACCCTTTACTTCCTTCTCCTGCCTAATTGCCCTGGCCAGAACTTCCAACGCTATGTTGAATAGGAGTGGTGAGAGAGGGCATTCCTGTCTTGTGCCAGTTTTCAAAGGGAATGCTTCCAGTTTTTGCCCATTCAGTATGATACTGGCTGTGGGTTTGTCATAGATAGCTCTTATTATTTTGAAATATGTCACATCAATACCTAATTTATTGAGAGTTTTTAGCATGAAACATTGTTGAATTTTTTCAAAGGCCTTTTCTGCAACTATTGAGATAATCATGTGGTTTTTGTCTTTGGTTCTGATTATATCTGGATTACATTTATTGATTTGTGTATATTGAACCAGTCTTGCATCCCAGGGATGAAGCCCACTTGATCATGATGGATAAGCTTTTTGACGTGCTGCTGGATTCACTTTGCCAGTATTTTATTGAGGATTTTTGCATCAATGTTCATCAAGGATATTGGTCTAAAATTCTCTTTTTTGGTTGTGTCTCTGCCTGGCTTTGGTACCAGGATGATGCTGGCCTCATAAAATGAGTTAGGGAGGATTCCCTCTTTTTCTATTGGTTGGAATATTTTCAGAAGGAATGATACCAGTTCCTCCTTGTACCTCTAGTAGAATTCGACTGTGAATCCATCTAGTCCTGGACTCTTTATGGTTGGTAAGCTATTGATTATTGCCACAATTTCAGAGCCTGTTGTTGGTCTATTCAGAGATTCAACTTCTTCCTGGTTTAGTCTTGTGAGGGTGTATGTGTCAAGGAATTTATCCATTTCTTCTAGATTTTCTAGTTTATTTGCATAGAGGTGTTTGTAGTATTCTCTGATGGTAGTTTGTATTTCTATGGGATCAGTGGTGATATAGCCTTTATCATTTTTTATTGTGTCTATTTGATTCTTCTGTCTTTTCTTCTTTATTAGTCTTGCTAATGGTCTATCAATTTTGTTGATCTTTTCAAAAAACCAGCTCCTGGATTCATTAATTTTTTGAAGGGTTTTTTGTGTCTCTATTTCCTTCAGTTCTGCTCTGATCTTAGTTATTTCTTGCCTTCTGCTAGCTTTTGAATGTGTTTGCTCTTGCTTTTCTAGTTCTTTTAATTGTGATGTTAGGGTGTCAATTTTGGATCTTTCCTGCTTTCTCTTGTGGGCATTTAGTGCTATAAATTTCCCTCTACACTCTGCTTTGAATGTGTCCCAGAGATTCTGGTATTTTGTGTCTTTGTTCTCGTTAGTTTCAAAGAACATCTTTATTTCTGCCTTCATTTCATTATGTACCCAGTAGTCATTCAGAAGCAGGTTGTTCTATTTCCATGTAGTTGAGCCGTTTTCAGTGAGTTTCTTAATCCTGAGTTCTAGTTTGATTGCACTGTGGTCTGAGAGACAGTTCGTTATAATTTTTGTTCTTTTACATTTGCTGAGGAGAGGTCTACTTCCAACTATTCAATTTTGGAATAGGTGTGGTGTGGTGCTGAAAAAATGTATATTCTGTTGACTTGGGGTGGAGACTTCTGTCGATATCTATTAGGTCCACTTGGTGCAGAGCTGAGTTCAATTCCTGGATATCCTTGTTAACTTTCTGTCTCATTGATCTGTCTAATGTTGACAGTGGGGTGTTAAAGTCTCCCATTATTATTGTGTGGGGGTCTCAGTCTCTTTGTAGGTCACTGAGGACTTGCTTTATGAATCTTGGTGCTCCTGTATTGGGAGCATATATATTTAGGATAGGCAGCTCTTCTTGTTGAATTGATCTCTTTACCATTATGTAATGGTGTTCTTTGTCTCTTTTGATCTTTGTTGGTTTAAAGTCTGTTTTATCAGAGACTAGGATTGCAACCCCTGCCTTGTTTTGTTTTCCATTTGCTTGATAGATCTTCCTCCATCCTTTTATTTTGAGCCTATGTGTATCTCTGCACGTGAGATGGGTTTCCTGAATACAGCACACTGATGGGTTTTGACTCTTTATCCAATTTGCCAGTCTGTGTCTTTTAATTGGATCATTTCGTCCACTTATGTTTAAAGTTAATATTGTTATGTGTGAATTTGATCCTGTCATTATGATGTGAGCTGGTTGTGTTGCTCATTAGTTGATGCAGTTTCTTCCTAGCCTAATGGTCTTTACAATTTGGCATGATTTTGCTGTGGCTGGTACCGGTTGTTCCTTTCCATGTTTAGTGCTTCCTTCAGGAGCCCTACAAGGCAGGCCTTGTGGTGACAAAATCTCTCAGCATTTGCTTGTCTGTAAAGTATTTTATTTCTCCTTCACTTATGAAACTTAGTTTGTCTGGTTATGAAATTCTGGGTTGAAAATTCTTTTCTTTAAGAATGTTGAATATTGGCCCCCACCCTCTTCTGGCTTGTAGAGTTTCTGCCGAGAGATCCGCTGTTAGTCTGATGAGCTTCCCTTTGTGGGTAATCTGACCTTTCTCTCTGGCTGCCCTTAATATTTTTTCCTTCATTTCAACTTTGATGAATCTGACAATTATGTGTCTTGGAGTTGCTCTTCTCGAGGAGTATCTTTGTGGTGTTCTCTGTATTTCCTGAATCTGAATGTTGGCCTGCCTTGCTAGATTGGGGAAGTTCTCCTGGATAATATCCTGCATAGTGTTTTCCAACTTGGTTCCATTCTCCCTGTCATTTTCAGGTACACCAATCAGTTGTAGATTTGGTCTTTTCACGTAGTCCCATATTTCTTGGAGGCTTTGTTCATTTCTTTTTATTATTTTTTCTCTAAACTTCCCTTCTCCCTTCATTTCATTCATTTCATCTTCCATCACTGATACCCTTTCTTCCAGTTGATCACATTGGCTCCTGAGGCTTCTGCATTCTTCATGTAGTTCTCAAGCCTTGGCTTTCAGCTTCATCAGCTCCTTTAAGCACTTCTCCATGTTGGTTATTCTAGTTATAGATTCGTCTAAATTTTTTTCAAAGTTTTTAACTTCTTTGCCTTTGGTTTGAATTTCCTCCTGTAGCTTGGAGTAGTTTGATTGTCTGAAGCCTTCTTCTCTCAACTCGTCAAAGTCATTCTCCATCCAGCTTTGTTCCATTGCTGGTGAGGAACTGCATTCCTTTGGAGGAGGAGAGGTGCTCTGCTTTTTAGAGTTTCCAGTTTTTCTGCTCTGTTTTTTCCCCATGTTTGTGGTTTTATCTACCTTTGGTCTTTGATGATGGTGATGTGCAGATGGGTTTTTGATGTGGATATCCTTTCTGTTTGTTAGTTTTCCTTCTAACAGACAGGACCCTCAGCTGCAGGTCTGTTGGAATTTGCTAGAGGTTCACTCCAGACCCTGTTTGCCTGGGTATCAGCAGCGGTGGCTGCAGAACAGCAGATTTTCGTGAACCGCGAATGCTGCTGTCTGATCGTTCCTCTAGAAGTTTTTTCTCAGAGGAGTACCTGGCCATGTGAGGTGTCAGTCTGCCCCTACTGAGGGGTGCCTCCCAGTTAGGCTGCTTGGGGATCAGGGGTCAGAGACCCACTTGAGGAGGCAGTCTGCCCATTCTCAGATCTCCAGCTGCGTGCTGGGAGAACCATTGCTCTCTTCAAAGCTCTCAGAAAGGGACATTTAAGTCTGCAGAGATTACTGCTGTCTTTATGTTTGTCTGTGCGCTGCCCCCAGAGGTGGAGCGTACAGAGGCAGGCAGGCCTCCTTGAGCTGTGGTGGGCTCCAACCAGTTTGAGCTTCCCAGCTGCTTTGTTTACCTAAGCAAGCTTCAGCAATGGCGGGCGCCCCTCCACCAGGCTTGCTGCAGCCTTGCAGTTTGATCTCAGACTGCTGTGCTAGCAATCAGCGAGACTCTGTGGGCGTAGGATCCTCTGAGCCAGGTGTGGGATATAATCTCCTGGTGTGCCATTTTTTAAGCCCACTGGAAAAGTGCAGTATTAGGGTGGCAGTAACCCGATTTTCCAGGTGCCGTCTGTCACCCCTTTCTTTGACTAGGAAAGGGAACTCCCTGACCCCTTGCAATTCCTGAGTGAGGCAATGCCTCGCCCTGCTTCAGCTCGTTCATGGTGCACTGTACCCACTGACGTGCGCCCACTATCTGGCACTCCCTAGTGAGATGAACTGGGTACCTCAGATGGAAATGCAGAAATCACCCGTCTTCTCCATGACTCATGCTGGGAGCTGTAGACCGGAGCTGTTCCTTTTCAGCCATCTTGGCTGCCCTCCAGGATTTTCTTTTGTAAGAAAACTCAAAATCGCTTCAAGATACATTGAGATGTTCAATTATGTGAAATGAACTTAAAGGTATTTTCTTTGAAAAGGAAGTTTTTATAACCTAACTTTTCTACTAATAATATGTGATTATTTTTTCTAACATATGAGAAATTAATTTTTTTCATCTTCCCTGCACCTAAAGTTCACCTGCAATATATGACAAGCAAAGAACTGCTAACAGAGAAGGCTGTTCTAGTCTGTAAGTCACCCATTACCATAAACTCTGGTTTTGAGCTACTTGCAGCAGCAGCTATTGGCTGTGTAAAAAATTTCACATTGATGCTACACTGTTTGACTGAAACATATTACGTAGACAAAGCAAAAACTGTGAGTATTTTAAATTATAAAGCAGTTTTGTTCATTAATCACACTTTTGTTTAAAATTCTATTATTTCCTTTAGAAAAATTAACTCATTTTTTTTGTTTGTTTGTTTTTGGTCAACTAGTTTACTATTTTGTAGTCATCAGGTATATAATTAAAGCCATTTAAGTAAGAGAACATTAATTTTTTAATAAGCATGTATTTCTTAACTTCTCTTCTATACTTGGTTTTGGTACTTTACCACAGTGGGTTTTATTTAGTCATATGTGAAAAAAAAAAATTAACCCTTTAGAATAACAAGAAACCAAATGTAATGCTACAAAAAGTTTATATTTAAAACGTATTCTTTAAAAAGATTTTCATAACCCAAACATTATAGTTGCTTAATTTATTTTACTTATATTCCGGGTGGTGTTTTTTTAAAAATCATAATGTGAGAAGAGAACATTTGAGTGCATTTTATTACTTTTAAATGTCCATATTAATTAAACAAAATGGGTAGCAATGTTGAAATCTTACACAAAACTGCAATTCAGAGTGGGAACCAATGTAAGTAAGTTAACAAACGATAACCTGAAATTTAGTTTATTTCAAGAGAAACCTGAGAGTTAAGAATATAATTAACAAAGCATTCTGTACAGATATTTCATTGGAAATGTGAAATTATATTTCTTTATATTTTTTCTCTGTGAGTATATTTTTTAATACATTGTAGGAGTTTCTAGCTAAACTCACTACTCAAAATTTCAGATGTTTATGTGTTCTGTAGGATCTACGTAGAGAGAAGAATTTCCTTTTTGAAAACACTTTTTTTTGTTTAACTATTGTATTGGAATAGTAAATATATATTTTCAAAAGAGTTTTTTAAACAAACAAAAAATAGTATTTGTTTAAACTATTTAGCCACTGTTTTCTTGTGATTAATATATATTTTCAAATATATAAGAGGACATGCAGTAAAAACTATGAACTTGTCACCAATAATATATTTCTGGTCCAGAGATTTTCTTTTAGGTATATGCGCATCTTCAAATGCTTAGCTATTTTTTTTTTATGGAAATGAGCATAAGCAATATACAATATGGTTAACCTTGTTTTGTACTTAGTCACACACCTGTCAATACATGAAGATCTGTTTAATTCTGTTTTGAAGCTACATAACTTGAAGTTCAATATGTTCTAATTTATGCAATCCACCTGTAAGATGGAGTGATGTGTAAGTTGTATTCTGTTTTACAAAAAGTAGCATTTACAATTTTCACAGGTATTTTAAAGACACCATCTAATTGACTTCTTCTCACAATAAAACTGTGAAGATATATAAAGCAATTATCACTATCAGCTGAGGAAGAAAGTGATATTTATGTGAAGGTTATAGTTTTTATGAGTCAGAACAATAATTTAAATGAAGTGCTCCATTAAAACTGAGAAAACGCTAATGTTCTATTTATATAAAGTTCTGATGGAAGTGTATTGTATACACTTATTTTAAGTGCAAAAGTTTTTTAATATGTAAAGTCATAACGATTAATGCTAAGTCTCTGTTTAACACATGAGAATTTAATATTATATCATCGTGTATGACTCTTTCTAAGAAAATTGTTGCAAAAACAATGCCGTTAAAAATGTGGACTTAAAAAGTCTGCATGCAATAGTCTTTATGGTGGCTCACATTGCTGATGTAAAAGTTTAAAGTACTCTTTCAAAATGGCTGTGTTAGCCTCATAGAATAAATTTCACAGCCTGATTAAGAGAACAATGGGTAAAATCATTATTTTTGTTGCATAAGCATTATTTTTTCTTAGCTTGTGAAGCACTCAGTGAACAGGAATATCTGCCCTCTGTTGGATCCTGCCCACCAAAAAATTGGTGGGACTCAGAGAAGCTGGTGCTACTTTTCACATAAATTCTGTGATCCAGCAACTATATATAATCCTAGTCATCAGAAACAGTATTTCTACAATTGAAAAAACAGTTAGTGATAAAGATGATGATTGTTCAAAGATGAGGAACAAAATTGTGAGGTAAGTTTTAATTATAATTTTTTTAATGGTCTGATAGTAAATACTGTTATTCTTCCTGAAATTAGTGTACTTTCATGAGATTTTTATCAGGACTGCATTTTGATGATACGGGTAGAATATGTGAGATACTATGACTGGCATGTTTACTGTGCTTGCTATCTAGTAACTTGAAATTTTAGTTAATAATATTTACTACTTTTTGTTTGTTTGTTTTCAAACCATGGTAGATATAATCACATTTGTGTGACACGGAAATGCAATTCAGTCTTTGAATAATGAGAATTTTTTTTTTTTTTTTTTTTTTGAGATGGAGTCTCGTTCTGTCACCCAGGCTGGAGTGCAGTGATGTAGTCTCAACTAACTGCAAGCTCTGCCTCCTGGGTTCATGCCATTCTCCTGCCTCAGCTTCCTGAGTAGCTGGGACTACAGGTGCCCACCATCACACCCGGCTATTTTGTTTTTGTATTTTTAGTAGGGATGGGGTTTCACTATTAGCCAGGGTGATCTGCTGACCTCGTGATCCACCCATCTCAGCCTCCCAAAGCACTGGGATTGCAGGCATGAGCCACCATGCCAGGCCTTTTATTTTTAGTAATTATATTTCCATTTTGTTTTTTAAAGTAGGCTTTTTTTTTTTACTGTTGTTCTGTCTGTGTTATATAAGTTGTGCTTATTTTTATGATTCTCTGCATATTTTTCTCAAATTCAGGTTTTTTCTGCTAAGGAAAAAAATCTTTTAAAAGAATCTGTGTAGTAACATTTTGGAGCTCATTGAGGCCTATGGGGAAAAAAACAGAATAACCCTAGAGAAAAACTAGAAAGATGCTATCTATGAAACTGCTTTGTGATGTGTGGATTCAACTTACAGAGTTAAACTTTTCTTTTGATTCAGCAGGTTGGAAACACTCTTTTTGGAAAATCTGCAAAGGGACATTTTGCAGCTCATTGTTGCCTATGTGGCAAAAGAGAATCCCCAGATAAGAACTAGAAAGAAGCTATTTGTGAAACTGCTTTGAGGTATGTGGGCTCATCTCACAGAAGTAAACTTTTCTTTTGATTCAGCAGGTGGAAAACACTCTTTTTGGAGAATCTTCAAAGGGACATTTGGGAGTCCGTTAAGGCCAATGGAAACAAACAAACAAACAAACAAATATCTCCAGATAAAAACTAGAAAGAAGCTATGTGTGAAACTGCTTTTTGACGTGTGGATTCATCTTGCAGTGTTAAATCTATTTTTTTTATTCAGCAGGCTGTAAACACTTCTTAGACAGTCTGTGAAGTGACATTTGGAGGACCATTCAGGCCTATGGTGAAAAAAACAAGATAGCCCTGAATAAAAATTAGAAAGAAGCTATGTGTGAAACTGCTTTGTGATGTGTGGATTCACCTCATAGGTTTAAACCTTTCTTTTGATTCAGCAGGTTGGAAACACTTATTTTGGAGAAGCCTGCAAAGGACATTTGGGAGACATTGAGGTCTATTGGAAAGAACCAAATATCCCAAGATGAAAACTAGAAAGAAGCAGTCTGTGAAACTGCCTTGTGATGTATGGATTTATCTCATAGAGTTAAACATTTCTTTCGGTCTAGCAGGTTGGATAGACTCTAATTAAGAATCTGTTTAGGGACATTTGGAAGCCTATTGAGGCCTATGCAGAAAAACTGAATATACCCAAATAAAAAGTCAAAAGAAGCTATCTCTTAAACCTCTTTCTGATGTGTGGATTCCTCTCACAGACTTAAAGCTTTCCTTTGATTCATCAAAGTGTAAACACTGTTTTTAGAAAACCTGCAGAGAAACATTTGGGAGCCCATTGAGGCCTATTGAGAAAAAATGAATATACCCAAATAAAAATTAGACAAAAGCTATATATGAAACTGCTTTGTGATGTGTGGAGTCCTCTCAAAGAGAAAAAGCTTTCTTATGATTCAGCAGTTTGGAAACACTCTTTCTGTAGAATCTGCAAAGAGAAACCTGGGAGCCAATTGCAGCATAAGGGGAAAACCTGAATAAACCCAGATAAAAACTAGAATAAAGCTCTGTGAAGATGCTTTGTGATGTGCGGATTCATCTTACAGATTAAAAGCTTTGGTTTATTCAGTAGGTTGAAAACACTCCTTTTCCAGAATCTATGAATGGTCATTTTAACTCCCCTAGAAGCCTATGGGAAAAAAAATTGAATATCCTTAGATAAACTAGAAAGAAGCTATCTGTGAAACTGTTTGTGACATGTGGATTCATGTTACAGAAGGAAATTTTTCTTTTGATTCAGCAGTTTGGAATCATCTTTTTTTTTTTAAAATGTGCAAAAGGATGTTTGAGGGCTTGCTTATGCCTATGGAGAAAAAACTGGATATTCCCAGATAAAAACTTGAAGGAGGCTATCTGTGAAATTGCCTTTTGATGTGTGGATTCATCTCACAGAATTAATTATTTTCTTTCAGCAGGAGGGAAACACTCGTTTTGGAGAATCTGTGAATTTGGGAGCCCAGTGATGCTACCAGGGAAAAATCAAATACACACAGTTAAAAATTTACAAGAAGTTATCTGTGAAACTGCTTTGTGATCCATGGATTCTTCTCACCAACTTGAACCTTTCTTTTCATTCAGCAGGTTGGAAACACTGTTTTTGGAGAATCTGTGAAGGGACATTTGGAAGCCCATGGAGGCCTATGGAACAAAACTGAATATCCCCAGATAAAACCTAGAAGGAATCTACCTGTGAAACTTCTTTGTGATGTGTGGATTCATCTCACAGTGTTAAGCCATTCTTTTGATTCAGCTGGTTATAAACACTCATTTTGGAGAATATGTGATGGGACATTTCAGAGCACACTGGGGACTGTGGGGAAAAATGGAATATACGCAGATAAAAACTAGAAAAAATATATTCCTGAAACGGCTTCATGATGTGTGGATTCATCTCACAATACTCAATCTTTCTTTTGATTTGGCAAGTTGGAAACACTCTTTTTGAAAATCTATGAAGTGACAATTTGTAACCCATTGAGGCCTATGGGGAAATACTGAATATCCCCAGATAAAAACTAGAAAGAAACTCTGTGAAACAGCTTTGTGATGTTTGCATTCAGCTCACAGCATTAAAACTTTCCTTTGATTCAGCAGATTGTGAACAGTCTTTTTGGGTAATTGGCAAAGGGACATTTTGGAGCCCATTAAGGCCTACGGGTAAAACGGAAAATCCCCAGATAAGAAACTAGAAAGAAGGTATCAGAGTAACTGCTTTGATTAATCTCACAGAGTTAAATTTTTCTTCTTATTCAGCAGGTTGGAAACATTTTCTTTGTAGAATCTGCAAAGGGATATTTTGGAGCCCATTGAGGCCTATAGGGAAAAAAAGAATATACCCAGATAAAAACTACAAAGAAGCTCTGTGTGATACTTCTTTGTGATGTGGGGATACGTCTCACAGAGTTAACGTTTTCTTATTCAGCAGGTTGGAATTACTATTTTTGGAGAATCTGTGAAGGGATATTTGGAAGTCTTTTGATGTCTAAAGGCAGAAAGAGAATATCCCCAGATAAAGATTAAAAAGCAGCTATGTGTGAAACAGCTTTGTGATGTATCGATTCGTCTCACAGAGTTAAACCTTTCTTACAATTCAGCAGTTTGGAAACACTCTTTTTGCGGTATCTGCAAAGGGACATTTGGCACCCATTGACGATTATGTAGAAAGGCAGAATATCCCAGAAAAATACTAGAAAGAAGGTCTCTGTGAAAGTGCTTCATGATGTGTGGACTCACCTGACAGAGTTAAATATTTCTTTTGATTCAGCATGTTGAAAATACTCTTTTTGTATAGTCTATGAGGATAAATTTCAGAGCCCATTGAGGATCAATATAAAAAAACAGAATATCTTCAGATAAAAACTACAAAGAAGCCATCTGTGAAACTGCTTTGTGATGTGTGGATTCATTTCACAGATTTAAAACATTCTTTTGATTCAGCAGGTTGGAAACACTCTGTGTAGAGTCTGTGAACAGACATTTGGGAGCTCATTGAGGCCTGGGGGAGAAAGAGAATAGCCCCAGATAAAACCTAGAAATAAAGTATTTGTAAAACTGCTTTGTGATGTGTGGATTCATTGAACAGAGTTAAATCTTTCTTTTCATTTAGCTCGTTTACAACACTCTTTTTGGAGAATCTGCAAAGGGACATTTGAACACCCATTGAGGTCTATGGGGACAAATCGAATATCCCCAGGTAAAACTAGAAAGAACCTATCTGTGAAACTTTCAGACATGTAGATTCATCTTAAAACAGTATTTTTTTTCTTTTCCTTCAGCAGATTGGGAACACCCTTTTTGTAGGATCTGCAAAGGAACACTTTGGAGCCCATTGAGAATTACTGGGAAAGAACAAATATCCACAGATAAAAACTAGAAGAAAGCTATTTGTGCTTTTTGATGTATGGATTCATCTCACAGAATTAATTTTTTCTTTTGATTCAGCAGGTGGAAAACACTGCTTTTGGAGGATCTGCAAAGGCACATTTATGAGCCAATTGATGCAGTCGAGGAAAACCCAAATATATTCATATAAAAACTAAAAACAAACTATCTGTGAAAATGATTTGAGATGTGCGCATTCATCTCACAGAGTTGAACCTTTCTTTCAGTTCAGCAGGTTGGAAACAGTCTTTTTGTAGAATCTGCAAAGGGACATTTGGGAGCTCCTGGAGGTCTGTGGGGCAAAACTGAATATCGTCAGATAAAAACTAGAAAGAAGATAGTCTGTCAAACTTTTTTGTGATATGTGGATTCATCTTACAAAGGCAAACATTTCTTTTGATTCAGCAAGTTGAAAGCACTCTTTTCAGAAAATATGCGATTGAATATTTGGGAGCCCTTTCAGGCCAAAGGGGAATAACCACATATACCCAGATAAAAACAACAAAGAAGCTATCTGAGGAACTTTTTGTGATATATATTTTCATCTCTCAGTGTTAAACTTTTCTCCTGATTCCACAGGTTTTGAAACACTCTTTATGCATAATCTACAAAGGGACATTTTGGAGACCCTTGAGGTCTATGGGGTGAAACCAAATATCCCCAGATAAAACTAGAAAGAAGGTATCCGTGAAACTTCTTTGTGATATCTGGATTCATGTCACAGAGATAAACCTTTCTTTTTATTCAGGAGATTGAAAATACTCTTTTTGAAAAATCTACAAAATGACATTTGGGATCCCATGGACAATTATTGGAAAAGAACGAATATCCCAAGACAAAAACCAGACGGAAGCTATCTGTGAAAATGCTTTGTGATGGGTAGATTCTTCTCACAGAATTATACTTTTCTTTTTATTCATCAGGTGGAAACATTCTTTTTGGAGAATCTGTGAAGGGCCATTTCTGTGCTCCAACTGGACTATGCAGAAAAACCAAGTATTTTCAGTTAAAAACTAGAATGAAGCTATCTGTGAAATTACTTTGTGATGTGTGGATTCACCTCACAGAAGTAAATTTTTCTTTTGATACAGCAGGTTGCAACACTTTTTGTAGAATCTGCAAAGGGACATTTTGGAGCTCATTGATGACTGTGGGGAAAAACAGAGTATTCCCAGGTAAAAACAAGAAAGACTCTATCTGTGAAATGGATTTGTGATGTGTGGATTTATCTCACAAAGTTAAACCTTCCTTTTTATTCAACTGGTTGGAAACACTCTTTTGGGAGAATCTGTGAAGGGATATTTGGGAGCCCTTTGAGACTATGGGGAAAAACAGAATATGCCCTGATAAAAATTAAAAAGAAGCTATCTTTGAAATGGCTTTGTGAGTGTGAATTCATCTTGCAGGATTAAACATTTCTTTTGATTCAGCTGGTTGGAGACACTTCTTTTGGAGAATCTGTGAAGAGACATTTGGGAGCCCATTGAGACCTATAAGGAAAAAAACAGAATATCCCAAGGCAAAAACTATAAGGAAGACACCTGTGAAACAGCTTTGTGATGTGTGGATTCATCTAACAGAGTTAAATCTTTCTTTTGATTCAGCAGGTTGGAAACACTCTTTTTGGAGAATCTGCAAAGGCATATTTGGGAGCCTAGTGAGGTCCAAGGAAAAACAACTAATATCCCCAGATAAAAACTAGAAAGAATCTGTGAAACTTATTTGTGATGCATGGATTTATCTCACAGAGTTAAACCTTTTTTTTTTTTTTTTTTTTTTGATTCAAGCATTTGGAAACACTTTTTCTGGAATATCTGTGAAGGGGTATTTTGGATACCAATGAGGTCCATGGGGAAAAACCAAATATCCGTAGGTAAAAACTAGAAAGAAAGTATCTGTAAAACTGCTTTGTGATGTGTAGATTCATCTCACAGACAAAAACCTTTCTTTTAATTGATCATGTTGGAAACCTGTTTTTGTAGAATGTGTGAAGAGATATTTGGAAATGCAATGAGGCGCAGGGGAAAAAAACAAATATCCACAGATAAAGAAGTAAAGACTACCTATCGGTGAAACTGCTTTGGGATGTGTAGATTCATCTCAAAGTGTTAAAACTTTCTTTTGATTCAGCAGGTTGGGAACACTGTTTTTGGAGAATCTACAAAGGGACATTTCGGAGCCCATTGCATCATATGGCCATAAAATTGAATATCCCGAGGTAAAAAGTAGAAAGAAGCTATCTGTGGCACTGTCTTGTGATGTGTGGATTCATCTCACCAAGTTAAACCTTTCTCTGCATTCAGTAGGATGGAAATACTCTTTTTGGAGAATCAATGGGATAATTGGGAGACCATAGATCCCAAATTAAAATCAATGGAAAATTTCCAGATAAAAACTAGGAAGAAGCTATCTGTGAAACTGCTTTGTGATGTGCAGATTTAGCTCATGGAGTTAAACTTTCCTTTTGATTCAACAGTTTGAAAACTGTCTTTTTTGAGAATCTGTGAAAGGACATTTTAGAGTCCATTAAGGCCCATGGGGAAAAAAGTATCCCTATGTAAATAAGGGAAACAAAGTATCTGTGAAATTGCTTTGTGACATGTAAATTCATCTAACAGAGTTAAAGCTTTCTTTTGATCCCACAAGTTGGAATCGCTCTTTTTGGAGAATCTGTGAATGGACAATTTGGAATCCATTCAGGCCCATGGGGAAAACCTGAATATCCCATAATAAAAACTAGAATGAAGCTATCTGTGAAAATGCTTTTTGATGTGTGGATTCATTACACAGAATTAAACATTTCTTTTGATTCACCAGGTTGGAAACACTCTTTTTGGAGAATCTGCCAAGGGCAGTTGAGGGCCTTTGAGGCCCATGGGGAAAAACAAATACAGATAAAAACTAGAAAGACGCTATCTCTAAAACTGTTTTGGGATGTGTGGATTCATCCCACAGAGTTAAACCTTTCTTTGGTTTAGCAGGTTGGAAACACTATTTTAGATAATCTGTGAAGGGACATCAGAGAGCCCACTGAGGCCCATAAAAAACAAAAAAACGAATATAGCCAGGTAAAAACCAGAAAGAAGCTATCTGTGAAACTGCTTTTTATGTGTGGATTTATCTCAGAGTTAAACCTTTCTGTTATTCAGCAGGTTGAAAGCTCTTTCTTGACAATATTTGAAAGGACATTTGGAAGCTCATTGAGGCCTATGGGCAAAAACTGAGTATCACAGGGTAAAACAAAAAGCAAACTATCTGTGAAACTCCTTTGTCATCTGTAAATTCATCTCACAGAGATAAAGTTTTCTGTTGATTCAGCATATTGCAAGCACTATTTTTGGAGAATCTGCAAAAGGATATCTGGTAACACATTGAGGCCCATGGTGAAAACAGAATATTTCATGATAACAACTAGAAAAAAACTATCTGTGAAACTGCTTGGTGATGTGTGGATTCATCTCACAGAATTAAACCTCTCTTTTGACAGCCAGTTGGAAACACGTTTATTGGATAAACTGTGAAAGGCCATTTTGGATAAAATTGAGGCCCATGGGGGGGAAAAAAAAACTAATATCCCCAGTTAAAAACTAGATAATAGCTATCTGGGAAACTGCTTTGTGATACGGATTCATCTCACAGAGGTATACCTTTCTTTTGATTCGGCAGATTGGAAACACTCTTTTGGAGATTCTGCCTGGGGACATTTTTGACCCCATTGAAGCCCATGAAAGAAAACCGAATATCCCCAAGTAAGAACTAGAGAGAAGCTATCTATGAAACTGCTTTGTCATGTGTGGATTCATGTCACCAAGTTAAAACTTTTTTTTTTGATTCAGGAGGTTGGAAACACTCTTTTTTGGAGAATGTGCAAAGGAATATTTTGGATCCCACTGAGGCCCATGGGGAAAAACTGAATAGCCTTAGGTAAAAACTAGAAAGAAGCTATCTCTGAATCTGCTTTGTGATGTATAGATTCATCTCACAGATTTAAACATTTATTTTGATTCAACAGATCGTAAACACCCTATTAGGAGAATCTGCAAAGGGACATTTGGGAGCCCATTGCAGCCTATGGGGATAAACAGAATAACCCCAGGTAAAAACCAGAAAGAAGACATCTGTGGCACTGCCTTGTCATGTGTGGATTCATCTCACTGAGTTAAATCTTTCTTTTGATACAGCAGGTTGGAAACACTCTTTTTGGAGAACATGTGAAGGGATATTTGGGAGCCCATTGAGGCCCATGAAAAAAAAAATTCTAGATAAAAACTAGGAAGAGGCTGTCTGTGAAACTGCTTTGTGATGTGTGGAATAATCTCACAGAGTTAAACATTTCCTTTGATTCAGCAGTATCTGCAAAGAGACATTTTGGGTCCCATTAAGGCCTTTCAGGAAAATTCTAATATCCTCAGTTAAAAACTAGAAAGACGATATCTGGGAAACTGCTTTGTGATTTGTGTTTTCGTCTCACTGAGTTAAGCCTTTCTTTTGATTCAATAGGTTGGAAACACTCTTTTTGGAGAATCTGCAAAGGGACATTTTGGACCCCCATTGAGACCTATTGGGAAAATCCTAATATCCACAGGTAAAAACTAGAAAGATGATATCTGGGAAACTACTTTGGGATTTGCGCTTTCATCTCACTGAGTTAAGCCTTTCTTTTGATTCAGCAGGTTGGAAACGCGGTTTTTGGAAAATCTGACAGTGGACATTTGAGAGACCGTTGAGAACCATGGAGAACAACGTAATAGCCCCAGGTAAAAGCTAGAAAGAAGCTATTTGTCAAACTGCTCAATGATTTCTGGATTCATCTCAAAGGTTTACACCATTCTTTTGAGTCAGCAGGTTAAAAACAATCTTTTTGGATAATCTGTGAAGGGACATTTGGGAGCCCCTTTGAGGCCCAATGGAAAAAAAAATATGCCCAGATAAAAACTAGAAAGAAGCTGTCTATGTAACTCCTGGCTGATGAAGACGAATATGCCCAGGTAAAAACTAGAAAGTAGGTATCTGGGAAAGTGCTCTATGATGTGTGGATTCATCTCAGAGGTAAATCCTTCCTTTGATTCAGCAGGTTGGAAACATTCTATTTGTAGAATCAGCAAAGGGACTTTTGGGAGCCCATTCAGGCCTAAAGGAAAAATTGAATACCCCTACATAAAAACTGAAAGAAGCTGTCTGTGTAACTGCTTTGTGATGTAAAGATTAATGAAAGAGTTAAACCTTTCATTTGATTCATCAGGTTGACAGAACTCTTTTTGGAAAATCTGTGAAGGTACATTCAGGGCCCATTGTGGCCTATGAGGAGAAAGCAAATATCCCCTGATGAAAATAAGAAAGAGGGGTGCAGCCAAGATGGCCAAATAGGAACAGCTCCACTCTACAGCTTCCACCATGACCAATGCAGAAGATGGGTGATTTCTGCATTTCTAACTGAGGTACTGGGTTCATCTCACTGTGGAGTGCCAGACAGTGGGTGCAGGACAGTGGGTGGAGCACACTGTGCATGAGCTGAAGCAGGGTGAGGCATCACCTCACCCAGGAAGCTCAAGAGGTCAGGGAATTCCCTTTCCTAGTCAAAGAAATGGGCAACAGACGGCACCTCGAAAATCAGGTCACTCCCACATTAATACTGTGCTTTTCCAATGGGCTTCAGAAATGGCACGCCAGGAGATTATGTCCCACACATGGCTCAGAGGGTTCTATGCCCACTGAGCCTCACTCATTGCTAGAACAGCAGTCTGAGATCAAAATGCAAGGTGGCAGTGAGGCTGGGGGAGGGACACCCGCCATTGCTCAGGCTTGAGTAGGTAAACAAAGTGGCTGGGAAGCTTGAACTGGGTGGAGCCCACCACAGCTCAAGGAGGCCTGCCTGCTTCTGTAGGCTCCACCTCTGGGGGCAGGGCACAGACAAACAAAAGACAGCAATAACCTCTGCAGACTTAAATGTCCCTGTCTGAGAGTTTGGAAGACTAGTGGTTCTCCCAGCACACAGCTGGAGATATGAGAATGGGCAAACTGCCTCCTCAAGTGGGTCACTGACTCCTGAGTAGCCTAACTGGGAGGCACCCATCAGTACAGGCAGACTGACACCTTACCGGGCCGGGTACGCCTCTGAGCCAAAACATCCAGAGGAATGATTAGGCAGCAGCATTTGCGGTTCACCAATATCCACTGTTTTGCAGCCACCACTGCTGACACCCAGGCAAACAGGGTCTGGAGTGGACCTTGAGTAAACTCCAACAGACCTGCAGCTGAGGGTCCTGATGGCTAGAATGAAAACTAACAAACAGAAAGGACATCCACACCAGAAACCCATCTGTACGTCACCATCATCAAAGACTAAAGGTAGATAAAACCACAAAGATGGGGAAAAAACAGAGCAGAAAAACGGGAAACTCTAAAAATCAGAGCACCTCTCGTCCTTCAAAGGAATGCAGCTCCTCACCAGCAATGGAACAAAGATGGACAGAGAATGACTTTCACGAATTGTGAGAGGAAGACTTCAGAAGGTCAAACTACCCTGAGCTAAAGGAGGAAGTTTGAACCAATGGCAAAGAAGTTAAAAACTTTGAAAAAAAATTAGATCAATGGATAACTAGAATAACCAATGAAGAAAGTCCTTAGAGAACCTGATGGAGTTGAAAAACATGGCGCGAGAACAACGTGCTGAATGCACAAACCTCAGTAACTGATGCAATCAACTGGAAGAAAGGGTATCAGCAATGGAAGATGAAATGAAGTGTGAAGATCAGTTTAGAGAAAAAAGAATAAAAAGAAATGAACAAAATTTCCAAAAATATGGGACTATGTGAAAAGACCAAATCTATGTCTAATTGGTGTACCTGAAAGTGACAGGGAGAATGGAACCAAGTTGGAAAACATTCTGCAGGATATTATCCTGGACAACTTCCCCAATCTAACAATTCAGGCCAACATTCAAATTCAGGAAATACAGAGAATGCCACAAAGATACTCATCAAGAAGAGCAACTCCAAGACATATAATTGTCAGATTCACCAAAGTTGAAAAGAAGGAAAAAATGTAAAGGGCAGCCAGAGAGAAAGGTCGGGTTACCCACAAACGGAAACCCATCAGACTAACAGCTCATCTCTCAGCAGAAACTCTACAAGCCAGAAGAGAGTGGGGGCCAATATTCAATATTCTTAAAGAAAAGAATTTTCTACCCAGAATTTCATATCAAGCCAAACTATGCTTCATAAGTGAAGAAGAAATAAAGTACTTTACAGACAAGCAAATGCTGAGAGATTTTGTCACCACCATGTCTGCCCTAAAAGAGGTCCTGAAGGAAGCATTAAATGTGGAAAGGAACGACCAGTAGCAGCCACTGCAAAAACATGCAAATTATAAAGACCATCAAGGTTAGGAAGAAACTCCATCAACTAACTAGTTAATATCATAATGACAGGATAAAATTCACACATAACAATACTAACCTAAAATGCAAATGGGTTAAATGCTCAAATTAAAAGGCACAGACTGGTAAATTGGATAAAGAATCAAGACCCATCAGTGTGCTGTATTCAGGAAACCCATCTCACAGGCAGAGACACACATAGGCTCAAAACAAAGGGATGGAGGAAGATCTACCAAGCAAATGGAAAACAAAAAAAGCAGGGGTTGCAATCCTAGTCTCTGATAAAACAGACTTTAAATGAAACAACATCAAAAGAGGCAAAGAAGGCCATTACATAATGCTAAAGGGATCAATTCAACAAGAAGACCTAACTACCCTAAATGTATATGCACCCAATATGGGAGCACCCAGATTCATAAAGCAAGTCCTTAGTGACCTATAATGAGACTTAGACTTCCACACAACAATAATGGGAGATGTTAACACTCCACTTCAACATTAGACAGATCAACAAGACAGAAAGCTAAAAAGGATATCCAGGAATTGAACTCAGCTCTGCACACAGTGAACCTAATAGACATCTACAGAACTCTCCACCCCAAATCAACAGAATGCACATTCTTTTTAGCACCACACCACTCTTTTTCCAAAATTGACCACATACTTGGAAGTAAAGCACTCCTCAGCAAATGTAAAAGAATAGAAATTATAACAAATTGTCTCTCAGACCACAGTGCAATCAAACTAGAACTCAGGATTAAGAAACTCACTCAAATCCGCTCATTTACATGGAAACTGAACAACCTGCTCTGGAATGACTACTGGGTACATAACGAAGTGAAGGCAGAAATAAAGATGTTATTTGAAACCAATGAGAACAAAGAAACAACATACCAGAATCTCTGGGACACATTCAGAGCAGTGCGTAGCGGGAAATTTGTAACACTAAATGCCCACAGGAGAAAGCAGGAAAGATATAAAATTGATATCCTAACATCACAATTAAAAGAACCAGAGAAGCAAGAGCAAACATATTCAAAGGCTAGCAGAAGGCAAGAAAAAACTAAGATCACAGCAGAACTGAAGGAAATAGAGACACAAAAAACTCTACAAAAAATCAATGAATCCAGGAGCTGGTTTTCTGAAAAGATCAACAAAATTGACAGACCACTAGCAAGACAAATAAAGAAGAAAAGAGAGAAGAATATAATAGAAACAATAAAAAATGACAAAGAGGATATCACCACCGATCCCACAGAAATACAAACTACCATCAGAGAATACTATAAACACCTCTAATGCTAATGAACTGGAAAATCTAGAAGAAATGGATAAATTCCTCGACACATCCACTCTCCCAAGACTAAACCAGGAAAAAATTGAATCTCTGAATAGATCAATAACAGACTCTGAAATTGTGGCAATAATAAATAGCTTACCAACAAAAAAGAAGCCCAGGACCAGATGGATTCACAGACGAATTCTACAGAGGTACAAGGAGGAGCTGGTACCATTCCTTCTGAAACTATTCCAATCAATAGAAAAAGAAGGAATCCTCCCTAACTCATTTTATGAGGCCAGCATCATCCTGATACCAAAGCCTGGCAGAGACACAACAAAAAAAGAGAATTTTAGACCCATATCCTTGATGAACATTGTTGCAAAAATCCTCAATAAAATATGGCAAACTGGATCCAGCAATACATCAAAAAGCTTATCCACCATGATGAAGTGGGCTTCATCTCTCGGATGCAAGGCTGGTTCATCATATGAAAATCAATAAACATAATCCAGCATGTAAACAGAACCAAAGACAAACAACACATGATTATCTTAATAGATGCAGAGAAGGCCTTTGACAAAATTCAACAACGCTTCTTGTTAAAAACTCTCAATATCATTGTTCAATTCCCACCTATGAGTGAGAATATGCGGTGTTTGGTTTTTTGTTCTTGCGATAGTTTACTGAGAATGATGATTTCCAATTTCATCCATGTCCCTACAAAGGACATGAACTCATCACTTTTTATGGCTGCATAGTATTCCATGGTGTATATGTGCCACATTTTCTTAATCCAGTGTATCATTGTTGGACATTTGGGTTGGTTCCAAGTCTTTGCTATTGTGAATAATGTTGCAATAAACATACGTGTGCCTGTGTCTTTATAGCAGCATGATTTATATTCCTTTGGGTATATACCCAGTAATGGGATGGCTGGGTCAAATGGTATTTCTAGATCTAGATCCATGAGGAATCGCCACACTGACTTCCACAATGGTTGAATTAGTTTACAGTCCCACCAACAGTGTAAAAGTATTCCTATTTCTCCACATCCTCTCCAGCACCTGTTGTTTCCTGACTTTTTAATGATTGCCATTCTAACTGGTGTGAGATGGTATCTCATAGTGGTTTTGATTTGCAGGAAGGGGAATATCACACTCTGGGGACTGTGGTGGGGTGGGGGGAGGGGGGAGGGATAGCATTGGGAGGTATAACTAATGCTAGAAGACGAGTTAGTGGGTGCAGCGCACCAGCATGGCACATGTATACATATGTAACTAACCTGCACAATGTGCACATGTACCCTAAAACTTAAAGTATAATAATAATAAAAAAAACTCTCAATAAATTAGGTATTGATGGGATGTCTTTCAAAATAATAAAAGCTATCTATGACAAACTGACAGCCAAAATCATACTGAATGGACAAAAATTGGAAACAATCCCTTTGAAAGCTGGCAAAAGATAGAGATGACCTCTCTCACCAATCCTATTCCACATAGTGTTGGAAGTTCTGGCCAGGAAAATCAGGTAGGAGAAGAAGGCAAAGGGTATTCAATTAGGAAAAGAGGAAGTCAAATTCTCCCTTTTAGCAGATGGCATGATTGTATATTTAGAAAACCCCATCGTCTCAGCCCAAAGTCTCCTTAAGCTGATAGGCAGCTTCCGCAACATATCATGATACAAAATCAATGAGCAAATATCACAAGAATTATTATACACCAATAACAGAAAAACAGAGAGCCAACCATGAATGAACTCCCATTCACAATTTCTTCAAAGATAATAAAATACCTAGGAATCCAACTTACAAGGGATGTGAAGAACCTCTTCAAGGAGAAATACAAACCACTGCTCAATGAAATAAAAGAGGATACAAACAAATGGAAGAACATTCCATGCTCATGGGTAGGAAGAATCAATATCATGAAAATGGCCATACTGCCCAAGGTAATTTATAGATTCAATGCCATCCCCATCAAGCTACCAGTGACTTTCTTCACAGAATTGGAAAAAACTACTTTAAATTTCATACAGAACCAAAAAGGAGCCCACATTGCCAAGACAATCCTCAGTGAAAAGAACAAAGCTGGAGGCATCACACTACCTGACTTCAAACTATACTACAAGGCTACAGTAACCAAAACAGCTTGGTACTGGTACAAAACAGAGATATAGACCAATGCAACAGAACAGAGCTTTCAGTAATAATGCCACATATCTACAACTATCTGATCTTTGACAAACCTGACAAAAAGAAGCCATGGGGAAAGGATTCCCTATTTAATAAATGGTGCTGTGAAAACTGGCTAGCCATATGTAGAAAGCTGAAACTGGATCCCTTCTTTACACCTTATACAAAAATTAATTCAAGATGGATTAAAGACTTACATGTTAGACTTAAAACCATAAAAACCCTAGAAGAAAACCTAGGCATTATCTTTCAGGATATAGGCATGGACAAGGACTTCATGTCTAAAACACCAAAAGTAATGGAAACAAAAGCCAAAATTGACAAATGGGATCTAATGAAACTAAAGAACTTCTGCACAGCAAAAGACACTACCATCAGAGTGAACAGGCAACATACAGAATACGAGAAAATTTTTGCAACCTACTCATCTCACAAAGGGCTAATATCCAGAATCTACAATGAAATCAAACAAATTTACAAGAAAAAAAAAAAAACAACCCTATCCAAAAGTGGGCAGAGGATATGAACAGACAGTTCTCAAAAGAAGACATTTAGGCAGCCAAGAAAACACATGAAAATATGCTCATCATCACTGGCCATCCAAGAAATGCAAATCAAAACCACAATGAGATACCATCTTACACCAGTTAGAATGGTGATTATTAAAAAGTCGGGAAACAACAGGTGCTGGAGAGGATGTGGAGAAATAGAAACACTTTTAGATTGTTTGTGGCACTGTAAACTAGTTCAACCATTGTGGAAGTCAGTGTGGCGATTCCTCAGGGATCTAGATCTAGAAATACCATTTGCCCAGCCATCCCATTACTCATTCTCAGCAATCTATTGCAAGGACAAAAAACCCAACAGCACATGTTCTCACTCATAAGTAGGAATTGAACAATGAGAACACATGGACACAGGAAGGGGAACATCACACACTGGGGACTGTTGTGCGGTAGGGGGAGGGGGGAGGGATAGCATTAGGAGATATACCTAATGCTAAATGATGAGTTAATGGGTACAGCACACCAACATGACACATGTATACATATGTAACAAACCTGCACATTGTACACATGTACCTTAAAACTTAAAGTATAATAACAATAATAATAATAATAAAATTGTGATGGGGTTAGACATTTAAAAAAAAAGAAAATAAGTAAGAAGCTATCTGTGAAACTACTTTGTGATGCCTGGATTCCTCTCATAGGGTTGAACACTTTTGGAGAATGTGTGATAGGACAATGGGGAGCCCACCAATGGCAATGAGGAAAATTCGAATAACCCCAGATAAAAACTAGAAAGAAGCTATCTGTGAAACTGTTCTGTGGTATGTAGATTCACCTCAAATAATTAAACCTTTCTTTTGATACTGCAGGTTGGAAACACATTTTCTGAGAATCTGCAAGGGGACATTTTGGAGCCCATTGAGGCCTGTGGGGAAAAATATGGTATACCTAGGTAAAAACTAGAAAGAACATATCTGTGAAACTGCTTTGTGTTGTGTGGATTCATCTCACAGAGTTAACCCTTTCTTTTATTCAGCAGGTTTGAAATACTCTTTTTAAAGGATCTATGAAGAAATATTTTGAAGTTAATTGAGGCCCATGGAAAAAATAAACGAATATCTTCAGGTAAAATCTAGAAAGAAGCTATCTGTGAAATTGCTTTGTGATGTATGGATTTGTCTCACAGAGTTAAATCTTTCTTTGGATTCAGCAGATTGGAAAAACTCTTTTTGGAGAATTTGTGAAGGGACTTTTTGGAGTCCACTGAGCTGTTGAATAACTGAATATCCCCAGAAAAACAGTGGAATCTATCTGTGAAACTGCTTTGTGATGTGTGGATTCATCTCACAGAGTTAATCCTTTCGTTTGATTCCGCACGTTTGGAGCACTCCTTTTGGACAATCTGGAACAATATATTTTGGTCCATTGAAGCCAATGAAGGAAAAAAAGGAGTATCCCTAGGCAAAACCTAAAAAGAAGCTATCTGTGAAAATGCTTTGTGATGTTTGGATTCATGTCCCAGAGTTAAACTTTTCTTTTTATTCAGCAGGTTGGAAACACTCTTTTTGAACAATCTGCAAAGGGAAACTGGGGAGGCCATGGAAACCCATAAGGAAAAACAGAATATTACCAGATAAAAATCAATAAAAACTATCTGTGAAACTGCTTTATGATGTGTGAATTCAACTGACAGAGTCAAACCTTTCTTTTGATTCAGCAGGTTGGAAAATCTCTCCTTGGAGAATCTGTGAAGGGATATTTGGGAGCACATTGAAGCCCACATGGGAAAACAGAATATACCCGAATAAAAAGTAGAAAGAAACTATTTTTTGAAACTGTTTTTGTGTTGTATGAATTCACTTTACATAGTTAAACCATTCTTTTATACAGACGGTTGGAAAAATCTTTTTGAAGAATTTGCAAAGTGACATTTGGGAGCCAATTGAGTTCCATGTGGAAAAACCTGATAGCCCAAGATAAAAACAAGATGGAAGCTATCTATTATAAGGGGAAACCAGCCCCCAATGTTTCAATGTAGATTTTTTTCTATTTTCCCCAAGTGTAGTCTGGCCTGAGAAATAAAGGGAAAGAGTACAGAAGAGAGAAATTTTAAAGATGGGTGTCCGGGGGAGACATCATATGTCAGCAGGTTCTGTGATGTACCCGAAGCCACAAAACCTGCAAGTTTTATTAGTGATTTTCAAAGGGGAGAGAGAGCATGAAAGGGTTTGGGTCATAGATATCACATACTTCACAAGGAAATAAAATATGGCAAGGCAAATGGGGGCAGAGTGAGATCACAGGACTGTGGTGAAATCAAAATTGCTAATGGAGTTTCATGTCCCACTAAGCATACATTGTCATTGATAACATCTTATCAGGAGACAGTGTTTGAGAGCAGACAACCAGTCTGACTAAAATTTACTAGGCAGTAACTTCCTCATTTTAATAGGCCTGGGAGCACAATGGGAGGCCAGGGCTTATTTCATCCATTACCTGCAATCCTATAAGACAGAAACTCCCAGACCGGCCATTTTAGAGACATATCCCTGGGAATGCATTCCCTTTCTCAGGGCTGTTGCTTGCTGAGAAAAATAACTCAGCAATATTTCTCCTATTCACTTTTGTAAGAGGAGAAATATGGCTGTTCCACCCAGCTCCCAGTCCGTCAGACCTAATGGTTTTCTCCCTTGTTCCCTGAACATCACTGTTATCCTGTTCTTTTTACAAAGTGCCCAGATTTCATATTGTTTAAACACACATGCTCTACAAACAATTTGTGCAGTTAATGCAATCATCACAGTGTCCTGAGGCAATGTACCTCCTCAGCTTAGAAAGATGACAGGGTTAAAAGATTAAAGTAAAGACAGGCATAGGAAATCACAAGAGTATTGATTGGGGAAGTGATAAATGTCCATGAAATCTTCACAATTTATGTTCAGAGGTTGCCCTAAAGACAGACATAAGAAATTATAAAAGTATTAATTTGGGGAAATAATAAATGTCCATGAAATCTTCACAATTTATGTTCTTCTGCCATGGTTTCAGCCGGTCCCTCCAACTGGGGTCCCTGACTTCCCGCAGCATCTCTCCCTTTCTTTTATATAAATGTGCCATGGTGTTAAAGGCTTGTTTGTTCTCTCAATTTTGAGGCAGGAGTCTTTGACTGTTCCAGCACACTAAAGACAAGCTTATTAAACAGAAAAACATAATTCCAAAATTTACTACAGTGAAGCCCCCACAGACTTAATTCAAGTTGTGAGGTTTAGCCCGGAAAGATTTTCTGCCACCTGATCTAATGCCCCAGCTGCAGGCACAATGGACAAATGAGATTGAGAGATTTCAAAAATTTGTTTCTTTAATTTACTTATGTCCAGTGATAAATTATCTTCCTGACCTAGAAGGTGTCCTTTGACCACTTCTCATGAATGATCTATCTCATTGTAGGAATACAGAGTAGTACAGAAATCAGAACTGTTCCAATTGCACTGCAATTGCGTGTGATGTTCGAGACTCACTACCTGATCTCCAAGCAAATAACAGACTGTCTTAAATCATTAATTTGATTAGCCAATTTTTGATCAATGCCTTGTTGAGAATTCCACATTTGGGTGGAATTGGCTTGCCAATCATTAAAAAAATCAGCTGTTTGAATAGATTGATGTAACACCATTCCGGCAGTGGTCACCAGTGCAGTGACTAATTAGGCCCATGATTACTGTGATTAACGTGAAAACAAATCTCTTAGATCTTTTTAGAATTCGTTGTAACAATTCATTAATTAAATGTATTGAGGGGGAAGATTCCCAAGGTCTGGGCAAAATTATTGGAATACAGATTCCTTCTTGAGTTCTAACCACAATACACTTTTCGTGGAGTGAAAATGGGGGTTAATGCAAGTGTATAATGACAGATGATGCATTGAACAGTTTGATTGTTCGTTCAAATTTTGATATTTCCCACTAACAGCATGTAAGGAGGCTTAACATATCTCTGTATGGGAACAGTCGGGTTAGAGGTAAGTAAAACATACTGTCTGGATCTAAGTCAATACTGAGAGAGAGGGATGGTAGTGGGGACAACAGACAGAATAGTTTCCCCTTTCCATGCTCACAGTCCAGACATGGCAATCGCCAATTTTCAAAGTTCTGGGTATTCTGAGCTCAGGATGGGGAATATTATATGCTGCCTCAATGGGGTGGGGTAATGCTTTCATCTTCCCATTTCAAGGGAAAGAATGAGCTCAACCTCCTATGTAAAGTAAAATGATGATTCTCGTTCTCCAGATAAGAAATAAAATAAGCAGCCTCCAGGCATTCCCTTCCACCAGAGGAGCAACAGATTTTAAATAACCCTTTGGTGCCCAGTCTATTACTAAACCATATGAGTCATTTTAAATGTTACTGCATGCGAGTTAACACTGTCTTCCAAAATTAAGGTTTTACATGAGCCATCAAAATTTTTAGGGCATGGTTTTCCTGCAGGTTTATATTGAAAGTATGGGGTATCTCCCATTACTCCCTCTTTCATTTCCTTTAAAGAAGAAAGGGAGAGGCCAGAGACCAAATGTCCCAGTTCCTCTGTGGCTGATCTCTCTGGAAGACAAGTAGCCCAGAATTGAGTTTCTAGATGGATACAATCAGGTGCATGTTGGAGGCACAGAGGTGGGTATTTATAACCCATGATAACATTAAATACAGTGCCTTCTTCCCCTGGTTGAGTGGAGCAATTGTCATCTGTAGCTGCAGTCATCCACACACTATCATTAGTGTAGATTTCTGCAGGAGCATCCGTCCAGGTGAGAGGTCAAACAAGTGGAGGAAAAGGCACATAAGCCCAGTAAGAATAATTTTGTGTAGCAGGTAAATCAGTGTGTGAGGAAACTAGTGAGACAGAAAGTATAAGGGGGAGAATGATTCAGTAAAACCTACTGTAAGCAAGATTTAGTGCTGAAGGAGGAAGAAAAGAACAGAGGGATGTTATTTTTAGGCCAACAGAAATGGTAAGATTTTTAGGTTTGTAAGGAGAAAAATAAAGGTAATTCGAAGTGTAATTAGTTAGATGGGTCTCCGTTGTCATTGGGGGGATTGAATCAGACCCATTGTGATTTAGTGTGCCAGCTTCTAAGGAGTTGACACAGATCTTACCACATCTAAGTGTGGTCTCTGACATTGACGTCTTTTCCCTGTGGTTTTCGTTTGATGATCTCCTGGTGAAACACAAGCATATCCTCTTTCCCACGTTAAATGGAATCAGAGACAATATTTAAAGGCTTGGGGAAATCCTATAAGACAACAATTACAGCAATTAACTCTGCCTCTCGAGTAGTGGTATAAGGGGTAGAAATAAGCTTGTCTGTAGGACCTATATAACCAGCATTTGCATTGCTGGAGCCATTAGTGAACACTGTGATGGCCCCAGGAATGGGCTGATTTTTGCTTAATCAAGGGACCACTGAAGACGTAAGTTTTATAAAATCAAACAATTTGTTCTTTGGATAATGATTGTCAATAATACCAATGAAATCAACCAAGTGAATTTTCCACAGAATGGAATGTTGAAAGGTGGCTTGAACTTTAAACCAGTTTAAAGGAACTACAATTAAATTTGGATCAAATCTGGAAATTTTAAGTATTTTATACCATGTCTATCCAATTGGATTGGCCAACTGATTTGTGATGTATCGATTAATCTCACAGAGCTAAATCTTTGTTTTGATTCAGTAGGTTGGAAACACTCCTTTTGGAGAATCTGTGAATTTATATTTGGGACCCCATTGAGGCCTTTGGGGGAAAACCAAATATTCCCAGGTAAAAATCAGAAAAAAAAGTATATGTGAAACTGATTTCTGATGTGTGGATTCATCTTACAGAGATAAAACTTTCCTTTAATACAGCAAGTTGGAAACAATCTTTTTTGAGCATCTGCAAAGGACATTTTGATGCCCCTTGAGGCACATGGAGAAAAACTGAATATCTCCAGGCAAAAACTAGAAACAATATATCGGTTAAACTGCTTTGTGATGTGTGGGTTCATCTCACAGTGTTGAATATTTCTTTTGTTTCAGCAGGTTGCAAACACTCTTTTTGGACAATCTACCAACAAACATTTGGTAGCCCATTGTGGCCCATGGGAAAAAAGAAATATCCCCATGTACAAATAAGAAGCTATCTGTGAAACTGCTTTGTGCTGGGTGGATTCATCTCACAGAGTTATATTTTTCTTTTGATTCAGCAGGCTTCAATACTCTTTGGAAAATCTGGAAGGGACATTTGAGAGTTCATTGAGGCCCACTGGGAAAAAAACAAAAATCTCAAGTAAAAACTAGAAAGAAGCTATCTGTGAAACTGCTTTGCAATGTATGGATTCATCTCAGAGAATTAAACCTTTCTTTTGATTCAGCAGGTTGGAAAAACTCTTTTTGGAGAATCTGTGAAGGGACTGTTGGGAACCCATTGAGGCCCACAGGGAAAAACCCAGTAAACTTGTGTAAAAAACAGAAAAAAATCTGTGAAATTGCTTTTTGAAGTGAGGATTAAACTCACAGAGTTAAACATTACTTTTGATTCATCAGGTTGGAAACACTTTTTTTTGGAGAATCTGCAAAGGGACATTTTGGATCCCATTGAGGCCCATGGGAAAAAAAACGGAATACATTTAGATCAAAACTAGAAACAAGCTATCCGGAAAAATGCTTTGCAATGTGTGGATTCATCTAAAAGCTTTGAACCTTGTTTTGATGCAGCAGGTTAGAAACACTCTTTTTGGTGAATCTGCAACTGGACATTTGGTAGCCCATTGAGGCCCATGAGGAAAAACTGAATAACTGCATGTAAAACCTAGAAAGTAGCTATCTGTGAAACAGCTTTGGGAAGTCCCGATTTATCTCACAGAGTTCAATGTTTTTTTTTTTTTTTTGATTTACCAGGTGGGAAAGACTCTTCTTTAAGAATGCCTGAAGAGACATTTATTTGGCAGTTCATCAAGGCCCAGGGGGGAAAATTCAATATCCCCAGAAAAATACTAGAAAGAAGCTATATGTGAAACTGCTTTGTGAGCTGTGGATTCATCTCATAGTGTTATATTTCTCTTTTGATACAGCACTTTGGAAACACTTTTTTTGGAGAATCTGTGAAGGGAAATTTGGGAGCCCATTGAGGCCTATGGGGAAAAATTAAATATTTCACAGTAAAAACTAGAAAGATGCTCTCTGTGAAACTGCTTTGTGATGTGTAGATTCATCTCACAGTGTTAACCCTTTCTTTTGATTCAGTAGATTGGAAACACCCTTTTTGGAGAAACTGCAAAGGGACATTTGGAAGCCCAGTGGGACCCATGCAAAAAAACTGAATATTTCCTGTAAAACCCACAAATAAGCTATCTGTAAAACTGGTTTGTGATGTATGGATTTATCTCACAGAGTTAAATCTTTCTTTTGATTCAGCAGGTTCAAGACACTTTTTTTGGAGAATCTCCAAAGGGACATTCAAGAACCCATTGAGGCCCATGGAAAATTTCAAATATTCTTAGATTAAAACTAGAAACAGGCTATGTGTAAAACTTCTTTGCAATTTGTGGATTCATCTCAAAGGTTTGAACGTTTTTTTCCTATTCAGCAGGTTAGAAACACTCTTTTTGATGAATATGCAAAGGGACATTTGGGAGCCAAGTGAGGCCCATGAGGAAAAACAGAATATCCACAGACAAAAACTAGGAAGAAGGTTACTGTAAAACTGCTTTGTGATTGCGGATTCATCTCAAATGAATAAACCTTTCCTTTTATTCAGCATGTAGAATCTGAGAAGGGACATTTTGGAACCTATTGATGCTCTATCAAAGAAACTGAATATTTCCAGACAAAAACTAGAAAGATGCTATCTGTGAAATGCCTTTGAGATGTATGGATTCATCTCACAGAGTTAAACCTTTCTTTTGATTCAGCAGGTTGGAAACACTCCTCTTGGAAAATTTACAAAGATAAATTTTGGAAACCATTGAGGCCCATGGGGAAAAAACTAAATATCTCAGGGTAAAAACTAGAATATATCCGTGAAACTGCTTTGTGATGCATGGATTCACCTCACAAAGTGAAATCTTTCTTTTGATTCAGTATCTTGGAAATACTCTTTTTGGAGAATCTGCCAGGGCATATTTGTGAGCCCATTGAGGCATATCAGAAAAAAACGAATATCCCCAAGTAAAATTAGAAAGAAGCTCTCTGTGAAACTGCTTTGTGATGTGTGGATTCATCTGACAAACTTAAACCTTCCTTTTGTTACAACAGGTTGAAACACTCTTTTTGGAGAATAGGTGAAGGGACATTTTGGACCTCATTGTGGGCTATGGGGAAAAAACAGAATGTCCCCAGGAAAAAACTATATAGAAACTATGTGTGAAACTGCTCAGTGTCATATGCATTCATCTCACAGAGTTAAACGTTTCTTTTAATTCAGCAGTTGAAAAAACTCTTTAGGAAGAATCTTCAAGGTGATATTTGGGAGCCCATTGAGGCCCATGGGGAAAAACAGAATATCTCTTGATAAAAACTAGAAAAATGCTGTCCATAAAACTGCTTTGTGATGTGTGGGTTCATCTCACGGAGTTTAACCCTTTTTTTATTTCTGCTGGATGGAAACACTGTTTTTGTAGAATCTGCTAAGGCATAATTGGGAGTCCATTGATGCTCATGAAAAAAATTATCCCCAAATAAAACTAGAAAAAAGCTACCTGTGATACTGCTTTGTGATGTGTGGATTCATCTCACAGAGTTAAATATTTCTTTATATTCAGTAGGTTGAAAACACTCTTTAGAAGAATCAGTGAAAGGACATTTGGGAGCCCACTGTGGCCCATGGGAAAATATGGAATATCCCCAGATAAAAAATAGAAAGAAGCTAGCTGTCTGTGAAACACTTTGTGTTGTCTGGATTCATCTCATAGAGGTAAACTTTTCTTTTTATTCAGCCAGTTGGAACAACTCTTTTTGGAGAATCTGCCAGGGGACTTTTGACAGCCAGTTGTGGCCCATGCAAAAAAACTGAATATCCCCAGAAAAAAAAAAAAAAACTAGAAAGAAGCTATCTGTGAAACTGCTTTGTGATGCCTGTATTCATCTCACAGAGTTAAACATTGCTTTTGATTCAGCAGGTTGGAAACTCCCTTTTTGGAGAATCTGCCAAAAAATATTTGGGATCTCGGTGAAGCCCATGGGAGTGGAATGTTCCTTGGTGAAAACTAGAAAGAAAATGTCCATGAAACAGCTATGTGATTTATGGATTCATCTCACAGAGTTAACCCTTTCTTTAGTTTCAGCAGTTTGGAAACACTTCTTTTGGAGGATTTGTGAAGTGACATTCAGGAGCCCATTGAGGACAATGAGAAAAAAAAAAAGAAAAGGAATATCCCCTAGTAACATCTAGAAAGATGCTATCTGTATAACAGCCTTGTATTTTGTGGATTCATCTCACAGAGGCAAACGTTTCCTTTGATTCAGCAGGTTAAAGACACTCTCCTTGGAGAATCTCTGAAGGGACATTTGGGAGCCCATTGAGGTCTGTAAGAAAAAAAAAAAAATCTCCAGGTAAAAACTAGAAGGAAGCTATCTGTGAAATTGCTTTGTGATGTGTGGATTCATCTAAGAGAGGTAAACGTTTCCTTTGATTCAGCAGGTTGGAAACTGTCTTTCTGGAAGATCTGCAAAGGAAATTTGTGATCTCAGTGAGTCCCAAGGGGAAAAAATACATATCCCCAGATAAAAACTAGAAAGAAGCTATCTGTGAAACTGCCTTGTGACTTGTGGATTCATCTCACAGAGTTAAACCTTTCTTTTGATTCAACAGCTTGGAAACATTCTTATTGGAGAATCTACAAAGGGACATTTGGGAGTTCATTGAGGTCTATGGGGAAAAAACAAATAATCCCAGGTAAAAACTAGAAAGAAGCTATCTGTGAAACTGCTTTGTGATGTGTGGATTCATCTCACAGAGTTTAAATATTCTTTTGATTCAGCAGGTTGAAAACTCTCTTTCTGGAGTATGTGTGAAGGGTCATTTGGGATCTCTTTGAGGCATAGGCAGAAAAAAACAAATATCCTTAGATAAAAACTGGAAAGGAGCTATCTGTGAGACTGCTTTGTGATGTTTGGATTCAACTCACAGTGGTAAACCTTTCTTATGATGCAGCAGGTTGGAAACACTCTTTTTAGAGAATCTGCTAAGGGACATTTGGGAGCCTATTGAGGCCTAGGGAAAAAATCAAATACCCAGAATAAATACTGGGAAGAAGCTGCATGTGAAACTGCTTTCTGATGTGTGGATTCTTCTCACAGGGTTAAACTTTCTTAGATTCAGCAGGTTCAAAACATTCTTTTTGGACAATCTGCAAAGGGACTCTAGGAAGCCTTTTGAGGTCCATGGAGATACACCAAATATCTCCTGATAAAAACTCGAAATAGGCTATCTGTGAAACTGCTTTGTGATATGTGGGTTCAACTTACAGAGTTAAACGATTCTTTTGATTCAACAGGATGGAAACACTCTTCCTGGAGACCTACAAAGGGATATTTGGGAGTCCATTGATGCCAAAGGGATAAAAACAAAATATCCACAGGCAAAAACTAGAAAGAAGCTATTTGTGCAACTGCTTGGTGATGTGTGGTTTCATCTCACAGAGTTAAACGTTTTGTTTTGATTCAGCAGGTTGGAAACACATTTTGGGAGAATCTACAAAGGGACATTTGGGAGACCACTGTGGCCTAGGGGAATAACAGAATATCCCCAGGTAAAAACTAGAAAGAAGCTATCTGGGGAACTGTTTTGTGTTGTGTGCATTCATCTCACAAAGGTAAACTTTTCTTTTGATTCAGCGGGTTGCAATCACTCTTTCTGGTGAATCTGCAAAGGGACATTTGTGATCCCCTTCATGCATATGAAGAGAAAGGAATATTTCCAGACAAAAATTAGGAAGAAGATATCTGTGAAAATGCTCTGTGTTGCAAGGATTCATCTCACAGGGTTAAACCTTTCTTTTGATTCAGCAGGTTGAAAACACTCTTTTTGGAGAATCTGCAGGAGACATTTGGGAGCCCATGGAGGCTCCTGTGGAAAACCTGAATATTTCCAGGTAAAAACTAGAGAGAGGCTTTCTGTGTAACTGCTTTGTGATATGTGGATTCATATCACAGATTCAAACGTTTCTTTTGATTCCACCGGTTGGAAAAACTGTTTTTGTAGAATGTCTGAACCAACATTTGGGAGCCCATTTTAGCCCAAGGGAACAAATCAAATATTCCCAGATAAAAAATATAAAGAAGCTATCCGTGAAACTGCTTTGTGATGTGTGGATTCATCTTACAGTGATAAACCTTCCTTTGATTCAGCACGTTGGAAACTTTTTTTTAAGAATCTGTGAGAGGATATTTGTAAACCCATTGAGGTCTATGCAGAATAACTGAATATCCCCAGGTAAAAAGTAGAAAGAAGCTATCTGTGAAACTACTTTGTGATGTCTCAATTAATCTCACTGAGATAAACCTTTCTTTTGATTTTAAAGGTTGGAAACACTCATTTTGGAAAATTTGCCAAGAGACATTTGAGATCCTATTGAGACCAATGTGGAAAAACAGAATACCTCCAGGGAAAAACTAGAAAGAAGCTATCTGTGAAACTGCTTTGTGATGTGTGGATTGATCTCACAGTGATGAAACTTTCTTTTGACTCAGCAGTTTGGAAACATTCTTTTTGGAGAATCTGCATAGGGACATTTGGGAGCCAATTGTGGACTAAGGGAAAAAACAAATATCCCTAGGGGAAAACTGGAAAGAAGCTATCTGGGAAACTGCTTTTGGATGTGTGCATTCATCTCCCATAGTTAAACCTTTTTTTTTTTTTTTCATTTCACAGGTTGCAATCAGTCTTTTTGTAAAATCTGTGAAGGGACATTTTGGATCCCATTCAGGCCTATGAAGAAAATGGAATACATCCAGATGAAAACTAGAAAGAATCTATCTGTGAAACTACTCTGTGATGCATGAGTTAGTATTGCAGAGACAAACTTTTCTTTTGAATCAGCAGGTTGGAAATACCCTTTTTCTAGAAGCTGCAAAGGGACATTTGGGAGACCACTGCAGCCATGTTAAATAAATGAATATGGCCAAGTAAAAACTAAAAAGAAGCAATGTGTGAAACTGCTTTTTGATATGTGCGTTCATCTCAAAGAGTTAAACCTTTCTTTTGATTCAGCAGATTGGAAACACTCTTTTTGGGCAGTCTGTGAAAGGTCATTTGGAAGGCCCTTGAGGCCTATGAAGAAAAACCTAATATCCTCAGGTAAAAACTAGAAATAAACTATCTGTGAAACTGCTTTGTGATGTGTGGATTCATCTCACAGAGCTAAACTTTCCTTTTGATTCAGCAGGTTGGAAACACTCCTTTTGGAGAATCTGCAGAGGGACATTTGGGAGCCCAATGAAGCACATAGGAAAAAATATCCACAGGTAAAATTAAAGAGAAGCTATCTGTGTAACTGCTTTATGATGTGTGGATTCATCTCACAGAGATAGGCCATTCTTTTCATTCAGCAATTGGAAAGAGTCTCTTTGTTGAATATGCAAAGGGACATTTGGGATCTCATTGAGGACTATGGTGAAAAAGCAAATATCACCAGATAAAAACTAGAAAGAAGCAATCTGTGAAACTGCTTTGTGAAATGTGCATTCACCTCACTGAGTTAAACCTTTTGTTTGTTTGTTTTTGATTAAGCAGGTTGGAAATGCTCTTTTGGGGGTTCTGCAAAGAAACTTTTGGGAGCCCATTGAGGCCAATGTGAAAAGTACAACATCTCAATGTAAAACCTAGAAAGAAGCTATATGTATAACAGCTTTGTAGTTTTTGGATTCACCTCACAGAGTTAAACGTTTCCCTTTATTCAGCAGGTTGGAAACACTTTTTTGGTAGAATCTCAAAAGGACGTTTTGGAGCCAATTGAGACCAATAAAAAAACATTCCCAGTTAAAAACTAGAAAGAAGCTATCTATGAAACTGCTTTGTGATATGTGGATTCATCTCACAGAGTTAAACCTTTATTTTGATTCAGTAGGTTGGAAACTCTCTTTGTGAAGAATGTGCTGGGGGACATTTGGGAGCCCTTTGGGGCCTATGGAAAGTAACTGAATATTGCCAGAAAAAGAAAGAATCTATCTGTGAAATTTCTTTTTGATGTGTGGGTTCATCTCACAGAGTTAAAACTTTCTTTTGATTCAGCAGTTGAAAGCAGTCTTTCTGGAGAATCAGTGAAGGGACGTTTTGGAGCCCATTGCTTCCCATGTGGAAATAAGGAGTACCCCCAGTAAAATACTAGAAGGAGTACCCCCAGTAAAATACTAGAAAGAAACTATCTGTGAAACTGCTTTTTGATGTGTGGATTATCTCACAGAGTTAAACTTTTCTTTTGATTCAGCAGGTTGAAATCACTGTTTTTGAAGAATATACAAAGAGAGAGTTGGGAGCCCATTGAGGCTCAAGAATAAAACTGAATGTATCCAGGTAAAAACTGGAAAGAAGCTATCTGTATAACAGCTTTGTAGTTTGTTGATTCATCTCGCAGTGTTAAATGTTTCCTTTGATTCAGGAAGTTGGAAACACTCTGGAGGATCTGTGAAGGGATATTTGGGAGCCGTTTCAGACCTATAAGGAGAAAAAAAAAAAACAGTATTTCCAGGTAAAATTTGAAAGAAACTTCCTGTGAAGATTTTTTTTTTGTGACATTAGGATTCATTGCACAGAATTAAACACTTCTGATCCAGCAGGTTGGAAAAACTCTTTTGGGAGAATCTGCAAAAGGACATTTGGGAGACCATTGTGGCCCATGGGGATAAATTGAATGTCACCATGTAAAAACTAAAAAGAAGCTATCTGTGTACTGCTTTGTAATATGTGGTTTCATCTCACAGAATTAAATATTTCTTTTGATTGAGCAGGTTGGAAACACTCTTTTTGGGGAATGTGCAATGGAACACTTGGAAGCTCATCTAGGCCTGTGGGGTCCAAATGAATATGTCCCATTAGAGGACTAGAAAGTAGCTGTCTGTGAAACTGCTTTGTGATGTGCAGACTCATCTCACAGTGTTAAACCTTACTTTGATACAGCAGGTTGGAAACATTCTTTTTGGAGAATCAGTGAAGGGACATTTTGGAGTCCTTTGAGGCCTATGGGGAAAAACTGAATATCTTCAGAAAAAAAAAAACTGGAAAGAAGCTATCTGTGAAACTGCTTTGTGATGTGTGGATTCATCTAAATAGTTAAATCTTCCTTTTGATTCATAGGATTGGAAACAATCTTTTTGGAGGATCTGTGAAGCAACATTTGGTAGCCCATTGAGGCCTAGGTGAAAAACTACGTATCCCCAGATAAAAATTGGAAAAGAAATGTAGGTGAAACTGCTTTGTGATGTACAGATTGATCTCACAGAGTTAAACCTTTCTTTTGATTCAGCAGTTAAAAAACACTGTATTTGGAGAATCTGTGATGGGATATTTGAAAGCCCATTGAAGCCTAGAGTAAAAGCAAAATATCCCCATATCAAAATTGGAAAGAAGCTATATATGAAACTGTGTTGTGATGTGTGGATTCATCTCACAGAGGTAAACCTTTCTTTAACTCCGCAAGTTGAAAACACTCTTTCGGGAGACCTGTGAGGGGACATTTGGGAACGCTTTGAGGCTTAAGATAAATAATCGAATATCCGCAGATATAAGCTAGAAAGAATCTACCTGTGAAATTGCTTTATGTTGTGTGGATTCATCTCACAGTGTTAAATTTTGCTTTGATTCAGTAGGTGGGAAACATTATTTTTGGAGAATCTGCAAAGGAACATTTTGGAGACTTTTGAGGCCAATGGGGAAAAACAGAATATCCCCAGGAAAAAACTAGAAAGAAGCTGTCTGTGAAACTGCTTTGTGATGTCTGGATTCATCTCACAGAATTAAATATTTCTTTTGATTCAGCAGGTTGGACACCCATTTTTTGGAAAATTCCCAAAGGGACATTTGGAAGACCATTGAGGCCAACAGGGAAAAACTGAATATCTGTAGGTAAAAACTAGAAAGAAGTTATCTGTGAAACTGCTTTATGATGTGTGGATTCATCTCACAGAGTGAAACATTTCTTTTGATTCAAAAGATTGGAAATGCTCTTTTTGAGCAATCTGTGAAGGGAAAAACTGCATATCCTTAGGTAAAAACTAGAAAGAAAGTATCTGTGAAACTGCCTTATTTGATGTGGATTCATTTCACAGAGTTAAACATTTCTTTTGATTCAGGATGTTGGAATCATGCTTTCCGGAGAATCTGTGAAAAGACATTTGGGAGCCCATAGAGGCCTATAAGGAAAACCCCAATGCCTCCCCAAACCTAGAAATAATATATCTGTGAAACTGCTTTGTGATGTGTGGAGTCATCTTGCAGAGTTAGACGTTTCTTCTGATTCAGCAGGTTGGAAGCAGTTTTTTTTGGAGAATGTGTAAAAGAAAATTTGGAAGCACAGTGAGACCCATGGGGAAAAACAAAATATACCCAGGTAACAACTAGAAAGAAGCTATCAGTATGACTGCTTTGTGATGTGTGCTTCATTTCTCAGTGTTAAACGTTTCTTTCAATTCAGCAATTTGGAAACACTCTTTTTGAGAATCTGAGAAGAGACTTTGGGAACCCATTGAAGATTATGGGGAAAAACACAATATCCCCAGGTAAAAAATAGAAAAAAGCTATCAAAGAACCTGCTTTGTGATGTGTGGATTCATCTCACAGAGATAAACATTTCTTTTGAGTCAGCAGGTAAAAGACACTCTTTCTGGAGAATCTACAATGGAACATTCGGGAGCCCATTGAATCTTATGGGGAAAAACTGAATATCCCTAGGTAAATACTAGGAAGAATATCTGTAAAACTACTTTGTGATGTGTGGATTCATTTAACAGAGGTAAAACGTCCTTTCTATTCAGCAGGTTGGAAACACTCTTTTTGGGAAATCTGTTTAGGGACATTTGGAACCCCATTGAAGCCTAGAGGAAAAACTGAATATCACAGATAAAAATTGGAAATAAGATGTATGAGAAACGGCTTCATGAGGTGTGGATCATCTCACAGAGTTAAATCTTTCTTTTGATTCAGCAGGTTGGAAACATGTTTTTTGGAGAATCTACGAAGGGATATTTGGGAGCTCATTCAGGCCCATGGAGAAAAACAAAATATCCCCAGGCAAAAACTCGAAGGAAGGTATCTATGAAACTGCTTTGTGATGTGTGGATTCATCTAACAGAGTTAAAACTTTCTTTTGATTCAGCAGGATGGAAACACTCTTTTTGGGGAATCCACAAAGGGACACTTAGGAGCCCTAGGGGCCCATGTGGAAAAACAGAATGTACCCAGGTAGAAACAAAACAAGCTGTCTGTCAAACAACCTTGTGATATGTGGATTCATCTCACAGAGTTAAAACTTTCTTTGGATTCAGCAGGTTGGAAACACTCTTTTTGGAGTATCTGTGAAGGGACATTTGGAAGTCCATTGAGGCCAATGGGGAAAAATGGAATATCCAATGATAAAAACTAGAAAGAAGCTGTCTGTGAAACTGCTTTGTGATTTGCAGATTCAGCAAACAGAGTTAATCCTTTCTTTTGATTGGACAGGTTGAAAACACTTTTTTTTTTTTTTTTTTTTTTTTTTGGAGAATCTGTGAAGCGACATTTTAGATCCCATTAAAGATCATGGGGAAAGTCAGAATGTTCTCAGGTAAAAACTTGAAAGAAGCTATGTGTGAAACTGCTTTGTGATTTGTGGATTCATCTCAGAATTAAACCTTTCTTTTGATTCAGCAAGTTAGAAAATCTCAGCCAGGTGGGGTGGCTCATGCCTCTAATCCCAGGACTTTGGGAGGCTGAGGCAGGTGGATCACAAGGTCAGGAGATCGACACAGTCCTGGATAACATGGTGACACCCCATCTCTAATAAAAATACAAAAATTTTAGCCAGAAATAGTGGTGGGTGCCTGTAGTCCCAGCTACTTGGGAGTCTGAGGCAGGAGAATGGCATGTAACCAGGAGGTGGAGCTTGCAGTGAGTGGGAAATTGCACCACTGCACTCCAGCCTGGGTGACAGAGCAAGACTCCACCTCCAAAAAAAAAAAAAAAAGAAAAGAAAATGTCTTGTTGGAGTATATGCAAAGGGATATTTAGGAGCCCATTGAGGCCCATGTGGAAAAACTGAATATTCCCAGGTAAAAACAAGAAAAAAGCTGTCTGTGAAACTCATTTGTGATGTGTAGATTCATCTCACAGGGTTAAAAGTTTCCTTTGATTCAGCAGTTTGGAAACACTCTTTTTTAGAGATTCTGCTAAGGGATATTTGTGAGCCCATTGAAGCCTATGGGGAAAATCCAAAAATCCCTAGGTAAAAAACTAGAAAGAAGGTATCTGTGAAACTGCTTTGCCATGTGTGGATTCATCTCATAGAGATAAACCTGTTTTTTGACTCAGCAGGTTGAAACACTCTTTATGGAGGATCTGCAAAGGGACGTTTGGAAGCCCATTGAGGCCAATGTGAAAAACCAAATATTGTCAGGTAAAAACCAGAAAGAAGCTATCTGTAAAACTACTTTGTGGTTTGTCGATTCTTCTCACAGAGTTAGGCGTTTTCTTTGATTCAACAGGTTGGAAAAAATCTTTTTGGAAAATTTGCAAAGGGACATTTGGAGCCCATTGAGGCATACAGGGAAAAACCCAATATCCCCAGGTAAAAACTAGAAAAAACTTTCTATGAAACTTCTTTATGATGTGTGGATTCATCTTACTGAATTAAACGTTTCTTTAGATTTAGCAAGTTGGAAACCCTCTTTTTGGAGAATCTGCAAAGGGATTTTTGGGAGCCCATTGAGGCCCATGAGAAGAAACTGAATTTCCACAGGAAAAACTAGAAAGAATCTGTGCAACAGCTTTGTGATGTGTGGATTCATCTCATAGAGTCAAATCTTTCTTTCGATTCAGCAGGTTAAAAACACTGTTTTTGGAGAATCTATGAAGGGATTTTTGGCAGCCCATTAAGGTCTACTGAGAAAAAAACAAATATCCTCAGGTAAAAACTAGAAAGAAGCTATCTGTGAAACTGCTTTTGTTCATGTGTGGATTTATCTCACAGAGTTAAACCTTTCTTTGGATTCAGCAGATTAAAAACACTCTTTTTGGAGAATCTGCATAGGGACATTTGGGAGTCCATTCAGGCCTATGTGGAAAAACCCAACATCCCCAGCAAAAAATTAGAAAGAAACTGTCTGTGAAATTGCTTTCTGATGTGTGGATTTGTCTCACAAAGTTAAAACTTTCTTTTGATTTATCTGGTTGGAAATGTGGGAAAGAGAGTTTCTGGGGTGCCAGTTGTGTTGGTCTTCCCTGTGTGAGACACCCATGGAAAGCCATGGGTGGCCTCTGAGGAAAAACGTCTCCTTATTACCTTCAGGTTTTTATGCCTCTAGAGCATAACCACTCAGCAGCATTCCACAGTTTTCTCAGGGAGATAATACTCCCTTGAAGCAGTGGAGTATAGTCAAACATCTGGGCTTCTCCTAAAACCTGCTCCCACCTGTTTCAGTCCCAATAAGTTAAAGATCTTAAGTAGTTTAGACACACTCCTCTCCACAAGGAAATACATAGAAATCACCACTGCTGTAGTCTTATCAAATGACTCACAAGATCTCCTTCACTGATTAATCCTTTTCTTCATTCCTTGCTCCCCCTCTCATCTGCTGTAAGAACAGCCTGTATATCAATAGATTGTGTGGAGCCTGAGAGCTCTGGGCTGTGAGCAAACCTTCAATGCTCCAGTCCCCTAGACCCACATTTTAAACACTTATTCTGTCTAACTCTTTTTTCTCCACCAGAGTCAGTGTACCCACTGGGTAGTGCGGGGCTGGTTTCCCCAATATCTGGCACCCAACGCAGGTATCCCTGTAATATCTACAAATAATCCAGTGAAGAAATGCCAGAGCATGGAAAGTGGAGCGTGACTGACAAAGGACACCCACGTACGTTTTTACTTCAGGATCTATGGAGAATTCCATGGTAACCTCAGGAAAATATGGATCAGGCTGAAAGTAAGTTTACTAATTACTTAAGCCTGGTGCCACAGTTATTGTGTCACAGTGGGACAATTGTGAGTACCTGAAATCTCACATCTTTGTTCCATCTCATAGAAGAGTATTCTCCTTGGTTCCCAGAATATGGCACCAGGAATATAAAAGATTGGTATAAGGTTGGTTCAGACTTAAAACCAGCACAGCAAGAGAGCCACAACATTCCTTTCTCCACTTGGTCTGTGTGGTTGGCAACTAAAACAGCACTGAAGTGCTTCCTCACTGAGGAGGAAGGAGTAGGAGTTTCAGGATGACGTAGAAAAGTTTAATAATCAGAAGTCTGATGATCAGCAAAGTGAACCATCACAGTCTAGGTTTAAAAAGGGGGAGAAATGGGAAGCTATATATGCTAACCTCCAAAAAATTAAGAAAGGAACAGTTCCAACTACTGCAGAAACAGTACCACCTACTGTGCCTTTAAGGGAAGGCCTGGAATGGCCACCCCTGCCTCAGCCTTATGAATTTTTGGAAAGGGAGCCTGAGATGTGGCTTACTACTCTAAATGTTGCATGTCCCACCATTAACTATGGTGAAGGGAAGCTTCAGGCTTGCCCAACAGCCAATTACAGTGAGAGAATGATCGCGGCTTGTCCACCAGTTAATTATGGTAAAGGAATGCTCCAAGCCAACCCAAATACAAATTATGATTCAGGGAGGAGGCCAGAGAACATGCTCAAGCACACTGGGAGCTGTTTCCTCTTAAAATATTAAAAGACTTAAAGCAATCAATTGGACAATATGGACCAAATTCTCCTATGTTCATTCCTTATTACAATCTGTGGCTTATAACCAACATTTAATATGGATTAGAAGTCATTAGCCTGATCAACCCTGTCCCTCTCTCAATTTCTGTAATTTAAAACCTGGTGGATGGATGAAGCAACAAATCAGGCATGCAGAAATGCTCAAGCCTAACCTCCCATTAATATCACATCTGATCAATTGCTTGGAATTGGACAGGCATGAGGTACTGGAAATCAACCAATGGTAATGGGTGTTGAAGCTGTTGATCATCTCAGAAATATATGCCTAAGAGCCTCGAAAAAGTTCATGACCCTGGTACTACTTACCCTTCTTCTAACTCAGTTCAACAGGCTCCAAGAGAGCTTTATCCAGATTTTGTCACCCTTTTGCAAGACACAGCTCAAAAGGCCACTTTGGATTATCAAGTCAAGAAAGTGATCCGTGAAGGAAAATTTTGGAGTCTGCTGAAACCTATGGGGAAAAACATTATATTCATAGGTAAAAACTAGAAAGAAGCTATCCGTGGAACTGTTTTATGATGTGTGGATTCACCTCACAGAGATAAAACTTTCTTTTGATTCAGCAGGTTTGAAACACTCTTTTTGGAGAATCTGCAATGAAACATTTGAGAGTGCACTGAGGCCTATGAGGAAAAACTGAATATCTCCAGAAAAAAACTAGAAAGTAGCTATCTGTGAAACTGCCTTGTGATATCGGGGTTTATCTCACAGGGTTAAAGCTGCCTTTTGATTCAGAAGTTAGAAACACTGTTTTTGGAAAATCTGCAAAAAGACATTTGGAAGGCCATTGAAGCCTCTGGGAAAAAAAACAAATATCTTCAGAAAAAAACTAGAATCTCTCTGTAAAACTACTTTCTGATGTGTAGATTCATCTAACAGAGTTAAACCTTTCTTTTCATTCAGCAGGTTGTAAACACTCTTTTTGTGGAATCTGCAAAGGCACATATTGGAGCTCACTGAAGCATAAGTGAAAAACAAAGTATCCTCAGATAGAAACTAGAAAGAAGCTATCTGTGAAACTGCTTTGTAATATTTGGATTGATCTCAAAGAGTTAAACCTTCCTTTTGATTCAGTAAGTTGTAAACACTCTTTTTAATGAATCTCCAAAGGGACTTTTTGAGCCCATTGAGTCCTTGGGGAGAAACTGAATATCCCCAGGTGAAAATTATAAAGAAGCTATCTGTGAAACTGCTTTCTGATATTTGGATTCATGTCACAGAATTAAAATTTCCTTTTTATTCAGCAGGTTGGGAACACTGTTTTTGGAGAATCTGTGAAGGCATATTTGGGAGACCTTTGAGTTTTATGCAGAAAAACATAATTTCAAGAGATAAAAACTAGAAAGAAGCTATTTGTGAAACTGTTTTGTGACTTGTGGATTCATTCCACAGAGTTAAAGCTTTCTGTTGATTCAGCAGGTTGAAAACCCTCTTTTAGGAGAATGTGCAATAAAACATTTGGGAGCCCTTTGAGGCATATGGGGAGAAACGAAACATCTCCATTTAAAAACTAGAAAGAAGTGAGGGAGTGATCCAAGATGGCCGAATAGGAACAGGTCCAGTCTACAGTTCCCAGAGTGACACAGAAGACAGGTAATATCTACATTTCCATCTGAGGTACTGGGTTCATCTCTCTGGGGCCTTTTGGACAGTGGGTGCAGCCCATGGAGTGTGAGCTGAAGAAGGGTGGGACATTGCCTCACCTGGGAAGCACAGGGGGTCGCAAAATTCCCTTTCCTAGCCAAGGGAAGACATGACAGATGGTACTGAAAAATCAGGACACTCCCATCCTAATACTGCACTTTTCCAACAGTCTTAGCAAATGGCACAACAGGAAATTACATTCCATTCCTGGCTCAGAGGGTCTGACACCCACAGAGCTTTGCTCACTGCTAACACAGCAGTCCAAGATCAAGCTGCAAGGCAACTGCAAGGCTGAGGGAGTGGTATACACCATTGCTGAGGCTTCAGTAGGTAAACAAAGCAGCTGGGAACTTCAAACTGGGTGGGGCCCATCACAGCTCAATGAGGCCTGCCTGCTACTGTGGACTCCACCACTGGGGGCAGGATATAGCTGAACAAAAGGCAGCAGAAACTTCTGCAGACATAAGTCCCTGTGTGACAGCCTTGAAGAGAGTAGTGGTTCTTCCAGCATGAAGTTTGGGATCTGAGAATGGACAGACTACCTCCTCAAGTCATTCCCTGACCCCCAAGTAGCCTAACTGAGAGACAACTCCCAGTAGGGGCTGACTGACACCTCATACAGCTGGGTGCCCCTCTAAGACGAAGCTTCCAGAGGAAAGATCAGGCAGCAACATTTCTTTTTGTGCAGTATTTGCTCTTCTACAGCCACCACTGGTGATACCCAGACAAAGAGGACCTGGAGTAGACTTCCAGCAAAGGCCAACAGAGCTGAAGCTGAGGGCCCTGGCTTTTAGAAGGAAAACTAACAAACAGAAAGGAATAGCATCAACATCAACAAAAAGAACATCCATGCCAAAGCCCCATCTGAAGTTCACCATCATCAAAAACCAAAGGTAGATAAAACCACAAAGATGGGCAGAAACCAGAGCAAAGAAGCTGAAAATTCTAAAAATCAGTGTCTTTTCTCCTCCAAAGGAAAACAAGCTCCTCCTCAGCAACAGAACAAAGCTGGAGGGAGAATGACTTTGATGAGTTGACAGAAGTAGGCTTCAGAAGATTGGTAATAACAAATTTTCCGAGCTAAAGAAGGATGTTTGAACACATTGCAATGAAGTTAAAACTTAGAATAAAGATTAGACGATTGGCTAACTAGAATAAACAGCATAGAGAAGACCTTAAATGACCTGATGGAGCTGAAAACCATGGCACGAGAACTATGTGATTCGTGCACAAGCTTCAAAAGCTGATTCAATCAAATGGAAGAAAGCATATCAGTGATAGAAGATAAAATTAATGAAACAATGCAAGAACAGAAGTTTAGAAAATAAAGAGTAAAAAGAAACAAATAAAGCCTCCAAGAAATACGGGACTATGAAAAAAGACCAAATCTACATCTGATTAGTGTACCTGAAAGTGACAGGGAGAATGGAACCAAGTTTGAAAACACTAGGCAGGATATTTTCTGGGACAACTTCCCCAATCTAGCAAGGCAGACCAACATTCAAATTCAGGAAATAGGGAGAATGCTGTAAAGATATTCCTCAAGAAGAGCAAACACAAGACACATAATTGTCAGATTCACCAAGGCTGAAATGAAGGAAAAAATGTTAAGGGAAGCCAGAGAGAAAAGTTGGGTTTCCCACAAAGGGAAGTCCATCAGACCAACAGCTGATCTCTTGGCAGAAACTCTACAAGCCAAAGAGAATGGGGGCCTATATTCAACATTCTTAAAGGAAAGAATTTTCAATCCAGAATTTCATATCCAGCCAAACTAAGCTTCATAAGTGAAGGAGAAATAAAATCCTTTACAGACAAGCAAATGCTAAGAGATTTTGTCACCACCAGGCCTGCCCTACAAGAGCTCCTGAAGGAAGCACTAATAATGAAAAGGAACAAACAGTAACAGCCACTGCAAAAACATGCTAAACTGTAGACCATCAATACTAGGAAGAGACTGCATCAACTAACGAGCAAAAATAACCAGCTAACATACTAATGACAGTATCAAATTCAGACATAACAATATTAACCATCAATATAAATGGGCTAAATGCCCCAATTAAAAGACAGACTGGCAAATTGAATAGTGTCAAGACCCATCAGTGTGTTGTATTCAGGAGATCCATCTCATATGCAGAGACACACATTGGCTCAAAATAACCGGACGGAGGAAGACCTACCAAGCAAATGGAAAACAAACAAACAAAAAGCAGGGTTTTCAATCCTAGTCTCTGATAAAACAGACTTTAAACCAACAAAGATCAAAAGAGACAAAGAAGGCCATTACATAATGGTAAAGTGATCAATTCATCAAGAAGAGCTAACTATCCTAAATACATATGCATCCAATACAGAAGCAACCAGATTCATAAGGCAAGTTCTTAGAGACTACAAAGAGACTTAGAATCCCACACAATAATAACGGGAGACAGTAACACCCCACTGTCAAAAATAGACAGAGCAACAAGACAGAAACTTAACAAGGATAACCAGGACTTCAACTCAGCTGTGGACCAAGTGGACCTAGTAGACATCTACAGAACTCTCCACCCCAAATCAAAACAATATACATTCTTCTCAGCACCACATCACACTTATTCCAAAATTGACCACATAGTTGGAAGTAAAGCACTCCTAAGCAAATGTAAAAGAACAGATATTATAACAATCTCTCTCTCTGATGAAAATGCAATCAAATTAGAACTCAGGATTAAGAAACACACTCAAAACCACACAACTACATGGATATTGAACAACCTGCTCCTGAATGACTGCTGGGTAAATAATGAAATGAAGGCAGAGATAAAGATGTTCTTTGAAACCAAACAGAACAAAGACTAAACATACTAGAACCTCTGGGACACATTTAAAGCAGTGTGCAGAGGGAAATTTATAGCACCAAATCCCACAAGAGAAAGCAGGAAAGACCTAAAATTGACAGCCTAACATCACAATTAAAAGAACTAGAGAATCAAGAACAAACACATTCAAAAGCTAGCAGAAGTTGAGAAATAACTAAGATCAGAACACAACTGAAGGAGATAGAGACGTTAAAAAAAACCCCTTCAAAAATAAATGAATCCAGGAGCTGGTTTTTTTGGAAAGATCAACAAAATTGATAGACCACTAGCAAGACTAATACAGAAGAAAAGAGAAGAATCGAATATAGGCAATAAACCTTCCCAAGACTAAACCAGGGAGACGTTGAATCCCTGAATAGACCAATAAGAGGCTCTGAAATGGAGACGATAATTAGTAGCCTACTAACAAAAAAAGTGCAGGACCAGACGGATTCACAGCTGAATTCTACCAAAGGTACAAAGAGGAGCTGATACCATTCTTTCTGAAACTATTCCAATCAATACGAAAAGAGGGAATCCTCCCTAACTCATTTTATGAAGCCAGCATCATCCTGATACCAAAGCCTGGCAGAGACATAACAAAAAAAGAGAATTTTAGACCAATATCCCTGATGAATATTGAAGCAATAATCCTCAATAAAATACTGCCAAACCGAATCCAGCGGCACATCAAAAAGCTTATCCTGCACAATCCAGTTGGCTTCATCCCTGGGAGGCAAGGCTGTTCATCATATGGGAATCAATAAACGTAATCCATCATATAAAGAGAACCAAAGACAAAAACCACATTATTGTCTCAATATATGCAGAATAGACTTTTCACAAATTTCAACAGCCCTTCATGCTAAAAATTCTCAATAAACTAGGTATTGATGGGACATATCTCAAAATAATAAGAGCTATTTATGACAAACCCACAGCTAATATCCTATTGAGTGGGCAAAAACTGGAAGCATTCACTTTGAAAACTGGCCCAAGGCAGGGATACCCTCTTACCACTCCTATTCAATATAGTGTTGGAAGTTCTGGCTAGAACAATCAGGCAGGGGAAAGAAATAAAGGGTATTCAATTAGGAAATGAGGAAGTCAAATTGTCCCTCTTTGCAGATCACATGATTTTATACTTAGAAATCTCCACTGTCCCAACCCAAAATCTCCTTAAGCAGATAAGCAACTTCAGCAAAGTCTCAGGATACAAAATCAAAGGGCAAAAATCACAAGCATTCCTATACACCAATAACAGACAAACAGAGAGGCAAAACATGAGTGAACCCCCATTCACAATTGCTTCAAGGAGGATAAAATACCTAGGAATCCAACTTCCAGGGGACATGAAGGACCTCTTCAAGGAGAACAACAAAGCACTGCTCAAAGAAATGAAAGAGGACACAAACAAATGGAGGAACATTTCATGCTCATGGTTCAGCAAGTTGGAAACAATCTCCTTGGAGAATCTGCAAAGGAACTTTTGTAAGTCCACTGAGGCCTTTTGGGAAAAACTCAATATCCCCAGATAAAAACAAGAAAGAAGCTGCCTGTGTAACTACTTTGTGATGTGTGTATTCAACTCACAAAGTTAAAACTTTATGTGGATTCAGCAGGTTGGAAATGCTCTTTGTGGAGAATCTGCAAATGGACATTAGGCAGTCCATTGAGGCCTAAGGGGAAAATCAGAATATCCCCAGAAAAACTAGAAAGTAGCTTTCTGTGAAACTGCTGTGTGATGTTTTAATTAATCTCACAGGGTTAAAAATTTATTTTGATTCGGCAGTTTGAAAACACTCGGTTTGAGGAATCTGCTAAGGGGCATTTGGGATTCCATTCAGGCCTATCGGGAAAAGTCAAATATCCCGGGGTAAAAACTGGAAAGGATCTCTCTGTGAAACTGCTTTGTGATGTGTAAATTTATCTCACAGAGGTAAAACTTTCTTTTGTTTCAGCAGGTTGGAGACAACTCTTTTTGAAGAAATTGCAAAAGGGCATTTGGAAGCCCACTGTGGCTCATGGGGAAAAACTGAATATCCTGAGACAAAAACTAGAGAGAAGCTATCCTTGAAACTGCTATGTGATGTATGGATTCATCTCACAGAGTTAAACCTTTTTCTGATTCAGCAGGTTGGAAACACTCTGGGACATTTGAGAGCCACTGAGGCCTAAGGGGAAAAACAGCTACTTGGGAGACTGGGGGAGGAGAATGGCATGAACCTGTGAAGCAGAGCTTGTGGTGAGCCGAGATTGCACCACTGCACTCCAGCCTGGGTGACAGAGCAATAATCCATCTCAAAAAAAAAAAAAAAAAAAAAAAAAAAAAAAAGACTTTCTATTGATTCAGCAGATGGAAAAACTCTTTTTGTAGATTATGCAAAGAGATACTTTAGAGCACAGTTAAGACGTATGGTGGTAACAGAATATCCCACAATAAAAACAACAGAAAATAGCTGTCAGTGTAACTTATTTGTATTGTGTGGATTTAGCTCACAGAGTTAAACCTTTCTTTTGATTCAGCAGTTTGGAATTACTCTTTTTGTGGATTGTATGAAGGGATATTTCAGAGCCTGCTATGCCCTATAGTGAAAAACAAAATATCTTGTGACAAAGTCCAGAAAGAAGCTATCTGTGAAACTGCTTTGTGGTGTCTGCATTCAGCTCACAGAGTTAAACCTTTCTTTTTATTCCACAGTAGGGAAACACTCTTTTATAGAATCTAGAACAGACATTTCAGAGCCCACCATGCAAATAGGAAAAATTTTGACTATCTTGTGATAAAATCTAGAAAGTAGCTATCTGTGAAACTGAATTATGAAGTGTCGATTCAGCTCACAAAATTAAACTGTTTTTTTGACTCAGCAGTTTTGAAACACTCTTTTTGTAGAATCAGTGAAGGGACATTTCAGTGCACAGTAAGTCCTATAGTGAAAAGCTGAATATTCTGTGATAAAAACTACGAAGAAGAAATCTGTGTAATTGTTTTGTGATATGTGCATTCAACTCACAGAGTTAAACCTATCTTTTGATTCTGCAGGTTGGAAACACTCTTTTTGTAGAATCTGTGAGGGGCAATTCAGAGAACAGCAAGGCCTATAATGAAACACCAAATATGCCCAGACAAAAACTGGAAAGAAGTTATCTGTAAAACTGCTTTGTGATGTATGCATTCAGCTCAGAGTTAAACCTTCCCATTGATTCAGCTGTTTGGAAACACTCTTTTGTAGAATCTGCAAAGGTACATTTCAAAGTGCATTAAGGCCTATAGCAAAAAAACGAATATCCCTAAACAAAAAGTAGAGAGAAGTTGTCATAGAACTTCTTTCTGATATGTGCATTCAGCTCACAGGGTTAAACCTTACCATTGATTCAGCAGTTTGGAAACACTCCTTTTGTAGATTCAGCAAAGGGACATTTGGGAGGGCATTGAAGTCTATAGTGAAGCATCAAATATTCCTTGATAAACAATTGAAAGAAACTCTCTGTAAAACTGCTTTGTGAGGTATGGATTCAGTTTACAGATTTAAACCTTTTTTTTTCATTCAGCAGTTTGGAAACACTCTTTTTGTAGAATCTGCAGGAGACATTTCAGAGTGCAGTAAAGCCTATAGTGAAAAACCAATTATCTCACAATAAAAACTATAAAGAAGTTATCTCTGAATCTGATTTGTGATGTGTGCATTCAGCTCACAGAGCTAAACCATTGTTTTCATTCAGCAGTTTGGAAACACTGATTTTTAAACTCTACCAAGAGACACTTTGGAGTATATTGAGATCCACAGTGAAAAACCGAAAAGCCCGGGATAAAAACTAGTAACAAGCTATCTGTGAAACTGCTTTGTGATGTGTGCATTCAGCTCACAGAATTAAGCCTTTGTTTTGATTCAGCAGATTGGAAACATCCTTTTTGTAGAATCTACAAAGTGATATTTTGGGGTGCAGTAAGGCCTACAGTGAAAAACAGAATATCTCAAAATAAAAACTAGTAAGAAGTTACTTGTGAAATTGCTTTGTGATGTGTGCATCCAGCTCACAGAGTTAAATTTAACTTTTGATTCAAAAGTTTGGGAACACTCTTTGTCTAGAATCGGTGAAGGGATATTTCAAAGGGCATTGAGGTCTATACTGAAAAAATGAATATGCCACTATTAAAACTAGAAAAATAATTGACTGCGCATCGTGGCTTATGCCCCTAGTCCTAGCATTGTGGGATGCTGTGTGGGTGGATCACGAGGTCAGGAGTACAAGACAAGCCTGGCCAAGATGGTGAAACCCCGTCACTAGTATAAAAACAAAAATTAGCTGGGCACAGTGACAGGAGCCTAAATCTCAGCTACTTGGTACGTTGAGGCTGGAGAATCACTTGAACCAGGGTGGCAGAAGTTGCAGTGTGCCAAGATCCAGCCTCTGCACCCCAGCCTGGTTGACAGAGTGAGACTCCATCTCATAAAAAAAATCTAGAAAGAATCTATCTGTGAAGCTCCTTTGTGATGTGTGCGTTCAGCTCACAGAGTGAAACCTTTATTTTGATTCAGCAGATTGGAAACCCTCTTTTTACAGTACCTATAAAATGACATTTTGAGGCATAGTAAGGCCTACAGTGAAAAACAGAATATCCCAAAATAACTAGTAAGAAGCTACTTGTGAAACTGCTTTGTGATGTATAAATTCTGCTCAGATAATTAAACCTTACTTCTGATTCAGCAGTTTGGAAACACTCTTTTGGTAGAATCTGTGAAGCGACACTTAGGAGCCCACTGAGGCAAATAGTGAGAAATGGAATATCCCAAAATAAAAATTTGAAAGATACTATCTGCGAAACTCCTTTGTGTTGTGTGCTTTCAGTTCGTGGTGTACAGCATTACATTTGATTCAACAATTTGAAAACACACTTTTTGTAGGATCTGTGAAAGGATATTTCAAGGCCCAGAAGGCCTGTACTGAAAAACACTATATCCCATGATAAAAACTAGAAAGAAGCTGTCAATGAAACTGTTTTGTGATTTGTGCATTAAACTCGTAGAGTGAAACCTTTCTCTTTTTTTAATTCAGAAGTTTGGAAGCACTCTTTTTGTAGAATCTGAGAAGGCACATTTATGAGGGTATTGAGGCCTATAGTGAAAAACCAAAAATCTTCTGATAAAAACTAGAAAGAAGCTTTCTGTGAAACTGCTTTGTGATGTGTGGATTCAGCTCATAGAGTTAAACCTTTCTTTTAATTCAGCAGTTTGGAAACCCTCATTGTGTAGAATCTGCAAAGGGACATTTGGGAATGCACTGAGGCATATAGTGAAAAACTGAATATCCCACGACAAAAACTACAGAAAAACCTATCCATGAAACTACCTTGTGACGTGCGAATTCAGATCACAGAGGTAATCCTGTCCTTTGATTCAGCAAGTTGGAAACACTCTTTTTTGTAGTATTTGCAAAGGGACAATTTGGAGGGCATTGAGGCCTATAGTGAAAAACCGAATATACCACAATGAAAACCTAGAAGAAGCTATCTTTGAAACTTCTTTGTGATGCATGCATTCAGCTCGTAGAGTGAAATCTTTTGTTTGATTCAGCAGGTTGGAAACACACTTTTTGTAGAATCTGCAAAGGGTTTTGGAGCTCTTTGGGGCATATAGTGAAAACCTGAATATCTCTGGATAAAACCTAGAAAGAAGATATTTGTGAAACTGCTTTTGATGTGTGCATTCAGTTCACAAAGTTGAATCTTCCTTTTGAATCAGATGTTTTTAAACAGCTTCTTTATAGAGTCTGTGAAGAAACAATTTAGAGACCACAGAGCCCTGTAGTGAAAAACCAAGTATCCTGAAATAAAAACAAGAAAGAAGATATTTGTGAACGTGTTTTGTGACATGTGCATGCAGTTCACAGAGTTAAACCTTACTTTTGATTCAGTAGTTTTGAAACACTCTTTTTGTAGAATCTGCAAAGGGACATTTCAGAGCCCACTGAGTCCTAAAAGTGAAAAACTGAATATCACAAAATAAAATATCCTAGAAAGAATCTACCCACCAAACTTCTTTGTGATGTGTGCATTCAGTTCACAGAGTGAAACCTTTCTTTTGATTCAGCAGACTGGAAACACTTTTTCTAGAATCTACAAAGCGACATTTTGGGGTACAGTAAGTCCTACAGTGAAAAACAGATCACAAAATAAAAACTGGGAAGAAGCTATTTGTGAAACTGCTTTGTGATGTGTACATTAATGTCAAAGATTTCAACCTTAATTTTGATTCAGCAGTTTGGAAACACTCTTTTTGTAGAATCTGCAAAGTGACACTGCAGACCTCACTGAGGCCTATAGTGAAAAACTGAATATCCCAAAATAACATCTAGAAAGAAGCTATCTGTGAAACTGCTTTGTGACATACACATTCAGTTCGCATTTTTCAATGTAACGTTTGACTCAACAGTTTCAAAATATTCCTCTTATAGTATCTGCAAAGAAACATTTTGGTGCCCACTGAGGCACCAAATATATGAAAAAAATATATATCCTAAAATGAAAATGAGAAACTGTGGAACTGTGAAACTGTAAATCTGTGAAACTGCTTTCTCATGTGTGGATTCAGCTTTCAGGGTTGAACCTTTCTTTTGATTAAGCAGTTTGGAAACACCCTTATTGCGGAATCAGCCAGGGGATATTTCAGTCCACTGAGACCTGTAGTGAAAAACAGAATATCCCATGATAAAACTAGAAAGAAGCTATCTGTGAAACTGCTTTCTGATGTGTACCTTCAGCTCACAGAGTTAAAACTTACTTTTGATTCAGCAGATTGGAATGGCTCTTTTTGTAGAATATGCAAATGGAAATTTTGGAGGGGATTGAGGCTTACAGTAAAAAACCGAATATCTCATGATAAAAACTAGAAAGAAAGTATCTGTGAAACTGCTATGTGATGTGTGGATTCAGCTCACAGAATGAAACCTTTCTTTTGATTCATCAGTTTGGAAATATCCCATGACAAAAACTCAAAAGAAGCTATCTGTGAAACTGCTTTGTGATGTCTGCATTTGGCTTACAGAGTTAATCCTTTCTTTTGATTCAACAGTTTAAAAACACCCTTTTTGCAGAATCTCTGAAGGGAGAATTTAAAGGGCACTGAGGGCTTAAGTGAAAAACAAAATATCCTGAAATAAAAACAAGAAAGGAGCTAGCTGTGAACCTGTTTTGTGACGTCTGTATGCACTTCACAGAGTTAAACCTTACTTTGGATTCAGCAGTTTGGAAACACTCTTTTTGTAGAATCTGTGAAGGGACATTTCTGAGCCCACTGAGGCCTGTAGTGAAAAACTGAATATCTTGAAATAAAAACTAGAAAGAAGCTGTTTGTGAAACTGTTTTGTGATGTATGCATTCAGCTTACAGAGTTAAGCCTTACTTTTGATTCAGCAGTTTGGAAACGTTCTTTTTGTAGATTGTGTGTCAGAACATTTCAAAAGGCATTGAGGCCTATAATGAAAAACTGAATATCCTTTGATAAAGACTAGAAAGAAGCTATATAGAAAACTGATTTGTGATGTGTGGATTCAGCTCAGAGACTGAAACCTTTCTTTTGATTAGGCATGTTGTAAACACTATTTTTGTAGAATCTATTAAGGAATTTTCTCAGCCCGCTGAGGCCTATAGTGAAACACAGAATATCAAGCCATAAAAATGGGAAAGATACTGTCTGTGAATTTGCTTTTTGAGTTGTGAATTCAGCTGACAAAGTTAAACCTGTCTTTGATTCAGTAGGCTAGAAACAGTTTTTTGTGGAATCAACCAAGGGACATATCACACCTCACTGAGACCTATAGTAAATGTCAAATATCTCACAATACAATTTAGAAAGAAGCTATCTGTGAAACTGCTTTGTGATTTGTGGATTCACCTCACACACTTAAGCTTTTTTATTTGATTCAATAGTTTTGAAGCACTCTTTATGTAGAATATGTGAAGAAACGTTTCAGAAGCCCCTGAGGTCTTTATTGAATAACCTAATATCCTGTGATAAAAACTAGAAAAAAGCTATCTGGGAAACTGCTTTATGGTGTGTACATTCAGCTCACAGATTTAAACTTTTCTTTTACTAAGAAGTTTGGAAACACACTTTTTGTACAATCAGCAAAGGGAGATTTTGCAGTTCAGTGAGGCCTATGGTGAAAAAAATGCATATCCCATGATAAATCTACAAAAATCTATCTGTGAAACTGCTTTGTGATGAGTCCATTCAGCTTTCTTTTGATTCAGCTTTTTTTGATTCCATAGGATGGAAACTCTTTTTGTAGAATCTGTAAAGAGACAGTACAAAGTTAACTGAGTTCTCTAGGGAAAAACTAATTATCCTGTAATAAAAACTAGAAAGAAGCTATCTGTGAAGCTTCTTTGCTCTGTGTGTATTCAGCTTACAGTGCTAACCTTACTTTTATTCAGCTATTTGGAAACAGTCTGAAGAATCTACAAAGGGACATTTTGGAACACAGTGAGGTCTACAGTGAAAATCAGAATATCCCACAATAAAAACTGGAAAAAAGGTATCTGTAGAACTGCTTTGTGATGTGTGGTTTCATCTTGCAGGATGAAACCTTTCTTTTGATTAAGCAGATTGGAAAGACTGTTTTTGTAGAATTGGCAAAGCATCATTTTGAAGGTCATTAAGACCCACAGTGAAAAACAGAATATCCCTTGATAAAAACTAGCAAGAAACATCTGTGAAACTGCCTTGTGATGTGGGCATTCAGCTCACAGGGTTAAAACTTTCTTTTGATTTGGGAGTTTGAAAACACTCTTTTGTAGGATCCATGAAGCTACATTTCAGAGATCATTTTGACCTATAGTGAAAAACCGAATATTTCTTGATTAAAGACTAGAAAGAAACTATATGTGAAACTGCTTTGTGATGTGTGGATTCATCTCACAGATTCAAACGTTTCTTCTGATTCAGCAGTTTGGAAACACTCTTTTTGTAGAATCTGCAAAGGGACATTTCCTGGCACAGTAAGGCCTATAGTGAAACATGGAATTTTAATAGATAAAAATTAGAAAGAAGCTATCTGTGAAAATGCTTTGTCATATGTGCAAACAGCTCACAGAGTTAAGCTTTACTTTTGAATCAGCAGTTTGCAAGTTCTCTTTTTTGTAGAATCTGTGAAGGGACATTTTGAGTACAGTGAGACTTACAATGAGAAAAAAATTTCCAGCAATAAAAAAGAGAAAGAAGCTCTCTGTCAAACTGCTTTCCTATTTCTCTATTCAGCTCAGAGTTTAAACTTACTTTTTAATTAACCATGTTTGAAACATTTGGTTTGTAGAATCTGTGAAGGGAAAATTTGAAGCCCACTGAGGCTTATTGTGCAAAACCCAATATTCAGTCACAAAAACTAGAAAGAAGTATCTGAAATTGTTTTGTGATTTGTGGATTCAGCTCACATAATTAAACCTTTCTTTTGTTTCAGCAGGTTGGAACACTATTTTTGTAGAATCTGCAATGGGACATTTCTCAGCCCACTGAAACTTATAGTAAAACCTCAAATGTCCAGCCATAATAATGGGAAAGATACTATGTGTGAATCCGCTTTGTGAGATGTGGGTTCAGCTGACAAAGTTAAACTTATCTTTTGATTCAGCAGGTTAGAAACTCCTTTTTTTGTAGAATCTGTGAAGGGATATTTCACACCTCTCTGAGGCCTATAGTAAAAAATCTAATATCCCACCATAAAACCTAGAAAGAAGCTATCTGTGATAATGCTTTGTGACGTGTGTATTCTGCTCACAGAATTAAACCTTACTTTTCGTTCAGCAGTTTTTGAAACACTTGTTTTGTACAGTCTCCAAAGGGACATTTCGGAGGGCCTTGACACTTACAGTGAAAAACTGAATATCATGCTATAAAAACTAGAAAAAATAACTATCTGTGAAACTGCTTTGTAATGTGTGGTTTCAGCTCAGAGAGTTAAACCTTTCTTTTGAATCAGCAGTTTGTAAACACTCTTTTCATAGAATCTGCCAAGACATATTTCAAGGTGCAGTAAGGCCTCTAGTGAAAAACTGAATATCCCACAATACAAACTAGAAAGAAGCTATCTGTGAAACTGCTTTGCAATCTGTGAGTTCATCTCCAAGAGTGAAATCCTGCTTTTGATTCAGCAGCTTGGTAACATTCTTTTTCCAGAGCCTATGAGAGCCATTTTGCAGCCCACTAAGGCCTATATTAAAAAACCGAATATACTGCAATGAAAACTAGAAAGTTATTATCTGTTAAACCACTTTGGAAGGGGTGGCTTCAAAAAATTAAACTTTTCTTTTGATTCAGCAGGTGGAAAAGACTCTTTTTCTAGAATCTTCTAAGGAACATTTCAGAGCCCACTGATGCCTATATTGAGATATCCCACGATAAAAACTAGAAAGAAGCTCTCTGCTTTCTGATGTGTCAATTCATTTTAAAGAGCTAAAACTTTCCTTTGATTCAGCATATTGGAAACCCTCTTTTTGAAGAATCTACAAAGGGACATTTCGTATCCCATTGAGGCCTATAGAGAAAAATGGAATATCCTTCGAAAAAAACTAGAAAGAATCCAACTGTAAAACCACTTTGCGATGTGCAGATTCATTTCACTGAGATAAACATTTATTTTGCTTCAGCAGGTTGAAACCACTCTATGTATGGAATTTATGAACGGACATTTCAGAGCTTTATGAGGCCTATAGTGAAACACCGAATATCCTGTGGTACAAACTACAAAGAAGTCATTTGTGAAACTGCCTTGTGTGTGTGTATTTGGCTCATGGAGTTGAACTTTCTTCTGATTCAGCTGGGTGGAAAAAATCTTTTCGCAGAATCTTTGAAAGAAAATATTGGAGCCCATAAGGCCTACAGTGAAAAACCGAATATCCCACAATAAAAACTAGAAAGAAGCTATCTGTGAAACCACTTTGTGGTGTGTAGATTCAGCTCACAGAGTTAAAGCTTTCTTTTGATTCGTCTGGTTGGAAACCCTCATTGTGTAGAATCTGCAAAGGGGCATTTCAATTCCCAGTGAGGCCTATAGTGAAAAAACAAATATTCTGTGACAAAAACATGAAACAAACTTTCTGTTGAATTGTTTTATGTTGTATGCTATTATTGCACAGAGTTAAAACTTACTTTTGATTCAACATGTTGGAAACACTCTCTTTCTAGAATCTACAATGGGACATTTTGGAGCCCATTGAGGCATATAGTGAAAAACTAAATGATAAAAACTGGAAACAAGGTGTCTCTAAAACTGCTTTGCTATGTGTGGATTCACGTTATGGAGTTAAAAATTTATTTTGATTCTGCAAGCACTCCTCTTGTGGAATGTACAAAGGACATTTCTGGGCCCATCAAGGAATATAGTGAAAAACAGAATATCACGTGATAAAAACTAGAAACAACTTATCTGGGAAACCACTTGGCATTGTGTGAGTTCATCTAACAGAGTTAAGCCTTTCTTTGATTCAGCAGGTTGGAAACCCTCCTTTTTTTACAATCTATTAAGGGACAGCTAGGCATGCTCTCACCTGTAACTACAGCACTTTGGGATGCTGAGGAAACTGGATCATGAGGTCAGGATCTTGAGACCATCCTGGCTAACATGGGGAAACCTCATCTCTACTAAAAATTAAAAAAAAAAAAGCCAGGCATGGTGGTGGGCATTTGTAGTCCCAGCTACTCGGGAGGCTGAAGCAGGAGAATGGTGTGAACCTGGGAGCTGGAGTGTGCAGTGAGCCGAGATCATGCGACTGCACTCCAACCTGGGTGACAGAGTGAGACTCCATCTCAAAAAAAAAAAAAAAAAAAAAAGCATCTACTAAGAGACATTTTGGAGCCCATTGAAGCCTACAGTGAAAAATTGAATATCCCACAATAAAGACTAGCAAGCAGATATCTGTGAAACCGCTTTATGATGTGTGACATGTATGATTCATGTCACACAGTTAAGCCTTTCTTTTGATTCAGCCAGTTCAAAACACTCTTTTTGTAGAATCTGCAAAGGGACATCTCAGAGCCAATTAAGACCTACAGTGAAAAACTGAATATCCTGCTATGAAAACTAGATCAAGCTATCTGTGAAATACCTATATCATATTTGGATTGATATCACAGAGTTAAACTTCTCTCTTGATTCCACAGGTTGGAAAAACCCTTTAAGTAGAATCTCTGAAGGGACATATTGAAACCCACTGAGACCTATTATGAAAAACTGAATATCTCACAATAAAAACTAGAAGCAAGGGCAGGTACTGTGGCTAAAACCTGTAATCCCAGCACTTTATGAGGGTAACTCACCTGAGGTCTGGAATTTGAGACCAGCCTGACCAACATGAAGAAAGCTTGTCTCTGCTAAAGATACAAATTGCTCTGGGCATTGTGGTGCATATTTCTAATCCCAGCTATTCGGGAGGCTGAGGCAGGAGAATTGCTTAAACCTCCTGTAGGTGAAGGTTTCAGTGAGCAGAGATCGCACCATTACACTTTAACCTAGTCAATAAGAGCAAAACTACGTCTCAAAAAAGAATCTAGAAACAAGCTATCTGTGAAACCTTTGTGTGATGTGTGCATTCATCTCACAGAGATGGACCTTTCTTTTGATTCAGCAGGTTGGAAACCTCTTTTAGTAGAGCCTAAGAAAGGACATTTTAGAGCCCATGAAGTCTATTGAAAAAAAATGAATATCCCTCAATAAAAATGAGAAACAATCTACCTGTGAAGCCTCATTGTGATATGTGGATTCATTTAACAGAGATAAACCTTTCTTTAGATTTAGCACACTGGAAACACCCTTTTTGTAGAATATATAATGGGACATTTCAGAGCCCATTAAGGCCTATTGTGAAAAAACTGAATATCTGGAGATAAAAAACAGATACAAGCTATCTGTGAAGCATCTTTGGGATGTATGGATTTATTTCACAGAGTTGAACTTTTCTTTTGATTCAGCAGGTTGGAAACACATCTTTTTTAGAATCTATGAAGGGGACATTTTGGTAACCATTGAGGCTTATAATGAAAAATCGAATATTCCATGACAGTAACTAGAAACAAGGTATCTGCGAAATTGTTTTATGAAGTGTCCATTCATCTCACAGAGGTAAGCCTTCCTTTTGATTCAGCAGGTTGGAAACACTATTTCTTTGTAGAATCCATGAAGGGACATTTTGGAGCCCATTAGAGCCTATAGGGAAAAACTGAGTATCCCGCAATAAAAACAAGAAACAAGCTGTCTGTGAAAGCACTTAACAATGTGTGGATTCATCTCACAGAGGTAAACCTTTCCTTTGATTCAGTACGTTTGAAAAATTCTTCTGGTAGTATCTACAATGGGACATTCCAGAGCCCATCAAGGCCTATAGGGAAAAACAGAATTTCCCATGATAAAAAATATAAACAAAGTATCTGGGAAACGGCTTTGTGATGCATGGATTCATATCACAGAGTTAAACTTTTCTGTTGATTCAGCAGGTTGGAAACACTCTTATTGTAGAATCTATGAGGGAACATTTCGGAGCCCATTGCCGCCTGTAGTGAAAAACCGAATATCCCACGATATTAGTCTGATGGGCTTCCCTTTGTGGGTGACCCGACTTTTCTCTCTGGTTGTCTTTAACATTTTTTTCTTCATTTTACCTTTGGTGACTCTGATAATTATGTATATTTTTCGGGATTCTTCTTCTCAAGGAGTATCTCTCTGTTGTTCTCTGTATTTCCTGAATTTGAATATTGGCCTGTCTTGCTAGGTTGGGGAAGTTCTCCTGGATAATATCCTGAGCAGTGTTTTCCAGCTTGGTCCCATTGTCCTTGTCACTTTTAGATTACCAATCAAGTGTAGATTTGGTGTTTTCACATAGTCCTATATTTCCTGGAGGCTTTGTTCTTTCCTTTTTAGTCTTCTTTCTATAATCTTGCCTTCTCGCTTTATTTCATTAAGTTGATTTTTAATCTCTGATTTTTCTCTGCTTAATTTATTCAGCTATTGATTCTTGTGTATGCTTCACAAAATTATTGTGCTTTGTTTTTCAGCTCCATCGGGTCATTTATGTTCTTCTTTAAATGGGTTATTCTATTTATCCATTTCTCTAACCTTTTTCAAGTTTCTTAGATTCCTTAGATTGGGTTAGAACAAACTTTTTTAGCTCAGAGGAATTTCTCATTCTGCACCTTCTGAAGCCTATTTCTGTCAATTCATCAAACTCATCCTCCATCCAGTTTTGTTGCCTTCCTGGCGAGGTGTGATTTTTTTTTTTTTTTCCCTGAAATGTAGTCTCACTGTATCACACAGGCTGAAGTGCAGTGGTGTGATCTCGGCTCACTGCAACCTCTGCTGCCTGGGTTCAAGCAATGTTCCTATCTCAGCTTCCCAAGTAGCTGGGATTACAGATGTACACCACCATGCCCAGGTAATTTATTGTATTTTTAGTAGAAACAGGGTTTCACCATGCTGTCCAGGCTGGTCTTGAAGGACCTGACCTCATGTTCCACCCACATCAGGCTCCCAAAGTGCTGGGATCACAGGCATGGACCACAATGTCTGGCCTATATTTTTTATATGTGAATAAAGAACAATCAGTCCCAGTCGTCAGTGTGGCAAATTGCTAGGCAACAATGGAGGGAGGAACTTGGAAGTGGGGGCATGCCAGGGGCAATGAAGAAGACATAGTTGCCTCAGGCTGTGTGCAGGCAGCCTGAGCGGCCCTCCTCCTTGAGGCCTCAGTTTTCAGAGTAAGTGTCTGCTAGGTGATATCCAATAGCAGTAATCTCCTAGGTGGTCCCCACAACAAATCAGCCAGTGTCCCTGGAAGACATAGCTTAAGTCCCTAACCATCAGATCATCTGGAATTTCCAATCAGAAATGAGAGACCAACTGGAAATTCTCAGTCAAGGTCCAAACTAAAAGAATCACTGGCACACCCACCAAGGCTAAGACAATTTTTAAAAGAATCATTTGGGTGCAACCGTGTATTTCTGTAAAACAAAATTACCTATTGTAAATGTTACTGTTTTTACTCATTATGTGTACGGTCCTATGATAGACAGCCCAAGGGGATTGTCACCTCAGAGTCCAAAACACCAGATGCTGATATCTTCAATTTCTATTTAGATTGAATTTAAACAAGCCAGCCAAACACTCTGCGGTGAAACTCTCATGAAGACAAGTGATTGAAAAAGGGAAAAAACAAAACAAAACAAACAAACAAACAAAACAGTGTGTTCAGGGGAACTGGTTCATGCCTGTCATCCCTGCACTTTGGGATCCTGAGGGCACATGGATCCCTTGATCCCAGGCAATCCAGAACAGCCTTAGCAATACGATGAAACCTCCTCTGTAGAAAAATACAAAAATAGCTGGTTTCATAACCTTGACTCAAAATTAATAAATAAATAGATTAAAATTTAAAATAAAAACTTAAATGCTGTATTATCTTATTTTTGCTTCCTACCCTGAGAAGAACATAATACAGCTGGTCTCCGTCCGACTGTCTGTTTGTGACAGAGTCTCACTCTGTCACCCAGGCTGCAGTGCAGTGACACCATTATGGCTGACTGCAGCACCAACCTCCCCAGGCTTAAGTGAGTCTTCCACTTTGGCCTCCTGAGTAGCTGGGACCACACAGGAATGCACTTCGGGTTTTGGCTGTGTTTTCCAAGACTTGACTCGATCTCCTGCGCTAAAGCATGCCTACCTCCTCAGCCTCCCAAAGTGCTAAGGTTGCAGGTGTTACCCACTGCATCCGGCCTGACTTAATACATCTGGTCTCATTACAACTTGACCACATGCCCACAAAGAACTCAAATCAAGGGAGAATCAACAAGAGACTTTCAGCATTCTTTCCCTAAAGCGGGGAGGTGGATGGTGGCCGAATGTCCTGCACTTCTGTGGTTTTAGGTGGCCACGTTTAGAGGATAGATTTCAAATGTTTCTGTTAGAGGCACAAGCCACAGTCATTTGGAGCAATGTTTCTGACAGTGTCTTAAGGGCCAGGAAGGGCCAGGATCTGCCAAGGCCTGTGTTCCAGGGTGGGGTCGATGGAATCCAGGGTAGAAGGAGCCATCGGTCCTCACTGAGTTCTAGCCCTAGGCTCCACTGTGCAGACCAAGTCAGAAGGAACAATCCCTCGTCCTACATGCCACATGCATCTACTGAACTTGAAAGTGGATCCATTTTCCAAACATGAGGTGACTCTTTGTTGGAAATGGATGACAAGGGGCCGGCCTTTCCGGAGTCGGTATGATAAAGAACTCATTCTGTGGCATAGAATGAGGTGTGGCTTGAATCTTGAATCTCCATTTAAAACCAATGAAGGTGGCCATGGACTGTGGCTCATGCCTGTCATCCCAGCACTTTGGGAGGCTAAGGCAGGCAGATCACGAGGTCAGGATTGTGAGACCCGCCTAGCCAACATGGTGAAACCCCATCTCTACTAAAATTACAAAAATTAGTTGGGTGTGGTGGTGCATGCCTGTAATCCTAGCTACTCAGGAGGCTGAGGCAGGAGAATCACTTGAACCTGAAAGGCGGAGCCACTGTAACTCCAGCCTGGGGGACAGAGTGAGACTCCATCTCAGAAACAAACAAACAAACAAAGCCAATGAATGTGTTTAACTCAAAGCGTCATGCCCAGGTCTATTGACAGGATATATTGAGCACGCAGGGAAATGTTGTGGGGTGGGGTTGAAAATATTTTATGGCCTCAAGGAAGGGTTTGAGAGGTAGTCACACAAACCTGACAGCCTAAGGAATCCCCTGCACTTAAGAAGCGATATGCACTTCTAGCCTGTAGCCACGCATGCGGGATAATTAGGCTCTCTGCAGAACTCCTCCTGAAATGGGCTCTCGCTCCATTCAATAAAAATGGGAGAATCTGTTTCCTAGCATGCAGCCGCAGATGAACGATGATCCAGACACTCACATAAGGAGCGTGTCAGGCTCTACTCATACCGTGTGGTTTTGTAACCTCCAGCGTGTATGCTGGTGGGGGGTACTGTGGACAGAGGAGGGGAGAGAATGGCGGTGTCCGGCATGTGCTGGAGACATGGGACGTGGTTGGGTTGGTCAAAGTCTAGGGAACTCATCACCTGCCAGGACGTCTCACCTCCTGCTGTCCTCTCTACCCTACTCTCCACATCTTCACAGTGCAGTGGAGATGATGTAAGTGGAGTTTGCCATCACGTTGGACTTAAGCAGAGGAAGGCCGCCCTCCCAGGGGTTTCCCTGGAGTGGGTGCCTTGGGCAAGCTCACAAGGATGCCGATGGTGACAGTGAGAGGGATGTATGGTGGAGGCAGCAGGCCAATGTAGAGGTATGTATTTGACCTATTTGGGGGTGGTCAGCTTTGTGGAGTCCCATGCATCCTTCCAGAGAATCATTCAGCACTAGCAAGCATGGTCTCCAGGATCACAGTTCCCAGCAGAGGCACTTTTGTTCACACAGAATCCTGGGAAGGAAAGTTCTCAGCAGGCTTACACCTCCTATCCGAGAAGCTGAAACCACTTCTGGGAGGTTTTCCAAAGAGCCAGTGGTTCCACAAGGGGCCGTGGGACTTCTGGAAATTGAGAGAAGTATTTGGAGATATATATTTTAGAAAGAATGGACAGAGCTTGGTCACGAGTTGTTTAGGACACAGGGGATACAGATTGAGAAAACCCTCCTAGCATCCTAGGTGAACAGAGGTACGATTTATTGAGACAGTAAGTCTGGGTCACAGCCGAGGCAAGGGAAAAGCAAACCCAGATTTTAAGGTTGCCTTTTTATTAGTGTGTAATATCCATGAGATATCCAAGCCCAGAAATGAACTCTCCAGTTCTGTAGTTTTCTGTATGGAAATCAGATCTGGGAGTTCTACAGTTAATAATTCAGCCTTGGTAATAGATTAGATCTACCCGAGCCTATAGTAGAAAAAAGACAGGGAGGGAAGAATAGGACAGAGAAAGAAAGTTACAGAGAGAGAGAGAAAGTGAGAGAGGCAGACAGAGACAGACAGAGAGAGACAGAGACACAAAGAAAGGAAAGAGAAAAAGGAAAGACATAGAGAAAGAAAGAGAGAGACAGATGGACAGACAGGGAAAGAGACTGACAGAGAGAGACACAGACAGAAAGAGAGACAGAGAGAGAGACATGGATAAAGAAAGAATGACAGAGGACAGAGAGACAGACTGAGAGAAACAGAGACAGGAAGAGAGAGACAGAAACAGAGAGAGACGGAGAGATAGATGGAGAGAAAGATAGACAAGGAAAGAGACAGAGTGAGAGAGACAGAGAGAGAGACAGAGACAGAGAGGGAGAGAGAGAGGAAGAGGAATGGGGTACTCAAGAAATAATTACATGTATTGTATAATGCTCTGATGCCATAAACAGTGGCCAGAATATGATTGAAAACAAGAACATCAAAAAGAACAGCGGCAGCAGCAACACTCACTTGCAGATTTTTAGAAAGTAAGATGTTATGAACTATAGTTTACATCAACTGGCTCTCACTATACGTTGAGAGATTCACAAAAGTGCTAGTTAACAACAGAAGAAAACAGCGGCTAATATGTCCTTGGGAAAATATACATCTTCCTAAAAATTGGTGAATTCTACTTCAGCGGAAAATAAATAAATACGAAAAAGAAAAAAAACACAAACAAAACAAAACAAGCAAGCAAACAAGGGTCAAAGCATTGTCTCTGGAAATCTTAAACCAGCAAAATGCTTTGTAGAAAGCGGTTCTATTTTGGGCACATACTAATAAGGCCCAGGGTAGAGCGGTGACGCCCTTCCCATTTTGAAAATATGCTGGCCTGAGGGAGGAGAAAATTAAAAAAAAAAAAAAAAATCTTGATAAAAGGTGATTAAGACCCAGCCAGGATGGAACTTTCCTAGGGAGAGAGGCCTGAGGAACAATGGGGGAAAAAACTCATAACTGCAGTCGGTCCCGCCTGCCTGTCCGCTTGTCCACACGGGTCAAGCTCTATCCCATCGGCCCAAGCTGCCTCTCGGGAAGTGGGACAGTGCCGCCCCCATCTTTAAAAACTGTGGCCAATGAGTGAGGCCTGACGACCACCAATGCAAATGTCAGCCTGGTGGGAATGAGATCACCAGCGAGCGGTGGGGGAAGGGGAGAGAAGAGGGAGGCACACCCTGGTGACTCTCGAACGTTTCCAAGCACAGTGGTAGGAGATGAGGGGGTTGGGGAAAACCCACCTAACTAACACTAAATTAAGGTAAAAGGGCTTGGGGGTCCGGGCGGCGACTTAAAAATTAAAGTGACCGTACATAAAGCCAAAATGGAAGAGCCTATGAGCATTAAAGAAACCAACAGGTGAAGCAAAATAATATGCTGAGAAAAGAACAACAGGGACCCCGCCAGGTCGGAGGTTCCCTAGGAAGAAGGGAGAGAGTGACGGGCCTCCAGAAGAGAGGGAGAGAAGCCAGTGGCCCCAGGCTCTGTGAAGTCGGCCAGACGTCCCTCCGTGCCACCTCGACTTTCAATAACAGTGGCCGCTAGGTGATGCCCGAAGACAACCGATGCTTGCAAGTGTCAGTCGGCACGGAAAAGAAACGAATAATGAGTCTTTCTGTGTCAGGGTGGAGGTTGGGGATGGAGTGCGGAAGAGGCACACCCCAGTCACTGGCCTCTTCCAGATCCCTCTCACATCAGGTCGTTTCCGGGCCCAGGGAGAACTCCCAGGCAATTCCCACGACTAGCGACCAGAGCCCCACAGAGGACACAGCCTACGTTTCTGCCCATGGGATCTTCTGGAACTTCCATTCCCCCAGAGAGAAAAGAGGACCACGGGGGCACGGGTGTGCGGATGGAGGCTAGGGCTGGAGGTGGGACCTATCTAAGGCAGAAGTCCAGTCCATAGCGTTTCAGGGTATACTCCAGACCCACGACCTCAGAGTGGCAAATACCTGTCACAATGGAACAAAGTCCGTGAAATCCACGCTACCAGACACAGCATGGATTTCCCAGAGAGGACAGCTTACACCAAATTCCCTCCTGTCCTCAGGCCAGTTTTCACTCCTGAAGTACCCATTTCTCAGTCGTGTTCCGCAAAGTCCTCTCTGTCGTGAATCATTCAAAAATTTAGTTCAGTGAATCCCAGAGCATCCACATACGACCTCTAAGATCGGAGTCCGCACACTACACATCACTCCCCACAGTGTCTCTCCACGAGAACATCACCGCCGTATTAGCCTGGCGGCGATACAGTGCCATTTACTAGAAATCACTCAAGAGTTTCGCTCTTGTTGCCCAGGCTACAGTGTAGTGGCACAACCTGGGCTCACTGCAACCTCTGCCTCCCAGGTTCAACCGATTTTCCTGCCTCAGCCTCCTGAGTTCCTGGGATTATAGGCATATGCCACCACGCGCCGTTAATTTTTTATTTTTAGTACAAGCACGTTTTCTCCATGTGGGTCTGGCTGGTTTCGAACTCCGACCTCAGGTGATCCGCCCACCTCGGCCTCCCGACGTGCTAGGATTACAGGCATCAGCCACCGTGCCCCACCATGTGTATAGAGTTTTATGCCACAATAATGAGCTTTCTTTCTCATTGCCTTCACAGGTGGTTTCACTAGGTCAGATTTTGTTTCACCGTTAATTTTTAAATTGAGGAGTTTGTCAGGGAAATACGAGATGTAGACTCCACAAGAGACAGGGGGAAAAGCCTGAACATGCCCCTTCCATCCAAGTGCAGACCTGGCCTCTACCTCCCAAAATCATACACCGAGTGGGGAAGCCCAGCAATGCCTGTCTGTCTAGATTTCTCTCATCCTCTCTAAACATGGCACTCCTTCCTTTCGTGGAAGGTGCAGGGCCCTCCCCAGAACGGGAGTCTCAGGACCTACAGTCGAACAAAACACACCCTGTGGAATTCAAGCATATACACGGACAATTTCCCCATCCTCTTGGGGCCTTCGTTCTGTAGACTCCCATGAAGACAGGTCCCAGAAACATATCTGCCTATTCTTTTATTCTTCTGCCTCTGACGAGTTGAGGTTTCAGATGAAACTTCAGAGGGTGGAAGGCAAAGCACTCTCCCTGCTCCCATGTTTTTGTGAGTGGTGAAAAATGACAGTCTCCCAAGGCAAAAGTCTCCAGATACCCCTATCCTTTTCTCCCCTCCCAGTGGGATTCCGTGCATCTGACTTGGGATGACACACGGTCTGCTAGCCACCGACAACAGCTGTGGTGACAGCACCGTCTAAAAGCCAAGAAGACAAAAAACAAAACTAACTTACTTAACTGAGTAATAACGGGGAGAGGGGACTAAGGGAGTCAACCTATAGCAGAAATGACACACCATTCAGAACATAAGGGCTGCAGTGAAAGGCGGCAGAACATACACTTTTAAAGGCTGAAATCTCGGTGGCTCACGCCTGTCATGCCAGCACTCTGGGAGGGCCAGGAGACTTGAAGTTAGGAGTTCGAGACCAGCTTAGCCACCATGGCAAAACCCCGTCTCTACTAAAAATACAAAAATTAGCCTGTCGTGGCTGTGTGCATCTGTAATCCCAGCTACTGAAGGCTGAAGCATGGGAATTGCTGGAACCCAGGAGGCAGAGGTTGCAGTGAGCCAAGATAGTGCCAATGCACCCCAGACTGGGCAGCAGAGCAAGAGACTCAGTCTCAGAAAAAAAGACTGAAATAATCCCCTGCCTTCCTTCCCTTTTCCCCTTTAGAACCTACAGTTGTTTGCAGTTTCTGATCCCTTAAGTGGCAGAATATATTCCATGGGGCTAACTGTGGCTTTCTTGCATTGCCACTGAATGTCCCCTATAAGGCCGGTACCCCCTGCCTCAGGTCAAGGAGGTGGTGTTTCGTTTTGTTTCTCTCTCTCTCTTTCTCAAATTTTATTTCTTGTTGAAGCATACATGTGCAAGATTGTCATATAGGTAACTTCTGACTGGGGGGTTCAGAGTGCAGATTATTTCATCACCTGGGTACTCAGCGCAATACCGGACAGTTTTTGTGTTTTAATCTGAAACTATCTCTCCTACCATTCCTCCTCCCTCAAGTAAGGTCCCGTGTCTCTGGTCGCCCTCTTTCTGCCCACATGTTCTCATTATGTAGTTCCCACTTACAGATGAGAACACACCGTGTTTAGTTTATTGTTGGTTTCATCTACGGTGATGGTGATAAAAGAAGCATGAGAGTAAATCGACCCTTAGGACACTCCCCTATGTCCTCATCACACACATCCCTCCCCGCACACACTCTCACCTCTACACCCCCTACTCAAGCCCAAGAAAGGAAGAAAGACATAAAGTAAAGTAAGAGGTCAGCCTCCAAGGTGATGGAGGCCGGGGATCTCAAAGGGTGAGCAAGCGGTGGGGGACAGAGGATGTTGTGGCCAAGCTAGAAAAGGTGGGAGACTGACTTTCTAGCTCCATCCCACACCCCAGGCTTTGGGTGGGGTGGCTCCTGCAAAAGCTTCTGAATGGAGAGAAGCCTGAAGCCATAGAAGTCACCAGCTAGGAATTCAGGAAGGGAATAAAGCTTTGTGCATGTGAATGGGGCTTTGTAATGCGGTGCTGTGGCTTCCAAGGTGATGCTCCTCGCCTCACACAGAGCAAGACTCCATCAAAAAAAGAAGAAAGAGAAGAAAGAAAGAAAGAAAGAAAGAAAGAGAGGAAGAAATGAAGGAAGGAAGGAAGGAAGGAAGGAAGGAAGGAAGGAAGGAAGGAAGGAAGGAAGGAAGGAAAGAAAGAAAGAGAGAGAAAGAAAAGAAAAGAAAGAAAAAAAATCAGAACACATGTCGTGGTTGTGAGTGATTACCAGGAGGCCAGGCAAAGTGGCTCATGCCCATCATTCCAGCACTCTGAGACTCTGGGACAGGAGGATTGCAATGAAGTGATGAGACTCTGTCTGTAGAACAAATTTAAAAATAATCTGGGCACAGTGGCGCGTGCCTGTGGTCCCAGTTACTCTACTCTGGAGTCTGAGGAGGAAGGATCACTTGAAATAAGGTGTGTCCAGGCTGCAGTGCATGAGCTTTGATGGCACCACTGCACTCCAGCCAGGGTGACAGAATGAGACACTGTCTCTGAATCAATCAATAAATCACATGACTGAAAGGACCTCTCTATTTCTTACTTTCAATGGATATGTCTTTAGGACAGATGGGCATGGTGGCTCACCCCAGTAATCCCAGCACTTAGGGAGGCCAAGGCAGGAGGATTAAAATAAAGAAAGAAACAAATAAAAGAAAAAGGTGGGGGAAGGTGTATCTCCTTGACTGGTGACCAAAATTACACAAACCCAACAAGGAAGGAACGTGTGTAGGATTCGGTAAGTGCACCCTGTTTTCTGAAACTACTGTACAGTATTGTCATCTTAAAGATGAGTGGGGCTGGTGGTGGGGGTGGCTCATGCCTTTAATCCCAGAACTTTGGGAGGCTGAAGTGGGTGGATCATGAGGCTAGGAGTTCAAGACCAGCCTGTCTTGAACAGGTGGTGAAACCTTGAAAGATGGTGAAACCATGTCTTTATTTTACTTAAAATACAAAATTAGGAGGGTGTGGTGGTGGGAGCCTGTAATCCCTGCTATTGGGGAGGCTGAGGCAGGAGAATCACTTGAACCTGGGAGGTGGAGGTTGCAGTGTGCCAAGATCAGGACACTGCCCTCTTGCTCCGGGTGACAGAGCAAGAATCCATCTCAAAAAAAAAAAAAAATGAATTTAAAAAAAAGAAAACAGGATGAGTGGACAAGCCTGGCCAACATGGCTAAACCCCATTCATCTCTACTAAAAATGCAAATATCAGCCGGAAATGGTGGCATGCATCTGTGATCCCAGACACTCAGAGAAGCTGAGGCACAAGAATCACTTGAGCCTGGGAGGTGGAGGTAGCAGCGAGCCTAATTCGAACCACAGCACTCTGGCCTGGATGACAGAGTGATACCCTGTCTCAAAAAAAAAAAAAAAAAAAAAAAAAGATGAGGCCAGGCATGGTGGCTCACTCCTCTAATCCCAGCACTTTTGGAGGCCGAGGCATGTGGATCTTATAGTCAGGTGTTTGAGACTAGCCTGACCAATATGGTGAAACCTCGTCTTTACCAAAAATACAAAATTAGCTAGGCTTGGTGGCGCACTCCTGTAGTCCCACATGCTCAGGTGGTTGAAGCAGGAAAATCACTTGAACTTGTGAGGCAGAGGAGCTTGCACCAATGCACTCCAGCCTGGGTGACACAGGGAGACTCAATCTCAAAAAAAAAAAAAAAAAAAGATGGAAAATATAGATCTCGGAGTTGACAAATGGGCAGATCCAATATGAGATGCACATGGGATGGTGGCCAAGCTTGAAGTGCAGTTTTCTTTTTTTTTATTTTTTATTTCTATTTCTATTTTATTTTATTTTATTTTTAGCCCTGTCACCAGGCTGGAGTGCTGTGGTATGATGTCAGCTCACTGCAATCTTCGTATCCCTGGTTCAAGTGATTTTCCTACCTCAGCCCCCCGAGTAGCTGAATTTACAGGCACGCGCCACCACACCCAGCTAATTTTGTATTTTTAGTAGAGACAGAATTTCACTATGTTGTTCTGGATGATCCTGATGTCCTGACGTCGTGATCTGCCCGCATTTGTTTCTTTCTTTCTTTCTCTCTTTCTCTCTTCTTTCTTTCTTTCTTTCTCTTTCCTTCTTTCCTTCTTTCTTTTCTCTCTTTCTCACAGGATTGCCCAGGTTAGAGTGGGTCATGACTGACTGCTGCCTCAATTTTTCAGGCTTCAAGTGATCTTCTCCTTATCTCAGACTCCTGAGTAGCTGGGAGTACTGGCATGCACCACCACACCTAGCTAATCTTTTTATCATGCTTATTATTATTGTTATTTTGAGACAGGATCTTGCTCTATCACCTAGGCTGGAGTGCTGTGGCACATTCTCGGCTTACTGCAACCTCTGCCTCTCTGGTTGAAGCGACTCACTGACCCCAGCCTCCTGAATTTTTGCCATGTTTGCCAAGGCTTGTCTCGAACTCTTGGCCTTAAGTCGATCCACCTGCCTTGGCCTCCTAATGTGCTGGGATTACAGGCATGAGCCACTGCACCTAACTGAATTTTATTCACTCTACCTCCTATATATTCAAAGAAATTGCTTGGAAGCCGATGCTAGCAGAATCCCCAATGTGCATATATTTCAGGGCTGGGGAGACTTGAAACACAGTGGTTTTTTTATGATCACAGAAATGAGAAGAAAAAGAATGTTCTAATCCAGCTCTTTTCCCTCAAACCTGGGGCCCTGGCTGTATTTAGATGTTTTCATGGGGTAAGGGGCTTGTGTTTGCATAACTGTGTACAGATGAAGAGTTGACACGGGATAGGAAGGTGAGTAATCAGCAGCTGTGCAGAGACTTTGCATACATTTATAGAAGAAAAGGGCTCAGGGGATGATGGAACCTTGAAGAACTAACACACTCCTCTTGTGACAGAACCTGATAGAATTTAGAACTTTGAAAACTAGACATCCACACTCTAGAGACAGCCCTGTACCTAGCTCATTTCATGGGATATGCTTAAGAGAACACTATGTTCTTATTTCGTGGTGATATTCCTAAGCTGTTACCTTAGAAAGGTCCAAAGTTGAGAGCCTTTTCAAATAATACAGATGTTGGCTGAGCCCACATCCTTGATACCTGTGCCCATTTGGCAAGAGGCACCCACAGGAACTGCAGTGTAGTCCAGGGCAGGTCTGTCCATGCCAGGCCTCTCTTGTCATCTAATCTGGGAAACCCCATCTGGCCCACCATAACCATGTGTTTCAGGGGGAACAGGAAAGGAGGTGGCTTTTCCTGACAGGTGCAGGTTGTCAGGCTTTGGAACTCTGGTGAGTCCGTCATGTTCAAACCCAGGTCATGGCTGGTTGAATAAATAGTTGAGTGTTGGAGAGCAAGTGTGTCTACTCAGATGTGAATCTCAAGGTCTTCAGCTGTCCTCTGGTTTCTTCATGCACTGGGGATCTATGAAGATGCTCCTATGTGTCTGATCTGGGGAGCATAATTTTTTTTTTTTTTTTTGAGACAGAATCTCACTCTGTCACCCAGGCTGGAGTGCAGTGGCTCAATCTCTGCTCACTGCAAACTCTCTTCCTGGGTTCACGTTGTTCCCCTGCCTCAGCCTCCCGAGTAGCTGGGACTACAGTCTCCTGCCACCAAATTCAGCTAATTTTTTTTTTTCAGTAGAGACGGGGTTTCACCATGTTAGCCAGGATGGTCTCGATCTCCTGACCTCATGATCCACCTGCCTCAGCCTCCCAAGCTGCTGGAATTACAGGCATAAGGCACCGCACCCAGGCGGGAGCAGAATTTCTAATGGGGATGTCACCTTGTGGTAAAAACAAGGGAGACCATTAACATTTTTTTTTTTTTTTGGCTTGGCTTGGCTGCTGGGCATTCTCTTTACAGAGCTGTATCAAAATCAATGAGCAGCTGTTTGATGAGTTCAAGTCCCCATCTCCTTGGACAAGGGGCAGGTTCACCATACCACCAAGCAGGGCCCAGTGAGCTATGGTGAGAGCAGGCACATGGCAGTCTCTACAGACTGGGGCCTGACAATGCCAGGATGGGTCCAAAACCCAGACCCAAATATGGACTGTCTCTGGGCTCTGTCTTAGAGCTTTTTTCTCAGAGTGACCCAAAGTTCTGCAGCCAAAAATCTGGCTTTCATTAGTCCCAATGGCAACTTGGTTAGGTGTAAAGTCCCTGTTCACGTACTTGTAGAAATACCAGAGGAGGCCTTTGTGTTGTTTTTACTTTACACTGGACTGTATTTATTCATGTTGCTATAGTTTGTATTGTATTAACTATTTAGCCCAGGTATCTTCTGTAGCAGGCAGCTTCACTGTATTGCCAGACTTTCTCCAATACTTAAAAGCCACCACTATTACTAAGAAGGTTTTCACACAAAAATAGGGAAGAGGTTACGTGAAAAAGAGGTTACTTTGTTCCCTTCATTTGCCTGCAATGTGGCACCTCAGAGAACTCATCCCTGTAGCCCATCAGGGTAGAAGCTGTGCCTTCACATGTCTTCGTAATGTTCTATACAAGAAGGTAATTTCGCAGAGTGGCTTAGCCTTTCAATGCTGGTGGAGCCTGCCATGATAACATTCTATTTTCATTTTAGCTGTAATGAAGAAAATTTATCTGTGTGTCATGATTGGCTGGAACAGTTTGCTTGGGCTTCCATAATCTAGTACCGTGTACTGAAGATCTCAATGGAAACTGAGTTTCTCATAATTCTGGAGGCTAGAAATTGAACAACAAGCTATTGGCTGAAGTGGTTTCTCTAATGCATATTTCTACTTGAGATTAATCGACCACCTTCTATTTCTGTTTTCAGAGTGTCTTCTCTTGAGCCTCTGCGTCTTTACTCTTTTTGAAAGGACTCCAGTCATGTTAGGTTAGGGTTCACTTTACTGAACTTACTTAATCATAGTCACCTCTTTAAAAGCGATATGTCCAAACACACACTCACTCACAATTTGAGGCTAATTATATTATATATGCCTTAGAATGTCAACATATAAATTTTAGAATAGCAACATATAAATTTGGGAGAAGGGACACAATTTGGAACATGATATGTATTAATGGTAGATTGCCAGGAAAGTGATTACTGGGTAAAATGATATACATATGTAAAATTTCCAAAGCTACAGGCAGATGACTTTCCACAAGGTCTGTGGCAAGTACATTGTCATCAACAGTCCCTGAATAAAGCTGCTTCTCTGAACCCAGCCTCCCCTGGATATTAACATTCTTTTAATTTTCTGACAATCTCATGTCTGTGGGCACAATAAAAACATATTTTTCCTTTTATTTCCATTTTTCCAACTGATGTGTTTAAGTCACTTGGTAGTTGTTATTTTAAATATAGATATGGGTTTTCTGTTCCTCAATTTATCTCCTCAGATCTTTGACTCTGTCATTAATCCTGGAGTCTCCCAGCATTTATCTTCTTACCAGGTCTGGAAATGTTGTGTCTCTTTCTCAAGACTTTCCTTAATATTAAAGAAAGAAGGGCCGGTCACAGTGGCTCACACCTGTAACCCCAGCACTTTTGGAGGCCGAAGTGGGTGAATCATGAGGTCAGGAGATCGAGACCATCCTTGCTAACACGGTGAAACCCCATCTCTAATAAAAACACAAAAAAATTACCCGGATGTGGTGGCACGCACATGTAGTCCCAGCTACTCAGGAAGCTGAGGCAGAAAAATGGCGTGAACCCAGGAGGCTGAGCTTGCAGTGAGCCGAGATCCTGCCACTGCACTCCACTCCTGGGTGACTGTGTGAGACTCTGTCTCAAAAAAAAAAAAAAAAAAAAAAGGAAGAAAAAAATGTTGCTTTAATTCTTTCTAAGCTGTCTTGCCCTGTTCACTGTCTCCAAAATGCAGAGGAAATATGGCTTCTCCAGGTTCTTGCACTCAGTGTCAGAAGCTGCTGTGTTTCAGGTAATTTAGAGGAAATTTCATGCAGCCCTCTCTGGAAGGTTCTTAGTTCTGACCCATGTGCTGTTCAGCAGCCATTTGAAATTGCGAAGCCTGTGTTTTCCTATCTCTACACTGAGGACTTTTTTGGAGAACTCAGTGGGAAAATGCACTTCATACAGGCTATTAATACTGATGGATGCTGTTGCTTCACAGTTGACAAAATTACACGAGGATTTCTTGTAGCTATAGTAGTGGTTAGATTACCCCCAAACCCATATCAAATTTTTTAAAAACTCTAAAGCTTTTTTTGTCAGGGGCATGCATGTCCTCCACATTCACAAGAAGGAATGTCTGTGGCCAGGTGCAGTGGCTCATGCCTGTCATCCCAGCATTGTGGGGGGCCAAGTCAGGTGGAATACTTGAGGTCAGGAGTTCAAATGTAGTCTGAACAACATGGACATAACCTGTTTCTACTAAAAATGAAAAATTAGTCGGGCATGGAGGTGCATGCCTGTAATCCAAGCTACTCAGGAGGCTGAGGCAGGAGAATCACTTGAACCTGGGAGGCAGAAGTTGCAGTGAGCTGAGATTGTGCCATTGCACTCCAGCCTGGGCAATGAGAGTGAAACCATATCCCAGAAAAAAAAAAAACAAAAAAAAGGAATGTTTGTTACATTTACACACCACAGTTCTTTCTCCTTCCCAATACAGCATGGTGCATCTAGGAGTGGACTCCCCACTCCTGGCTTCAGAATGCTCAAAGACATAGTAGTGTACTTTGAATGACAGATTGGTTTGGCTGAGACCAAACGTAGTAAAAGAAAATGAATCTTGAGAAAAGGTTTGAGAGAACTTCAGAATTTCTAGGCCAACAAGTTTGTATCAGATTCTCTCAGAACAAAGCCTCTAAGTAAAAACTGTGACCAGTGATTATTTTAAATGGCCAAGTTTAATGGACATATATAATGTAATATAACATAATCAGCCAAAAATTACAATATATACAAAGTATTAGGGCAATACGGAAAAATAATAAAAAAAAGATAAATATCCAGAAATCTACCCTAAAGAAATAGAGAAGTATAAATTACCTAAAAAATTTTAAAATAATTATCTAAATGGTGCTGAGTGAGCAAAATGTGAGCACAGACAACGAAATAAAATCAGGAAAATGAGAACAAACACAATAAGATAAAAACTATTAGAGAACAAATTATGAAGTTGAAGAATATAAAAAGAAAAAATGCCTGAGAAATTATCAAGCTTAAGAAAAAAACATAAAAATTAAAATGTTCAACAAATTTTAACTAAGATAAACACAAAAAGATTCATAATGAGAAAAATTATAAGCAAAGTTTTGAAAGTCACAGACTAGTAGATGATCTTGAAAGCTAAAAAAGAAAAGCTATGTGTCATTTATATGGGTTCTTCTGTCAGATAATCAGTGAATCTACCTGCAGGAATCTTGCTGGCCAGAAGGGACATGGGTAATATTGTCAATGTGCTGAAAGAACAAAAAATTTTAAGCAACAATACTATATCCAGATACACTATTTATCACAATGAAGAAAAAGCAAAGTCTTTTCATGATGACCACATACTGCAACAGCATATCACCACTAGGACTGCACTACAAGAAATGCTAAAGAGAGATTTTCTCATGAAAAATAAAGTCATGCTAAATAGCATTGCAAAATTAGATGAAAGTACATAACTCTTTGGAAAAGAAACATGCAAGCACAAAAATAAAATTCTGATGAATTCAAATGATGGTTCAGAAAACATACGTAATTATGTAATATAATCAAAAAACAAAAGACTAAAAATACGCAAAAACATTTGTTAATGATATATAATATAAAAAGATATTAGTGACATCAATAATATTAAGTTGAGGCAGATGGAAAGAGAAAGAATGTTCGTATGCAATTGAAATTAATTTGTTGCTGGCTGGGCATGTTGGCTCATGCCTGTAATCACAGCACTTTAGGAGGCCGAGACGGGAGAATCATGAAGTCAGGAGATTGACACCAGCCTGGTCAACATGGTGAAACCCCCCATCTCTACTAAAAATACAAAAAATTAGCTGGGCATAGTGGTGGTCCCCTGTAATCCCAGCCCCTGGGGAGTCTGAGGCAGGAGAATCATTTGAACTCAGGAAGCAGAGGTTGCTGTGAGCTGAGATTGCACCACTGCACTCCAACCTGAGCGACAGTGTCAGAATCCATCTCAAAAGAAAAACAGAAGGTTTTATGCAATCCCCATGGTAACTGCAAGAAAAACATTTACAGAGATACACACACACACACACACACACACACAAATACATTAAAGCATGCCACTATAAAAATCAACACAGAAGGGAAGATTGAAAGGAGTGGGTAAAGGGGATCACATAGCTATGAAAATCAGAGAAAACAATGACAAAATTAAGTTCTTCAATTTCAAAAAGATATCTTAATATTTATGAACTAAACTTTTCAATCAAACCATGTAAATTGAATAGATGGATTAATCAACAACAACTTTATCCTTTCCATAAGTGACTCACTTTAGATCTAATGTCAAAACTAGACTGAAAGTAGTAAGATCAAAATCGACTTTTGATGTAAATTGAAATCCTATGAGAGCAGTGCTGGTCACAGCTGTGTTAGGCAAAATATATTTTAGTCATAGTTCATAAAACAAACTTTAAGTAGGCTGGGCATGGTGGCTCATGCCTGTAATCCCAACACTTTGAAAGGCCAGTGTGGGTGGATCACAAGGTCAGGAGATGGAAACCATCCTGGCTAACACGGTGAAACCCTATCTCTACTAAAAATACAAAAACGTAGCTAGGAATAGTGGTGGGCACCTGTAGTCCCAGCTACTCGAGAGGTGAGGCAGGAGAATGGGGTGAACCCACGAGGCGGAGCTTGCAGTGAGCTGAGGTCGTACCACTGCACTCCAGCCTGGGCGGCAGAGGGAGACTCCTCCTCAAAAATAAAAGTAAACTTTTAGTCTAAACTGTCACAGGAGACAAAGAAGAGCATTAAATAATAATAAAAGGGCTCATTCACTTAGAACTTATGAAATTTTATTATATATATGTGTGTATATATATATATAGATAGATAGATAGATAGATACATAAATTTTTCACACCAGTCTTTCCAAATGTACAAAGTAAACATTGAAATAATTATTACAATAGACAAAAAAAATGGTAGAATACTTTAATTCAAACTTTTAATAATGAATAGTAAAGCTAGCCTAAATATTAATAAGGAAACAGAAATTTTGAAAACTCTACAGAAAAATTAGATCTAATGAGAATATACAGAATACACAACAATAGAAGAACACAATTTTCTCAATAGTTTATAAAACATTCTCCTGGATACAAAACCTATTAGGCCACAAAACAAGACTTAATAATTTTTTAAGAATAGAAATCTTAAAGACTATTATTTCTGATCAAAATGGAATAAAACTAGAAATTGATAACAGAAGAAAACAAAAATATCAGCACATATGGAAATTAAACAACTCACTTTTGAGCATGCTTGTGTTCAAGGGTTGTAAGACTTAATATTGTGAAAATGTTCATACTTCCTAGTGAACTACAGATTCAATGCAATCCCTTTTAAATTAATTTTTTTTTTTCAGGAATAGGAAAAGTAACCAACAATTATATGGAATCTCAGGGACAAAAAAAGAGCCCAAAAATGTTAAAAAAAAAAAAAAAAAAGAAACAATGTTATTGATGTCACCTTTTCTGATTTTGAAGCACATTACAAAGCTACAGTAATAAAAACAGTTTGGTTCTGGCATAAAGACAGACAAGTTTTCCAATAAAACACAATGTAGCACAGATGAAAACCTTGCACATGTGGGCAAATAGTTAATGGAACACCTATATTCTTTGAAACATTATTCAAAAAGGCCAATATTTGAAAGCAAAACAAACTTTCTTCACCAAATAAATGAATAAATACAATTTGTCATATAAAAGTAATGGAAAACTACTCAGCCTTTAAAAGCAGAAAATCTTGTAACATCCACAATAAAGATAAACCTGAAGCACATGATGCTAACTAAACTTATCCACAGTAAAACAGATACTTTATGATTCCACTTACTTGTAATATCGAAAGTATTGAAACTTTTAAAAACAGAAAATGGAATCGTTTTCATCAGGAGCCTGGTGGTAAAAAAAAAAAAAAAAAAAAAAATGGGTATTATTAATTTATATTGAGTTTTAAGTTTTGCAACAGAAAAAGTTTTACAGATATGTTGCATAACAACGTAAATACACTTAACATGGCTAAACTGTATAAGAAAAAATATTTAAGATTCTCAATTTTATGTTACATATTTTTACCACAATTAAAATTAACAATGACACCTGAGGGCAGGTGGCGCAGGCCTGTAATCCCAACACTCTGGGAGGCCAAGGTGTTCAGATAACTTGAGATTAAGAATTCAGGACAAGCCTGGCCCCATTTCTACTAAAAATACAAAACTTAGCCAGGCATGGTTGTCCATGTCTTTAATCCCAGCTATTCAGGAGGCTGAAGCAGGAGAATTGCCTTAACCTGGGAGGTGGAGGTTGCAGTGAGCCGAGATTGTGCCACTGCACTTCGGGTGACAGAGCAAGACTCTGTCTTAAAAATAAATAAGACATCTAACCTACCTTCAAACCACAAAACAGTTTCTTTCACATTAAGATATTATAAGATAAAGGTGTTGAAATTAAGACAATTTCCATGAATACTCACCTAGACAGAATCAATTATTGGCCACCAGCCAAGAAGAAAAATATACAAATCATAAACAAAATAGGCGTAACGTTTATACAAGCAAACAAACACTTAGATAATTATATTGAAAAAGGAAGTAGGGCTGATTCATAGTTGACTTTTGCCTCACACTGTATTAAGATGTACAGAGTTGACAATTGTCATACAAAATTATAATATATAAATTAAAACTAAAAACAGTAAACTGATGTAAGGTGGCCTACCCTAAAAAATGAAACAAACAGACACAAAATTGCAAACAAAGTTAAAATTAACATTAACCCCCAAAATTCTGATTTGAATGCTGCAATTCAAAACCATAATAAATAGGTAGAAGCTAGAAACACAATTGATGTGAGGCAGCCTACTCTGAAAAATACAGAAATATAAAATACAAAACTTAATGAAGAGCAACTTTAACCCATAAAATCCTCAATAAACAGAGAAAAAATCTAGATAACTACAATTTTCAACTCTAACTGTGCATCCATGAAAAGCATGAATTTTTAATTGTTTGATACAGTTAAGGCAACAACATTTCAAAGAAAACATATTATAATTATTCATAAAGCTTTGATGAGAAAGTTTTAAAAAATAAGCATTTAAGTAATACTAGAGAAACTTCTAAATTATGCTACTGATACATTGATATATTGCTGCTTTGTTTTTCCTTTATTTTTTATTTTTTATTTATTTTTTTTTTTTTGAGACGGAGTTTTACTCTTGTTTCCCAGGCTGGAGGGCAATGACATGATCTCAGCTCACCACAACCTCCGCCTCCCAGGTTCAAGCTATTCTCCTGCCTCAGCCTCCTGAGTAGCTGGAATTAGAGGCATGTGCCAACACGCTCAGCTAATTTTGTATTTTTAGTAGAGACGGGGTTTCTCCATGTTGGTCAGGCTGCTTGTCTCAAACTTCTGACCTCAGATGATCCGCCCGGCTTGGCCTCCCAAAGTGCTGGGATTACAGGCATTAGCCACCATGCCCGGCCCATTGCTGCTTGTCTTACAAAGTGGTGAGGCTGTAATCTAGCCTTTAGAAGAAAAGTCTTACATTTCTAAATACAATAACTATATATATTTTAAATACAGTATAAAAATTGATATATAAAGTAATACTGGGAATAAGTTGTGCTACAATTCAGGTAAAAATTGAGGAAACTGGAAGAAAATGCTACTAATCACATTGTTCCTAAAGTCAATGAAACATACAAGACAAATATTTTAATAAATTATATAATTTATATATAACATATACATTTGAGAATGTTGTATTATTTTATTTATGTATTTATTTTTTGAGGTGGAGTCTCACTCTGCTGCCCAGGCTGTTGTGCAGTGGAAGGATCTTGGCTCACTGCAACCACTTGAAACTCTGTCTCCCAGTTTCAAGTGGTTCTCTTTCCTCAGCCTCCCGAGTAACTATGATTACAGGTGCATGCCACCACACCTGGCCAATTGTTGTACTTTTAGTAGAGTTGGAGTTTCATTATGTTGGCCAGGCTGGTCTCAAACTCCTGGCCTCGTGATCTGCCCACCTCTGCCTCCCAAAGTGCTGGGATTACATGTGTGAGCCACCATGCCAGGCCTTGAACATACTATTGTAGAACTTCTGAAACTAAGATTACAGACAAATTACAGACATATGACAATTCAGAAAGTGAAAACGCTGTCATGATATTCTTGTTGTTAAAGAAGACAGAATCACAAAATAATAAGTGAGAAATAAGGTAATAATTGGAAATTCAATGTATGTACAGCAATGTTCTAATTTCCCCTATGGGAAAAGTTTTTGTAAGGAATCCATAAAATGAGTACATACAATAAACCACCCTACAATAGACACTGTTGGCATATAGAGTTTAAATTTTTAAGATTAGGTCTTGATAAGAAAAAATAATTCTCCATAAAACTTTTTTTTATATTTAACAAGATACTTTTGCACATAAAGATTTTCCATCAAATTTTTTGTGGAATTATGTTTTAAACCTTCATAGGATATGAAATTATAAAGCAGAAAACATGTGTCTTCTCTCTCTGGTGTTCCTGGAATTTCTTTTTTTTATTGTATAATCCCATTTATATGAAATATCCAGAATATGCAAATCCATAGAGACAGAAAGCAGACTGGTAACTGCAAAGGGATGAGGAGGAAAGAATAGAGAGTGACTGATAAAGGGTATAGGATTTCCCTTTATCATCCCTGCTTCCCCCACAGTGGTGACAGTCATAACCTTGTTAATAAGCTAAAAACAAATGGATTGTATATTTCATTTATGTTTGTTTTTAGATTTGAAGGTCTCACTATGTTGTCTAGGCTGTTCTTGAACTCCAGCCTCAAGCAATTCTCCACCTCAGCCTCCCCAGCTGCTGGGATTACAGGCCCAAGCCACCATATCTAGTTCTGATTATACACTTCAAAATTGTATATTTTATTGTATGATACGTATATCTTGGCTAAAAAAAAAGAACAGGGAGTTCTGTACTGATATGATATAATCTCCAAATATATTAAGTAAAAAAAGAGAGGTACAGAATAGTGTGTGCAATATACTACTATATTCTTAAAAAAATTGTACACACATATGTATACACTGTCCAGGCATAAAGCCTCTCAAAAGACATATGGGAAACCAGTAACATTATTTCCTGAAGTGAAGGATCCTAGAGCAACTGTGGATATTGTGGTCTGGAAGGGAGACCTAACTTTTCAACATGCTCTTTTGTACCTTTTAAATTTTGTATAGAGTACAACACTTCCCTTATTCTCTAATTTGAAGAAAGAAAAAAGGAATACTGTGATGCTTTCTCTTTAGTCTTTAGTTTTATTTTAAGAGATCATCTGCTTTTTTCCTGTAATAAACTTAAAACATATCCACCCATTTTGTCAGATTATTTATTTCTTAGCAATTTGTGTTAAACTTACAGTTTTTGTCTCAATCCTTAGTAATACTATATTCATTATATTTCAGATGTTTAGGTTTCTCATGGAGAAAAAGAAACACAGGCATACACCTCTATACTATCCACCTGCTAGTCCTGCAACATGATTTCAATAAAGTGTTACTGATCCTTGAAGAATTTCTATGATGTCGGCAAAGTAATATCAACAAGAGTGATTGTAAAGTAGCTGGCCTTATAAGTCAAGAGTTATGATATTTGATCCACTGTTCAATCCATTTCTAGATCTGATCTAGATTATTTTCCTTTTTATTTATATTTATTTATGTATTTATGTATTTATTTATTTATTTATTTTGAGACGGAGTCTTGCTCTGTCACCCAGACCGGAGTGCAGTGGTGTGATCTCAGCTCACTGCAAGCTACACATCCCAGGTTCACACCATTCTTCTGCCTCAGCCTCCTGAGAAGCTAGGACTGCAGGCACCCACCACCATGCCCCGGCTAATTTTTTTTTTTTTTTTTTTTTTTTGGTATTTTTACTAGAGATGGGGTTACACCGTGTTAGCCAGGATAGTCTTGATCTCTTGACCTCGTGATCCACCCACCTCGGCCTCCCAAACTACTGGGATTACAGGCGTGAGTCACTGCACCCAGCCAATCTGATCTACATTATTTTCTAGCTCTTCTGGTATATTGTTGGGCAACTGATGTACAATTTCTTCCTTGTGGGATGTTGTGGCTTCTTCATAAAGAACTTGAATAATCTCACACTGAATATTGTCGTTAGAGTCTTCTCATTATAGCTCCTTGTTTCAAGTCTTTCATACAATACGTTGGTATCTGTCGTCAGCAAAAAAAACTGTATGAAACCAGCCTTTAGGGAAGAAATCACAACCGCGGTATTCAACAATAACTCCACTTTCTCTCGTTTGGTTATCTAACTCATCAAGTACTCTGTCTTCATCTAAAATGGGACAATCATACTCTTCATCATAGCCATCACACAATTGCTCTTCTCAAGGTAAATCACCCACATCAATGTATTTCAGTCCTGATATCGATGCAAGTTCTTTGCCAAGTGTGGTTTTCCAACCCCTGGCGTACCGGTGAGCAGGATGTTCACAAGCAATGATGGCTTGCCGCAACAGCTCCAAGCACCTTGCTCACATGACCTTTACACTACTGTTCTTGGAATTTCTAAACCAATTCCCAATGCCTCCCAATGCCTTCACAACTCCCTTCACACACTTTTGACTTGATGCACCACATATTTATTAAAAAATTGCATAACGTAGAGGTCTCCAGAAATGTGCACAGATTTCCCCAGATTCCCAAAATTAATGAACACTAATCAGATCATGTAGGTTCTTACAGATTCTGGGAGGACTTTGGTTTTCAGTATGAATGCACTGGAAGATTCTGGGAGGGAGAAAAGAAGCCATAGAAGATTGAAGAGCATAGTAAGCATGGGACAGGAACATGTTTCTCTGTGACAGCAAGAAAAATAAAATTAGGCTTTTCTAAAACAATTTCCATTGCAACAGAGATGACCAAACCCTATTTAAACTCTGTCTTTCTCTGTGACCTTTGGACCTCTCCCATGTGTTACCTGCTCATTTATTTTCACCTTGCTTTGTGTATGGCTGTTGCCTCCTCTCTTTTCACACTGCAGGAATTTTTTCTTTGCTACAGACTCTCCACCAGAGTTTTTTTTTTTTTTTTCCCCTTCCCCGCAATAGTAAGTGGGCTCACCGGAAAATGCCCAACTTTCAGCATCTTCCTCAGGAGAGAATTAACGCTGTAGAGTTATGTGTTGAAATGTTTGTCTTTTTGAGATATTGCCTAATGACTAGATTCTGTCTTTCCTGACATGGAGTGCTGAAGGACATGATGGACTCATACAGATGACAGTTGTGTCTGATGACAAGAAAGAAAATTGCAGCACTAGAGAAACTGCAATACCACAGACAGTCAACTGGGGAAGAAAATAGCTAATCAATCTAAAAACAATGAAACAAATTCTCTTTAACTGAGAAATACACAAAGATCCAGAGAAGACATATCTGAGAATGCATCTGTGAAGCACCCAGAATCTATAGCCTGGCTGATTGCTGTCAATATCACCCTTTACTAAGCCAGTTTGTTGTTGTTGTTGTTGTTGTTGTTGTTGTTGTTGTTGTTTTCTTGAGAAAGAGTTTTGCTTTGTCGCCCAGGCTGGAGTGCAGTGGAGTGATCTCAGCTCACTGCAACCTCCATCTCGCGGGTTCAAGTGATTCTATTGTCTCAGTCTCCTGAGTGGCTGGGACGAGAGGTGCACCACAACGCCCAGCTAATTTTTTTGTATTTTCAGTAGAGACGGGCTTTGCTATGTTAGCCAGGCTGGTCTCAAACTCCTGGCCTCCAGTAATCTGCCCATCTCAGCTGCCCAAAGTGCTGGGATTACAGGCATGAGCTACCGTGCCCAGCCGTGCCAGGCTTTAAATACTAGATTTGATGGATATTTTGTAATTTTCCAGATCTTATAAAAAAAATTACAAGGCATACGGAGAAGGTGGAAAATATACTTCACTGGAAGAAACAGAATAAATATCCAGAAGTTGACTCTTAAGAAATGAAGATTTTTGCATATCTGATAAAGAATTAAAAATAATTAAGCATTCTCAGTGAACAAAAATGAAACAAAAATAGAAAATTGAATAACATTTAAAAATAATAAATGACCGAAATGTGATATCAACAAAGAGATGAAACCTTTTTTCTAAAAACCCAACAGAAATTGTGGCATTGAAGGATCCAATAACTGGCATTTGCAAATTCACTGCAGAGACACAACAGCAAACATTGGAGCAAAAAAAGAATCAGGAAATTAAATATATATTATTCACAAATATTTAGGCCTGGAAACTAACTTTTGAAAAAAATGGAAGAAATAAGGGTTAAATATGAGACTTACTGGACACTATCAAGTAGACCAATATATTCAGAGAAAGAGTCTTATGAAAAGAATATGGGAAGAAAATGACATAAATGTTATCTGGGAGAAAAAGAGGGCATGCTGAAACCTTACACATATCAGCAATGAAACAAAAAATCCTAACAACCAAGAATAATGGACCTGGAAAAAACTGTACTTCAAAAATTAGAAAAAAATAAAGCCTTTCAAAGTTTAAAATAAAAAAACTAAGGTTGCTTACTACTAGAATAACCCTAGAAAAAAATGCAAAAGACAGTCAATTATGTTGAAACATTAAATGATGCTGGACAGCATCATAAAATGATATGAAAATGTAAAGCTCTCTGTTAATATAAATATATACACAGATACAAAATTTGCTATTGTTATAATAATGGTGCATACAATTCTTAAATCTCTGTGAAAATGCATACAATATATAGAGATATAATTTGTAACATTAATAATAGAGTGGGGGAAGTAAAAATGTATATATTTTGTATGCTGTTAACTTGAAGTTGAAGGCAAAAGCTGTTTGCCCTGGGGACCTTAGCACTGGGCAAGGGATGAGGCAAAGCTGCCATTTTGTCTACCTTGGTTGTTCCATCTCCCCCTACTCTGCATAGGGATTTTTCTTGGTCTTCAGGAATAGTCAGTGTGGCCAGACTCTGTTCTGCACACACAGTCAGGTGTAGGTAGGTGTGGCATGTATAGAGGGGGCCTGGGATTCTAAAAATAATTAAATATGCAAAAAGTGGAAATCTGAGAATTTTGGGCATGATTCTCAGGACTTTGGGCTGGGGAAACAGTAAGACCTTGCTTCCATCCATGTGGTTTCTCATCAGAGTTGTTGGGGCCTTCTCCCTGCAGTTGTCCCTTAAGGAGATGTTGCAGGAGATTTAGCCGGTGCTGATGGTCCATGAAGAAATGTGTCACTGCACCTCCTTCTCACTGCACCTGGTTAGCAACATGCCAAACCACTTCCCAGGGCGGCAAAACAGTGAGGAGCTGCAGGAGGGCTCAGGGCTGTGTATGAGGGAAGGCTGGTTTGGAAGTTGGGTAGACTGCCTTGGGGAGGGCCCCAAAAAAGAAGGGCCAGGCAGCACTTCCCCAGTCCTCAGAGGTCTTTGTGTCACAGATAAGCATGTGAATGTAAGAACAGAGTTGTAATTCTAAAAAATTCAGGCAGTACAAAGCCAGGCTTGATATCAGCCCAATCAAATTCTATAAAAATAAATGATGTCTTAGAAAAAAAAAAACTTAAAAAGCTTCACAGTATTTGAGTGGGGAAATCTGTCCAGTGCAGCACCAACTGCTGTGGTGAGATTCACCTGGTTGTAAAGCAAAATCTCTCATGTATTCATGTTCTCTGGGGAAAAGCCACTTATGTTCCCAGGGTCTACCTGCTTGCTAAGAGCAATTGTGGAAAAGAATTGTAGCTCAATGGTGCCCATAGTTGATCACAGGAACTTTCCTCTTTCCCCAAACCGTCACCATTAAACTTCAGTGAAACACACACTGGAAGACCGTCTGAAGTAGGAGGTCCTGGGGAGTCCTCAGCACACCCCTTCATGAGGGCTGCCCAAAAAGGCAGCTCTAAACGCTCCTTCAACCCAAGACACTAGTGCAGAAAAAGCAGTTAGCCCTGTCGGCTCAAGACCCACGTGTGCTTCAGAGGCATTTGGCAGGAGATTCTTTGTAAGAAATGATCCCTGCCTACTAGCAGACAGGAGTGTGTGTTTGTGTGAGTGTGTGTGTGTTGAAATTAGAACCCCACCTTATGTGTTCATTATGGAATTTGAAAATGGAAGCCTAAAGTTGAAAATTAAAATCACCCATGAAAGCATCTTGCAAACTATTTTCTGTGCTAGATGCGATGTTTTAGGATACAAGGCCCTGGTAACATCCTACTCCTTCTCCCTGAAAGAGCTACACACACTACTCAAGGCCTGCTTCCACATGAACCACGTCCTAGAGCAGCTTAAGAGCCTGAACCCATCTGCTGCCTTCAGCAGGGCTGACTAAAGCTGCTTGTTCTTCCCGAGCATATTCTCCAATGACCTGAGAGGTGGAGGAGACATTGGGGCCAGGATTGAAAAGAGGGAAGGGGAGCATGGAAGCCAGAGGCTGAGGACCAGGTTTTCTCACCTGGAGGGGTCTGGCCTAGCGGCACTCAAACCAGGGTCAAATTTAGGTGGAGACAGCTGGCCTTGGGTTGCCCTGTGCTGACCACCAGCCTCGAGTTCCTCAAACAGTAGGAGTGAAAGAATGGCTTGGAGATGAGCCTCATTGACTGTTTGCCACCTGAGTACATCTTGCCAGGGTCCCAAGAGGGACCATTGTGTCTCCAGAGCCATGACTGGAAGGTGGAACTCCCAAAGGGGGCAAAGAAGAGGGTCCTTGGTGAAGTGAAGAGCTTATTTCTACTTGACCATTCCTGAAGGGCTTTAGTGCCTAAAAGTGCCCAGCATGAGCAGCTGGAACCCACTTCCTAGAAACTGCAAGATGCAAGGGGACCTCATGTACCTCTTTGTAATTACAGACAAGGACCCGAAGGGCCCCATCACTGCATCCACATGGGACTTTTACTGGATCCAGTAAGTCCCTGCCAGCTCCCCACAGGCTCCTGGTATGTCACTTGTTCTGGGCCTGTGGACAGACAACCAGGACACTTGCTCAGTGCCCACTTCCTCCTTGTAGGCCTACAGCCTATTGCTCAACCCCAAGCTCACCAGCCTTTGCTTCCTAAGCCATTCGCCACTGGAGCTGCTCAAGTACCACAGCCTGAACTTCACAAAACACTTTGTCATGCCATGAAAGAAAAGGTAAGGCTGCCGGGCATGGTGGCTCGTGCCTGTAATCCCAACACTTTGGAAGGCCAAGGAGGGCAGATCATGAGGTCAGGAGTTTGAGACCAGCCTGGCCAATATGGTGAAACTCCATCTCTACTAAAAATGCAAAAAATGGCTGGGCATGGTGATGCATGCCCTGTAGACACAGCTGCTCAGAGACTGAGGCAGGAGAATTCCTTGAACCCGGGAGGTGAAGGTTGCAGTGAGCTGAGATCACATTGATTCACTCCAGTCTGGGTGACAGAGTGAGACTTCTTCTCAAAAAATAAAATAAAATAATAAAATAAAATAAAATAAAATAAAATAGTAAAATAAAATAAAAGTCACTGTTTCATCTCCCCCGACTTGTGTCATGTTACAGGGGCTTATTGGATGAACCAGCCAGGCCAAACTCCAGAGTTTCCGCCCAAACAATCTGTCCCCACTGCTTGAGTCCCCTCTAGGGAGCTGTCAGTGTGACAGGGGGCACCTCTGGAAGTGGTGGCCATTTGCTTCTATCTGACCTCAGGGCAGCTTCTCAGGGCAAGAAGATCCTAGAGCAGATGGAAGTCTCAGAGAAGAAGCCTATGTCCAGGTTCTTGGCTCGGTCAGCTCTGTATCTCCCTCTCTCCTGTTTGTGCCATGGACTGTGTGCACACAGAGAATGCCCGCACCTTGAGGCTGAACTATGAGGAGAACCTTCCTGAACAGGGGCAGGCAGACTCATCCTGCCCTCAGTGGGAACCCCCTTCCTCTGGGTACTAGACAGAATTCTGTGCACTTTCCTGGAGGCTCCATGCTGGATCTGTTCATTTGGAAGTTTGAGGCTGTCCATAGGGAGGTAACAAAAGAGACTTCTCCTCCGTCTGGAAAAAAAAAGAAAGAAAGAAAAGGTAGACTTCTCAGAGCAAGTTGTGGGGCACAGGCTGAGCCCTTGCCTCCCTCCCTGGTCCCTCTATGGTCCCAGGACTGAAACAAGGAGCTGCAGACAATGAGGGAACTGCTCTGCAAGAACGGCCTGAGTGGCTGCTTCAAGAAAGAACCACAGTGAAAGTGCCTACAGCCCCTAGTGACTGAGTGGCAGCCTCAGGCCCACCTACCATCTGCAGGCAGGTTTTCTTGCTGACAGAATGAAAGCAAGGAAAGCAGGAATGAGCCCAGCCCTCTCAGTCACCCTGAAGGCTGCCTGGGGTTCCCTGCAAGGCCTTCTAGCCTTCTGCTTCTTGGCAAACGACCCAAGCATCTTTTTCTGGCCTTCGAGAATTTGATTCTCTGGAAGAAGACCCTACTTTTCACTAGGCTTAGTGTCCAGGGCCAGCCAGCTCCCCACCTTCAGTAACAACCAATGGTCTCTCACCTGGGCACACACTGCCCAACTTTGGCCCTTCTAAGGCAGGAGCTCATTTGTCTTGCAGGTTCAGCTTGCTAGGGCTTAAAAGTTATCATTGCTGTTATTAAGATAGAGAAATTAGGGGGAAAGAGTTGTCTTAAGAAATTTCCCCTAATCTTACCTTGGAGATCATCGGCACAGGTGACAGCTTAGGCAAGGCTGCTGAGGATGTTGGGGGAGAGGACCCAGCCTGTCCAGCCAGCTGGTCCTTGCCAGAGGTGGCTCATGACCCATCCCCTGAGAGAAGCAGGCAGACATCCCAGCAAGGAGCTGGGGTGTATAGATCAGGGCAGCCCAGGCACACTGATGGTGGCTTGGCACTACCTCCCATCAAGAGGTTTCACCACAGCTGACCCTTGGATCCAGGGGGTGATTTACAACATGTGCAAGGCAGTCAGCTCCATCAGCTGTACAGCCTTCAACATTCACTTCACCTTGGACATCTCACCAGAAAGCATTGAGGACTGGCCAACGCAGAAGCTCTGCAAAGTGAGATAGAGCATCGTTGGGTGGGGGATCTGGGGCCTGTCTGCTCATCTGATAATTGCTTCCTGAGGGTGTGCTCTGCAACCAAACAGTGACTGTTTTCATGTTTGTCTGTTTATTTATCAGTTTTAAATATCCTAATATTTCATTTATAGTAGTTTCTGTCTCGTATTTGTGTATTGGTAAAAATTGTATTAGAAGAAAGAGGGCTTAAGACAACAATATTTTAGAAGATCTTAAGGGGGCATAGACTTTCATGTCAAAACAGCTACTGTTGACCTCTTTTTGCTACCTTTGTGCAAAGTATACACAGAAAGTGCAGCCAGAGGTGATGAGGCCAAGTGTGTAGAGCAGAGCTACCTGGGCTTGCTTGCTGGTCGGCAGTCAGGTGGACTCTGGCTGTGAGGTGGTGCCCACCTGGATCTACACCCCCCACCCCCTCTCCTGAGTAACCAACACAAGGCAGTGCTAATTAGTGGGCGAGTGATAGGCATCGGGCACCCCAATACCATCTGGGAAGAATTGAATGCCATCTGGGCTGGGGTTGTGGGGGGGGCAGGGGCTGTGGCTGCATTGGCTTGTTATGGCACCACCCACAGATGCATCTGCACTGTGCTTCTTCTCCAGCAGTCAGCTGCCCATGGTCCTGAGCCTGTCATGCCATGCCTGCTACCTCACACTGCTTGTGTTTGAAAAAAACATCCTGAGATGGTGCTGCTGGATGTGACCACTGGCAAGAGGACAGCACCTTTGTCCTAGGGGATTAGGAGCTGACCAGATTGCTCCTGACTGCCTCTAGAACAAGTGGGGGCTGGTGCTGCAATTAACGATGCCTCCAAAAAGATATGTTTGCAATGGCTCAATGAATATTTGATGCAGAGGCCTACATGAAGACACATGAATGGAGTGTGTGGACATCAGTTAGCAGCTGAGAAACAGGTGCCTCTCAGGCCTCATCCTCCAACAACTGTGGAACGTGCCCAAGCCATGAGTATATACACCTGGAGTGTATACATCTGGCTGCTGCTTTTGCTGCCACTATCCCCAGGCTCAATATGGCTTAAAATCTGGATTTTAAATAGCAAAGATAGGAGGCTTTTCTGTGTCCTGGAATAGGAAGCCAGAGATCTGTGTAGGGCTGGCACTGGGTGCACATTAGTTTTGTGACATGATGAGAGCTGCAGTGGTTTTGTTAATCGTGATAGGCCTGGGCTGGTTGCAGCTCTGAGTGATGGGCAGGGAGTCAGCAATGGTGGTCATGTAGACATCCATGTGCCCAACTCTGGCCCGCCTGCCCTCAGACATAGCAAGAGGCACCACCACAGGCCCTGACTTGCCTCCCTACTCCTTGCATGCCAGATGGGAATACCTGAAAGCTACAATCTGAATGTATTCTTCTGCCATTTTGACCTGAGCTGCCTAACGCACAGTGTGTGGGGGGGCGGGGGGGAGGTGAAGGGCCTGGGGGAAAGCAGGGCTGGATCATGGATCCTGGTGGAAATTTAGAGATACAGGAGTGGTTGTCACCTCTGTGTGGAGCCCAGCTCCCTTCCTGATCCTTGCCACACAGCCCCGTCTGCAGAGACCAGGTTTGGCAAGTTTGGGGATCCCTAAGACCCTGGGCTACTCCCTGTCAGTCCTGTCTGTGCTCTTTCCCTTTCCTGTTGGCAGAGCCCAACATGGAGGAGGAGGCTGCCGCCCTCTGAGCCTGAGGAAGCTGTGTCTGACTGGGGCTTCTGTCTGGGGTTTTGCAAAGAGCTACTTTTGAATATGGCCTGTTCAGATACCTTGTTTCAAAGGAAGTGAGGGTGAACTGGCAAGTGCAGCAACTCCACACTTGATAAATAACTTTTTCTTGTCTCTAAACCATCACATTTTCATTTCACATTGGAATAAAGTAAGTGAAACCTGCCACACCAGCCTCGCCCGTGTGTTCTGTAACCCAGACTCATTTGGTTGTGAGGGCTGTTGTCAGTAATCTTATGAAAAGAAGAATATGTATAAATTAGATCAAAGGTAAAATTATGCTTATAATGTCATTTGTGTGGGTGATAAGAGGGTGGACTAACAGGCACTCAGGTGGAGTTTACTCACCTGTCGTTTACCAGACTCATGACTGTAGCTCTGGTGAACATCACCTGACACTGGTGACAGAAGAGAAAAGGCCAGTGTGAAGGCTAGGTGGGGGAGAGGTGCCAGGCTGTGGGGCTAGGTTTTAGAGTCATCTGGACACTCTTGGAGAGCTAATGAGATGGGAGGAAGGCAGTCCCCCAGGTGAACCTTACTACCGGAGCCTATGGGCTCGCGGTGGGGGAGGTGTGTGGGGGTGGCCTGTCCCTATGAGAGGAAGAGTTTACAGCTTTTACAGCTGGTGGCTGATGCTCAGCAATCCCTCTGCAGAGCAGGCAGGTCATCAGCCATGTGTATAGCTGAATGTCTTTTGAAGTGTTTAGAGAGTGCTCTATGTCTTAGAAATTCCTTTCCCTTGGCCTTGTCCAGTGAACACGGCTCACATGGCTAACACCACTTCTTGAGATGCCTTCACCATGCAAAGCTGAGAATGGATTGGGTTTAGTTACCATTGTGCCTCCTCCTCACCTGAGAGGCCTATTTTCTTTGGTTGATTCCTTAAGTGTATTAGTGCTGTCAGTCACCTTTGGACAACTCAAATGACAAGCGGCTGTTGTTTCATAAAGAAAAAAAAAGAAAATGAAGTCTTTGAATGTGAAACCCTCATTTTCTCCTCTCCTTCTCTTAGGTGAAAGATTTTATTTTTAAAAAAAGAGTACACAGTCGTATCCCAGCAGGTGTAGTGTGAGAACTGGTTTGTGCTAGGGTATGGTTTCAGTGTGGATGGGCAATTCTTCAAGATGGAAAACCAAGTCTCACTGAGTTGCTGGAGCCATACCCGCCTATCTCCACATCCCCCACCATGGGCTTTCACTTACCTCCCATGCTTGAATTTTTTAACATACATACTGGTGTATATATATACACACACACCCATATATACACACACATATATACACACATACACACACATATATACACACATACACACACACATACATACACATACAGGTCTCACTCTGTCACCCAAGCTGCAGTGCAGTGGCTGAATCATGGGACACTGCAGCCTCAAGCTCTTAGGCTCAAGGGATGCTTCCATCTCAGCCTCTCAAGTAGCTAGGACTACAGGCAAGCAACGCTACACCCAGTTAATTTGTAAATCTTTTTCTAGAGACTGAGACAACTTATGTTGCCCAGACTGGTCTTGAACTTCCGGGATCAAGCAATCATCCCACCTTGGCCTCCCAAAGTGTTTAGATTGCAGGTGTGAGCTACCAAACTCAGCCAAAAATATGTTATTTAAAGAACCATTACAATCAAATTATGAGTTATGAGTGCACCACCACTCTCCAGCCTGGGCACCAGAGCAAGACCTAGTATCCAAAATCCAAACAAAATGAAACAAAAAAATACAACCAAATTAAACTTTGAAGATTGTGTCATCTGTGTCCAGCCCTGCCCTCCAAGCTATCACAGTTAAATATAATGGTTATTGAGAAAACGGTTAGATATTAAGAAATTTCTATATGTCCTCCAGCTGAGAATGAGATATTCTAAATGTGGCCCGAATATTTTCTCACCACTACCTTCAGAATCTAAACTAGCAAATCAAATCAGGACACCTGCAGAGGACAGTCGGTCATTTTCAAATAGAAAGAGAATTACCCCCGTTAATAAGAGTAATACAGTGATTTTCAAAAACAGAAGTCAGCCTGAGATGCAGCACAGTCAGGGCACAACTACCCTGGAATAACCTCCTCACACAGTATGGTTGAGGAGCCTTTCTTAGATGAGCAAATTTGGGCAATATAATTCCTGCTTATTTATTCCCAGCCCTGGCTTCCTGCCTGATTCCTAATGGCCACCTCACGATGTGGTCAGCAGTGGGGTGCAGTGTTGTGAGAGAGGGGCTCAGGGATGGGACAAGGGTCTTTCCTGCTTATCAAAATGCTTAAAAAGTTGTGAAAAAGGTTTCCAAATGTTCTACTTCCTACCTTTAAATAGCTGCTAAGATGCATTATACAACAGACTCAGGAAAGGGAAAGAACAAGTGCATTTCAAGTCTCAGCTCACTTCTTAATTAGCTGTGATACTCTGGGCATGTGACTCCAACTATTTGAGCCTGTTTGCCTGTTCACCCAAGACAATCCTAAGCAAAAATGGCAAAGCTTGAGTCATCATGCTACCCAACTTCAAACTATATTACAAAGCTATAGCAGCCAAAACAACTATACAAAACAACAACTACTGGTACAAAACAGATATACAGACCAATGGAACAGAACAGACATCTCAGAAATAACACCACACATCTACAAGCATCTGATCTTTAATAAACCTTACCAAAACAAGCAAAGGGGAAAAAAAAATCCCTATTTAACAAATCGTGCTGAAAAACCTGGCTGGCCATTTGCAGAAAACAGAAACTGGATCCCTTCCTTACATCTTATACAAACATTAACTCAAGATGGATTAAAGATTTTTGTTTCACGGGTTATTTTTTGAGATGGAGTCCCACTTTGTTGTCCAGGCTGGAGTCCAGTGGATTGATCTCGGCTCACTGAAACTCCATTTTCAAATAGAAAGGGAAATACCTCTCTAGCAATTCTCTTGCCTCAGCCTCCTAAGCAGCTGAGATTACAGGTGCCCACCACTACATCCAGATAATTTTTTGTATTTTTAGTAGAAACGGAGTTTCACCATGTTGGCCAGGCTGGTCTCAAACTCCAGACCTTGTGATTTGCTTGCCTCAGCCTCCTACAGTGCTCAGGTTACAGGTGTGAACCACTGCACCTGGCTGGATTAAAGTCTTAAATGTAAAAACCCAAACCATAAAAACCCTGGAAGAAAACCTAGGCAATACCATTCAGGACATAGGCATGGACAAAGACTTCATCACTAAAACACCGAAAGCAATTGCAACAAAGAAAAATTGACAAATGAGATCTAATTAAACTAAAGAGCTTCTGCACTGCAAAAGAAGCTGTCATCAGAGTGAACAGGCAGCCTACAGAATGGGAGAAAATTTTTGCAATCTATCCATCTGACAAAGGTCTAATATCCAGAATCTAGAAGGAACATAAGTTCCCAAGAAAAAAAAAAGAAAAGAAAACCATGAGAAAGTGGCAAGGGATATTAACAGACTCTTCTCAAAATAAGACATTTGGCTGAGTGAGGTGTTTCGGGCCTGTAATCCCAGCACTCTGGGAGGCTGAGGCAGGAGGATCATGAGACCAGCCTGGCCAACATGGTGAAACCTCGTCTGTACTAGAAATACAAAAAATTAGCTGGGTCTTTGGGTGGGCCCCTGTAATCCCAGCTTATCAGGATGTTGAGGCAGGAGAATCACTTGAAGCTGGGAAGCAGATATTGCAGTGAGCTGAGACCCTGCCACTGCACTGCAGCTTGGGTAACAGAGCAAGACTTTGTCTCAATAAATAAATAAATAATAAAAAAAAAATTTATGTGACCAAAAAACATAAACCTCATTTTCACTGGTCGTTAGAGAAATTCAAATCAAAACCACAATGAGATACCATCTCATGCCAGTTATAATGGCAATTATTAAAAAGTCAGGAACCAACAGATGCTGGTGAGGCTGTGGAGAAATAGATACACTTTTACACTGTTGGTGGGAGTGTCAATTAGTTCAAACATTGTAGAAGACAGTGTGACAATTCCTCAAGGATCTAGAAACAGAAATATCATTTGACCCAGCAATCCCATTACTGGTTATATACCCAAAGCATTATAAATCGTTCTACTATAAAGACACATGCACACGTATGTTTATTGCAGCATTGTTTACAATAGCAAAGACTTGGAACCAACCCAAACGCCCATCAATGATAGCCTGGAGAAAGAAAATTAGGCACATATACACCACAGAATATTATGTAGCCATAAAAAGATGAGTTCCCGTCCTTTGCAGGGTCATGGATGAAACTGGAAATCATCATCCTTAGCAAACTAACACAGGAACAGGAAATCCAACACCACATGTTCTCATTCATAAGTGGAAGTTGAACAGTGAAAACACATGGACACAAGGAGGGAAACATCACACACGGACCTGTCTGAGAATGGGCATCAAGAAGAGGGAGAGCATTAGGAGAAATAGCTAAAGTGTGTGTGGCTTAAAACAGAGATGGTGGGTTGATAGGTGCAGCAGAGGGGCACGGTGGCTCATGACTGCAATCCCAGCACTTTGGGAGGTGGAGGGGTGGATCACCTGAGGTCGGGAGTTTGAGATAGGTGCAGCAAACCACCATGGCACATGTAAACCTATGGAACAAACCTGCACGTTTTGCACATGTATCCCAGAACTTAATTTAAAAAAAAAAAAAAAAAAAAAAAAAAAAAAACAGAAAGGCACTAAGGTTGAGGGGGAGTGGGGGTAGGGGCAGGAGTGGGGGTAGGGGCGGGAGTGGGTGGGCCCTGGAACTTTATCTAATCCTTGGCAGTGGCGTGGGAACCGTCCAATCAGGCAAGCAGTTGGAGAGGAAGGGAGGGCGTGGCTTCTGGTGTTTGGCGGGAATTTTTTCTCTCCCTTGCGCTGGGAACTTGGCAACTATCTCTCCTCTTCCGCCTTCTCCACGTTGGGAGCTCCAGGTGACTTCCTCACAGTCTCTGTTAATAGCCCTGTAATCTGCAGGTACTTGCCAACGCATAGCTAAGATACCAGGACATCCTGCAAGCTGTGAAATGGAGAGTATGGGGGTTTGGCATCCCAAGAGAAGAGAGCAGCCTGTAAAACCGGCAGGACTGGCCTCTCCACGGTCAGCTCCAAGTCTCCTGTGCAGCGTGGCTGTCAGTCCCCTGTGGCCACAAGATGGTGGCTGGGCCAGCAGTGGGGATCCCTGCGTCCCACCTCGTGCAGTCCTGTCCTCTCCCTGAGTGGCGTTCTGCTGTGCTCCCACAGCCCTGCAATGGAAGGGCACCATGGATCAATAAGGCCGAGAGGCGAGACAAAGAGGGCAAAAATCTTCTTTATTGAGCTCTCGGGCGAGGTTCACTGGTCCGCAGGGGGAAGGCCAGGGAAGTCATGCTGTACCAAAGGTGCAGTGTGCTTTTATGGATGCTGGGTGAGGAGTGGGCGGGGAAGGGGCAGGGTCGGTTGAGTTTTGCCCTTCTGAGTGTGACATGCCCTAGTGGGCATGCGCGTTAGTCGGGGTGGTGGGAACAGGAAAGGTGAACCCGGAAATGCAGAGTCAGAGTATCCGAGGTGGCGATCGCCATCTTGGAGTCTTCACTGGAGTCCAATCAGTCCAACCTCTTTTTGGTTATAGAAAAGGGATGACAAAATCGTCTGGCTACTTCCTGCTGTTAAGGGGCATCGTTGGGGAGGGGGCCTAAATCAGAGGTTGGCAGTTGGATGTAGGGGTGAAGTAATATCTGGTTGAAAGCGACCCTCGTGATTTCTTGTATCCGCTGGTGGAGAAACTGTACTAGAATTGGGGCAAAACACATATTATACAGAGAATTATAATTGGGATAAAGAAAGGGAGCATCTGTTGAACCACGGGTGAAAACTACCAGAAAGACCAGGGCAGAGAGGGTCGTAGGAGTGTTTTAACTCCTCTTGGATCTTTTTTTTTTTTAAAGTTTGTAAATTGGTCTCAACTACCCCTGACTCATTGAGATAATAGCAGCATTCTTCCTGTAACAATAAACACGTCCCTCCTTTTTCTGCCATAAGCAAGTCTAAGGCCCACCTGTTCTTTGCCGTGACCTGTGCTACTGAAGTGATCTGTCACTGTAGGGAGGACAGGGACTCGGCTGATGCCTCAATGGCCAACTGCAGGCGAGTAGACAGATCTTGAGATGTTTGGATTGAGTGGGTGAGGGCTCCTTTTCCTAGCCCTGATGCCACTAAGGAGGAGGCTAAGGAGATGCCTAGTACTAAGGGTAGGAAAATAGCCCATTTGCTTTTATTTCACGACCTTGGCTCGGTCCAGGCTAGCAGATGGCTAAGTTCGTCCTGACTATATAGGGTCAGGCTAGGGATGAGAGAGATGGATAAGCACAAGGTGTGATTACCAGTTGAGTTAAGAACTTTAGTTAGCATGGGGTTACATCAGAAGTAGCCTCCGGGAGGTGCTGGGGTGCTGGTAAGCATCCTGGTCTGGTTACACCAAGAGGCATTTGGAGTAGAGTAACAGAACGGGAACTTGTGTCTTGTAGGGGCTGAGAATAGTGGGACCTGTCCTTTTGGGATCGGTGGTATAGGGGTGGATGAATTTCTTGTATAATTAAAGGGGGTAGGGAGAGGAACTGCTACTAAGGGAGGTCTTCTCAGGGCTGCACAGAGGAAGCAGTGGGAGAGGTTTTGTACCCCTGTGGATTAGAGCAATTGTGCACCTTCTGAGATTAAAGTTAACCATGAGAAGGGGGAGGACTTGGCCTGGTCAGCTGCCAGTTGAAGCTGGGTGGCAAGCTCTTTCTTGGCTGACTGGATTGAGGAGGCTAAGTCGGATAAACATGTGACAGTGGTTTTAAGCGTCCTGGCAATGCGGATCTTAGCTACTGGATACATAAAAGTTCTGTGCTCATATAGTCCTCCATCTACACTGGAGGCCCAGCAGGGTCCCAAGGGTCAGAGATTTGGAGGTTAAATCCGTTAAAGCCATCCCATCCTCCAGTGGAGGTATTGACATAGAACATTGGGTCAGATCCTTTTTCAGTACGAGTTAATGCCTCATGGATATTGCACCAGTGCCACGGACAGCCTACATTTTCTTTGGCCCAGCTGGTATTGTATTTGGAGTTACTTTGATCATACAGGAAGCAAAGTGCAGGGTTTTTTTCTAGCTGGGCCTAGGGAAGATAATTTTAGACCTAGGAAAGCTATGGGTGCCTGGCACCCTGCTGGCAGGCATGCTGCTGTGGCTACTAGTCTAGAGGAGACTGCCTGTCCGGAACTCCAATTCTCAGTGAGGGAAAAAAACCCAGTGAGAGGGAGTCTGAGAGGGGGCTTGTCAAAGCGAACTTCATGTTGGTGAAAGTTCTGGAGGGAGCCTTGCCACACCAGTTCGTCTATATAGGACAACAGATTTTCAGGCCAGCGAAGGGTGTTAGCAAAACTAGGGAATGACCAGCTTTCCTCGAAAAGAACCTGCATAAATTGTTGGAGCCTGTCATGCAGAGAATTCATGCAGTATTTGATTTAGAGAGTTTCAGTTTGGTTGGGGAGAGGGAGGTGACAGTCCAAGTGGCCTGATGTTGTGTAGGTGCCCTCTTAAGATGGGAAATATGGTACCAGGAGGGAAGGCCTATAAGTTTAGCTGCCACTGGTGTTGTAAGAATTACCGTATAGGGGCCTTTCCACTGTTGGGAGAGACCTCTTGCCTGGAGGTCTTTTACTAGTACCTGATCTCCTGGGGTTATTAGGCCAGACTGTCTGGGCTGAGTCGTCCGGGCTTTGGAAGGCTGTGGTTGGCATGTTCTCTTAGCAACTCCCTTAACAGGGTGAGGCAGGGCAGGTATGTGCCAAAAGGTGGGGTATTCACAGGGAGCTCTTGAAAGAGGAAGGGGCGCCCGTATAGGAGTTCAAAGGGGCTAAGGCCTGTGGGGCTTCAGGGTGCTGCCTGGAGCCGCGCGAGGGCAAAGGGAAGTAAGATTATCCATGATTGGCGTGTCTCAAGAGCCAATTTGATTAGGTGTTCTTTCACAAGGCCATTGGTGTGTTCACTGTTCCAGAAGACTGCGGATGGTACGGAATGTGTAGCTTCTAGTTAACACCAAGTGTGGTTGCCACCTGTTTGACTATTTTGGAGATAAAAGCAGGCCAAATCGCAGGATTATCTGTTCAATGAGGGTTGAAGCTACTACCTCTGCTGTTTTATGAGTGGTAGGGCAGGCTTTAATCTAACCTGAGAAAGTGTTTACTAAAGTAAGAAGATAACTCGATGTATTTGCTTTAGTAAGGAATAAAAGGAAGGATGGTAGATTATGAGTTCAAGAAAGTTATATAGTGGTCTAGGCGGCAGGGCAGTGAAGGCGTCTGGCGGTAGGTGGAGGGAGTGCCATCAATCCTTATAACAGAGATTGAGGAGGGGCAGCTGGACCTGCTAAAAGATGGCAAAACAGAGTAGGTAGCCCTTGTGTCTAGCAAAAAGGAAATGGACTTACCCGCTACCTGAAGCATTACCCTGGGCTCGGCAAGGGTGAGAGGGGTTCCCGAGCCTGGGCCTCTTCAGTCGTCGTCCAGTTGGAGGAGCTGGAGGGCACCTTCGCCATCGGGGGAGGGGTCGCCATGTGGAGACACAGCGGCCACTCTGAGGCTGGGGCAGTCTGACCTCCAGTGCCCCATTTGTTGGCAGTTAGGGCACAGGCACATTGGTGGCTTGGGGTTTGGGCACTGTTTTGCCCAATGACCTCGATTGCCACACTTGAAACAGTTGCAAGGCAGGCAGGATGGTTGCTGTTGGCTAGGGCACCAGCTGGCCCAGTGTCCTGAGTTGCAGCACTTGAAGCAGGTGCCAGACGGGGCCCGGGAGATTGTACCGCTACCTCTCCTGCTGGGGCTCTTAGGGAATGCCGGTTGCAGGGCAGCTGCCAGGGCTTGGGTTTGGAGCTGAACTTTTTATTTCAGTCTTGCCTGTCATTGTCCCTCAGCCGCCTCCTCTCAGGAATTAAAAACTTTGAACGCCAGCTTTACTAAGTCCTGGATAGGGGTTTGGGGGCCCTCCACTGCCTCATCCAGGATTAGCGGATATCACTGCCCACAGCTAATGTGTTAGGAGTAGTAGATGTAGTGGACTGGTATGGCACTACGGGGAGGTGGAAATAAGAATGGGGATAAGACGGAAGCCAAGGAGTTAGGTGGGCAGGGTTAAAAGAACAAATGGGAACGGGAATTAAAATGGCTGCTGAATGGTGGCAGAAGAACTAAAATGGCAGCAGAGAAAAAAGGAAGTAAGATGGCGGAGGTGAGGAAACAGGTAGTAAGATGGTGGCGGTGCAGAAGGAGATGGCAGCGGAGAGACTAAGATGGGGGCCACAGACAAGATTAACGGCAAGAGAGGCTGGCCAGACTTCAAGGGGAAGGCTAGCCAGATGGACTTGCTCCAGTGAAAACACTTGGCGGCAGCTGTCCGACGAGAGCAGAGGTCCCAGAACCTTTGAACAAATTTGATTTTTGACTGTTTGCCTCACCTCTGACAAAATTGGTGAGGTCGTTTAGGATACTGAAGTCGAGTGTGCCTTCAGGGGGCCAGCGAGATTGGTTGTCTAAGGTGTATTGTGGCCAGGCAACTGTGCAGAAGAAAATTAGTCGCTTTTGTTTTAAATCTTGATCGAGTTGTAAAGTTGGGAGGTTGCGCAGGAGGCACCCTAAGGGGGTGTTTTGCGTGATTTTGGACTGGGTGGACCCCATCCTCTTCCCTTTATGGCAGCGGTCTGAGGGACAGCAGAAGCGGCCTTCTGGGTTCACTCAGACCACGTGGTTCCTGGAGCCTCGGATCGGCTACTTCAGACACAGACGTCTCAGAGTCGTCAGTGCAGATTTGGACTTCCCCTGGGGAAGTAAACTTGGGTCACCTGGTGATGGACTGGCCTTCCCTTGAGGAAGGAAACTCTCCCTGGTCATGCACATGACTCTCGGCCAGGGACGAAGGGACAAAAGGAAAAAGGAGAGGTACTCACCTCGCGTCAGCCAAATTGGACTGGAGTAGCTGCAGCAACTGTGACCTGGCGGCAAGTAACCGGACTAAACGAACGGATGGCCGTGTAGGAGAAGCCTGACCTGACTGAGGGACAGGCCTGATCCGACCAGGAGGGGAGTCCCCCTGAGCCTCTGGGGGAGCTTAGGAGCTGTCCCCTCCTGGGTTTCGGCACCAATGAAAGGCAACGGAAGGACACCGTGGATCAATAAGGCCGAGAGGCGAGACAAAGAGGGCAAAAATCTTTATTGAGCTCTGGGGTGAGGTTCACTGGCCCACAGTGGGAGGGCCAGGGAAGTCATGCTTTGCCAAAGGTGCAGCGCGCTTTTATGGATGCTGGGTGAGGAGTGGGTGGAGTAGGGGCGGGGTCGGTTGAGTTTTGCACTTCTGAGTGTGACATGCCCTAGTGGGCATGCACATTCGTCGGGGTGGCGGGAACAGGAAAGGTGAACCCAGAAATGTTGAGTCAGGGTATCCAAGGTGGCGATCGCCATCTTGGAGTCTTCACCGGAGTCCAATCACTGAGTATTCTTCATATTGTTCAGGGATAGGAGTGGGTCATAAGGGCAGAAACCCGACTTGGAGTGTGCGTGGGAGGAGCTGCGGCTGGAGGGGTCCCCATTCTCTCTTGTTAAAAATTAAAGGGAGTCCAGCCAGGTGCAGAGGCTCACACCCATAATCCCAACACTTTGGGGCAATGAGGTGGACAGATCAAGAGGTCAGGAGATCAAGAACATGCTGGGTAACACGGTGAAACCCCGTCTCTACTAAAAATACAAAAAAAATTACCCGGGCAGTGTGCCTGTATTCCCAGCTACTAGGGAGGCTGAGGCAGGAGAATGTCATGACCCGGGAGGTGAAGCTTGCAGTGAGCCGAGATCATGCCACTGCACTCCAGCCTGGGCAACAGAGCGAGACTCCATCTCAAAATAATAATAAAATAAAATAAAAATAAAGGGAATCCATATTAAAACGTTAACCAGTTTATTTGAGCAAACAGTGATTAGTGAAATGGAAAGCAACCAGCCGTGATTTGTAGTCCACCCAAGGAGCATGCAGGAAAGGCTTTTATAAGGTACACAAGAAAGCAAGCCAAGTTCAAGAATTGGTTAGAGTTGGCTGGGCACGGTGGCTCATGCCTGTAATCCCAGCAATTTTGGAGGCCATGGCATCCAGACCACCTGAGGTCGGGAATTCAGACCAGCCTGACCAACATGGTGAAACCCTGTCTCTACTAAAAATATAAAATTAGCCGGGCATGGTGGTGCATGCCTGTAATCCCAGCTACTCGGGAGGCTGAGGCAGGATAATCCTTGAACCCAGAAGGTGGAGGTTGCCATAAGTTGATATCACGCCATTGCACTCCAGTCTGGACAACAAGAGTGAAACTCCGTCTCAAAAAAAAAAAAAAAAAAAAAAATTACATGTATGGATATATTTCCTGACCCTTAATTCTATTCCATTAATGTGTATATATTGACCTCCTATTCTACAACTTTGCAGAATTTGATTATTAGTGTTAACAGTTTTATTATTACTTAGGATTTTAATTATATACATAAAATTATAATATCTATATGTAGAAATAAGCTTATTTCTTTTCCATTTGGAATGTTTCTTTTCTTGTATTGCTCAATTATTCTGACCTGATTTGTATTGCAATTTTGATCAGAAGTGATGAACGCAACTATCCTTGTCTTGTTCCTGATCTTAAGGAGAAAGTTTTTAGTCTTTCACCATTGCATATAATGGTACTTTTGAGTTTTTTATAGGTACCTTTTTTTATGTTGAGGAAGTTTTAGTCTATATCTAGTTTACCAGGTGCTCTTATAAAAATGTTTTGGATTGTTTCAAATTTTTTCTTCATCAATTGAGATGATCTTTTTTTTCTAAAATTCATTCTACTGAGTTGGTATATTGCATTGACTAATTGCAATTGTTAGAGTGAGAAAAATTGGATTTACAACTTTTAATGTTTAAAACAATTCATCAGTGAAGCCATCTGATTCTCGACTTTTCTTGTTAGTACGTTTTTGGTAATTTACGCAGTCTTTTGCTAGTTACAGTTTGCATTAGACTTATTCAGAGGAATAGAAGGAATAGAACAAATATCTACCTCTATATCAATATCTATATGTGTGTTAATATATGGGACAGAGCCCTTTTGGGTTGTCATGGCAGTGTCTGCACAGGGGGCCTTTCTCAGCCATCTCTGGTATGGTTTAGAGAACCCTCTGTTCTTCCACTCACCTTATTTCAATGCTGGCCCTTGTTGGCAACAGCAAGCTTCTGTCCTGCACCAGAGGAAACAGAGTGTGACCCGATTAAAACACTGTGTCAATCTCCTGTGTGGAACTCTGCAAAGACAGTAACCGGCAGCCAGACTTGGAAGACTCAGAGCTATTTCTGGCCATCACTGCTGCTCCTTATACCCCATGCAACTTTCTGCTCCCCAGATGAGGCATAGAAATATGTCTGCACAGAACTTCAGCCTTGGAAAGCACAAGATAACAGCTCCAGGGCTCAGAACAATCAATTGAGATGGATGGGTACCACAGCAGAATTTGCCTTCCAGCTTTGCGAACCATTACCTGGTTTGTAAACATGAGCCATCAGTATTCTAACATCCCAACAGTCTGCTCTTCCTCAGAATGGGCCAGCCTCATATGACATTCCCCTACACAAAAAATTTGACATTAAATATTTATCCTGTTGTATTTGGCTTGTTTTACATAGTATAATGTCTTCAAGTTTCATCCATGTTGTAGCGTGTATCAGCATTGCATTTTTTTTTTTTTTTTTGAGATGGAGTCTCTTTCTTCACCCAAACTGGAGTGCACAGCAATGCAATCGTGACTCACTGCTGCTTCAACCTCCCCAGGCTCAAGTGATCCTTCTGATTCACATGGACTTCCCCTGTGTCTGGGACTGTAGGCACACACCATCAAGGCCAGCAAATTTTTGTACTACGTGTAGAGATGGAATTTTGCTATGTTGCTCAGGCGGGTCTGAAATTCCCAGGCTCAAGACATCCTCTCATCTTTGCCTCCCAAAGTCCTGAGATAATAAGCATAAGCCACCATGCCCAGCAGGATTGCATTCATGTTTAGGCTAAATAATATTCTGTTGTGTATCTATACCACATTTTCTTTATGTGTTTATCTCTTAGAAGATATCTGGATTTGTTTTTACCTTTTATACTGTAAATGATGTGGCTATAAAAATAGGTGTGAAAGTATCAGTCCATAAGTGAATAAAATTGAAAAACCCAAACACATCTGTGCATGCAGTTCTTAAATTGAATAACAGAGGTGTTAGCATGGTGGCTCACACCTGTAATCCCGAAAGTCTGGGAGGTAGAGATGGGCATATCACTTAAGCTCAGGAGTTCAAGACCAGTCTGGGCAACATGGCAAAACCCTGTCTCTACTAAAAATTTAAAAATTAGCTGGGCATGGTGGTGCATCCTTGTAGTTCCCAGCTATTCGGGAAACTGAGGGACGAGAATCACTTAAGTCCCAGAGGCAGAGGTTGCAGATTACGTCCTTGCATGTAATTATTTTGAATACACCTGTAGTTGAAACATATGGAAGTGTTCCACCTGTTGCTGAAACATACGGTAATTCTATATAGAACTTTCTGATATACTGCCAAACTATTGGTCACAGTTGATAAACCACTGGTCACAGTTGATAAACCATTCTCACCAGCCATGCACCAGGGTTCCACTTCACCCACATCCTAGCCAGTACCTGTTCTTTTTCATTTTTGTTGTTTTGGTTTTAATATAGCCACCTTAATAGATGTAACGTGGTACCTTATTGTGGTTTTGATGTGCATGTCCTTCATGACTGGTGATGCTGAGCATTTTTCTGTAGGCTTATTGACCCAATATAGATTCAAGTCCTCTCCCTTTTTATAAATACTGTTGTTGTTTTGTTTTGTTGTTGAGTCTTAGAAGTTCTTTATATATTCTGCTCATTATATTATACCTTATGTACCTAGTCAGATATGTGATTTGCAAATCTTTTCTCCTATTTGCTGATTGTCTTTTCACTTTGTTGTTCATGCTTTTTGTACCAAATTTTAGTAGAAGTGAGTTTTTTTGGTATCAGAAAACATGAACAACAGGGTGTTTTTCATATCAAAAAAATATAAAGGATTGACATTTTAATCAAGTCCAATTTATCTGTTTTTCATTTTGTGGCCTATGCTTTTGGTGTAACAGTCAAGAAACAATCAGCAAATTTAATGTTATAAGATTTTTGCATATGCTTTTTCCTAAGAGTTTTTTAAGTTTAACTTTTTAAAACTTTTACAGTAGGTTTGGGGGTAGACGTGAAGGTTTGTTACATAGTAAACATATGTCACAGGGGTTCACTGTACATATGATTTCATCACCCAGGTATTAAGCCCAGTACCATATAGCTATCTTTTCTGTTTCTCACCCTCCTCCAACCCTCTAACTTTAAATGGACCCCAATGTCTTTTGTTTTCCTCTTTGAGTTCCTAAGTTCTTATTTAGTTCCCACTTACAACTGTGAACATGCAGTATTTGGTTCTCTGTTCCTGTGTTTGTTCGCTAAAGGTAATACCCTCCAGCTACATCCATGTTGCCGCAAATGACATAATCTCTTTGTTTTATGGCTGCTTAGTATTCCATAACATGTATGTGGTGCATTTTCTTAATCTAATCTGTTACTGATAGTATTTGGATTGATTCCATCTTTGCTATTGTGAATACAGCTGCAATGAACATTTACATGTAGGTGTCTTTATGGTGGGATAATTTCTATTTCTTTGGGAATATACGCAGCAATGGGATTGCAAGCAGGACTATTGAATGGAAGTTCTGCTGTTAGCTCTTTGAGGAATTGCCAAGCTGCTTTCCATAATGGTTGAACTAATTTACACTTGCACCAACAGTGTATAAGTTCCCTTTTCTCTACAACCTTGCCCACATTTATTGTTTGACCCTTTAACTATAGCCATTCTGACTAGTGTGAGATGACATCTCATTGTGGTTTCTTTCTTTCTTTCTTTTTTTCTTTTTTGGGATGGAGTCTCACTCTGTGACCAGGCTGGAGTGCAGTGGCATGATCTCAGCTCACTGCAACCTCTGTTTCCTAGGTTCAAGCGAGTCTCTTGCCTCAGCCTTCTGAACAGCTGGGACAACAGGCGCATGCCACCACACCCAACTAATTTTTGTATTTTTAGTAGAGATAGGGATTCACCATGTTGGTCAAGATGGTCTCAATCTCTTGACCTCGTGATCTGCCTGCCTCAGTCTTCCAAAGTGCTGGGATTGCAGGCATGAGCCACCGAACCTGGCCGTCTCACTGTGGTTTTAATTTTCATTTCTCTAATGATCGGTGATGCTGAGGTTTTTTTAATACACTTGTTGGCGATATGTTTGTCTTCTTTTGAAAAGTGTCTATTCAGGTCCTTTGCCCACTTTTTAATGAGGTTTCTTTTATTGTAAATTTAAATTCCTTATAGATGCTGAGATAGTAGATCTTTTTCAGATGTGTAACTTGCAAATGCTTTCTTCCACTCACTAGGTTCTCTGTTTACTCCATTGATAGTTTTATTTTCTGCTATGCAAAAGCTCTGTAGTTTAATTAGATCTTACTTGTCAATGTTTGCTTTTCTTACTATTGCTTTTGGTGTTTTTGTCATGAAATCTTAGCACGTTCCTGTATCCAGGATTGTATTGCCTGGATTGTCGTCTGGGGTTTTATACTTTTCAGTTTTATATTTAAGTCTTCAATCAATCTTGAATTTATTTATTTATTTATTTATTTATTTATTTATTTATTCATTTTTTATTTATTGTATATGGTGTAAAGAAGGGGTCTGGCTTCAGTCTTCCACATATGGCTAACCAGTTATCAAAGCACAGTTTATTGAATAAGAAATCTTTTTCTTATTGCTTGTTTTGGTCAGCTTTGTCGATTATCACATGGTCACAGATGTGCAGCCTTATTTCTGGGTTCTCTATTCAGTTCCATTTCTCTATGTGCCTGTATTTGTATCAGTATCATGCGGCTTTGGTTCCTGTAGCCTTGTAGAGTAGTTTGAAGTCAGGTAACGTGATACCTCCAGCTTTGCTCTTTTTGCTTAAAATTGCCTCATCTATTTGTGCTGGTTTTTTTGTTCTGTTTTGTTTTGTTTTTTTCCCACAGAGTCTTACTCTGTTGCCCAGGCTGGAGTGGAATTTCAGGATCTCAGCTCACTGCAAGCTCCACCTCCTGGGTTCATGCCATTTTCCTGCCTCAGCCTCCTGAGTCACTGGGACTACAGGTGCCCACCACTATACCCAGTAATTTTTTGTATTTTTAGTAGAGACGGAGTTTCACTGTGTTAGCCAGGATGGTCTCAATCTGATGTCATGATCCGCCTGCCTCGGCCTCCCAAAGTGCTGGGATTACAGGCGTGAGGCAGCACTCCCAGTCTTTTGGTTTTATATGAATTTTAAAATAGTTTTGTCTAGCTCTGTAAATAATTTCATTGGTAATTTGAAAGGAATAACATTGAATCTGTAAATTACTTTGTCCAGTATAGCCATTTGAGTCATATTGGATCTTCCTATCCATGAACATGGGATGTTTTTCCTTTTGTTTGTGTCTTCTCTGATTTCTCCAAGCAGTGTTTTGCAATTCTCATTGTAGAGCTCTTTCACCTCCCTGGTTAGTTGTATTCCTTGATATTTTATTATTTTTGTGGCAGTTGTGAATGGGATGGCCTTTCTGATTTTGCGTCAGGGTTGCTATCTTTGGTGGAGAGAAATGCTAGTGATTTTTGCACATTGATTTTGCATCTTGAAACTTTGCTGAAGTTGTTTATTGACTAAAGAAGTTTTAGAGTTGTAACTACAGGGTTTTCTAGATATAGAATCCTATTATCTGCAAACAGAGATAGTTTGACTTTCTCTTTTCCTATTTGGATGCTCTTTACTTTTTTTATGTTGCCTGATTGTTCTGGTCAGGACTTCCAATACTATGTTGAATAGAAATGGTGAGAGAGGGCATTCTTGCCTTGTACTGGTTTTCAAAGGGAATGCTCCCAGCTTTTGCCCATTCAGCAGAATGTTGGCTGTGGGTTTGTTATAGGTGGCTCTTATTATTTCCTGCATATATTGAGATAATCATGTTTTCTTTTTAATACTGTCTATGTGATGCATTACGTTTACTGATTTGCATATGCTGAACCAACCTTGCATCTTAGAAAGGCAGCCTACTTGACCATGATGACTATCTTTTTGATGTGCTGCTGGATTCAGTTTACAAATATTTTGTTCAGACCTTTTGTGTTGATGTTCATCAAGAACGTTGGCCTAAAGTTTTCTATACTTGTGTCTCTGTCAGGTTTTCATGTCAAGATAATGCTGGCCTCATAGAATGAGTTGGGGAGGAAATTCTCCTCCTTTTTTGGGATGGTTTCTGTAGGAATTGTACCAGCTCTTCTCTGTACATTTGGTAGAATTTGGCTGGAAATTCATAAGGTCCAGGGCTTTTTTTGATTTACAAGCTATGTATTACTGATTCAATTTCAAAACTTGTTATTGGTCCATTTAGGAAACCAGTGTCTTCCTAGCTTAGTCTTGGGAGGGTGTGTGTGTGTCTAGGAATGCACCTATCTCTTCTAAGTTTTACACATTGTGTGTATAAAGTTGTTCATGGTAGTACTGACCTCACATAAATAACAACAACTATCAGAAACCACTAAAGTTTTAACAGTTGTTTTTATGTCTTGAATCTATTTTTGTTTAATTTTTTTACATGGAATGTGGAAAAGATTTAAACTTACTGGTTTAAACTTGGACTTGTTTTCCCAGCATCACTTGTTGAACAAACTGTCATTTCCTTTACATAATGGTTTAGGCACCCTTGTCAAAAGACAATTAACAATTTATGCAAGGTATTTTTTTCAGAGTTATCTATTTATTAATTTTATCTCTATCATTGCTTTTATGCCAGTGTCAAACTTTTAATTACAGTAGCTTTTTATGTTCTGAAGTTTAAAATGTGAGCCACCTAGCTTTGTTCTGTTTTTCAAGATTATTTTGGATATTCAGAGCACCTTCAAATTTCATATGAATTTTAGAATGGGCTATTCTGTTTGTGCAGAAGAAAAGTTGGAAAAAATAAAAAATTGGGATTACAATACTCTGTACACTACTTTGGCTAATATTGTCATTTTAACTTTATTAAGGCTTCCAGTCCATAAACATGGAATTCCTTGCCACTTATTTAAGTATTTCTTAGTTTATTTCATATATATTCTTATCTTGTATTTTTCATTGTACAAGTTTTGTACCTCCTTATTAAATTTATTGCTGAGCATTATGTTATTTCAATGTTGTTGCAAACAATTGTTTTCTTAATTTACTCTCAAATTTATTGTTGGTATATGGAAATGCAGTTTATGTTTCTGTGTTGTAAAAATAATGATTTTATCTCTCAAATCTAGATTAGCAATTCATTCACAATAAATATGCTATTTACATTGGTAGTCATTTAACTATTTCCAATAAGCCAACTAATTTCACTGTATTCTAAATATGTTCAATTGTGTTTTATTTTCATTTCTTCTCACCTGTCATTCACCCAGCCAGAATTACATCACTTCACAGATAGAACTTTCATTTCTGGTATGTGGCGCAGTGGTTTATGCCAGTAATCCCTGCATTTTGGGAGGCCAATGCAGGTGGATCACCTGCTATCAGGAGTTTCAGACAAGGCTCGCCAACATGGTGAAACTCTGTCTTTACTGAAAAAAAAAAACAAAAATTAGCTGGGCAGGGTGGCAGGAGCCTGTAGTCCCAGCTATGATACAGGAGAATCAGCTGAACTGTGGAAGTTGAAGTTGCAGTGAGCTGAGATCGTGCCATTGCACTCCAGCCTAGGAGACAGAGAAACTCCATCTCAAAAAAAAAAAAAAAAAGGAAAGGAAAAAGAAAAATATCCAACAACTTTCCTTTCTCTAATGTCCCTAAAGTCTTTGGTAATGGTATTTATTCCTGTCTCTTACAATCTTTAACATTCTCACAACACAAAACAACCAAAGTTAGTCTTCATGTTGAAAATCTTCAATGGATCTTTTACATCAGAAGATTGCTTAGTGTAATATTTAATGGAAAGGATTCATGCTGCTGAGATATAATTCTCCAGTAGTCTTTTAGAGTTTGTTGTTTTGCTATTTTTATGTCACATATCTCTCCTTTTCCAGGTTATTTTTCAAAGATTTTTGTACAGAAATAGCCTGGGAAAACGGTAGTAATTTTTCTTTTCAGGTGAATGGCAGATAAATTACTCATCCAATATAAAAAAGACAGTTTTCTCTCTGAGACAAATGTTGGACAGGTTTGCATGTAACCTACTTCTAAAAGATTGAGGTTTCTTAATCTTGAGTTTGCTCGGCTCTGATACAAATCTTCCACATGTGCAATGCGCATCTGAGCCTTTTGAAATCCCTCCAAAAGATATAGTATGAACAAGGAGAACTAATATAAATATGAAGATTTTGCCTCCAGTTCTGCAGTCAATCATAAGTATTTTGTCATTGAAACCATTTGTTTCTCAACTACGTATGACCCAGAAGTCCCCTCCTCACTTTGAGAATTCCTGCTTTTGCTTCAAATTGTCCTGCCTTTGCAGACCAAACCAATGTTAATCTTGCACACATTGATTGATGTCTCCTGTGTTCCTAGAATGTATAAAACCAAACTGTTCTGATGACCTTAGGCACACGTCCTCAGAACCTCCTGAAACTGTGTCACAGGCATGTGTCCCCAAACTTGGCCAAATATACTTTCTAAATTCACTGAGACCTGTCTCAAGTTATTAGGGTTCACAATGGAGAGTGCATTGTAGCTCCACCCTGGGACTTCTCATTAACAGGAACTGCCCTGAATCTCTCCAGATGCAGCAAAACTAGGTACATGTAAATTGTATGAAACTAAGTGGCACTTCCTAGAAGTATACTGATGAGTGTGGAGGAAAAACCAGGAAACGCCCACCTTTCAAAGACACAATAACACTGAATGATGGTTGACATTTTCAGAGTCAACTTGTTTCCTGAGTCATCTCCACCAAATTTGAAAACATTCCAGGGTGAGCTATTGTCCCTCCAGCCTTAGGCTCTCCCGCTTCGGTCCCCTGCACCCTCCCCTCAACCCTTGCAGTGATCACAGTTTCTGATTCTGCAAAAGCAGATGGGAGCCCTGAACTCTGCTCACTGCAACCTCCACCTCCCGAGTTCCAGCTATTCTCCTGCCTCAGCCCCATGAGTAGCTGGGATTACAGGCATGTGCAGCCACATGCAGCAAATTGTATTTTTAGTGCAGATGGGGTTTCACTATTTAGGCCAGTCTGGTCTCACGTGAACGGCCCTTCTCGGCCTCCCAAAGTGCTGGGATTACAGTCAGAGCCACTGCACCTGGCCAGAGAACAATGGCTTTTTAATGATTTTTTTGAGTCATGAAGTCCTTTGAGAATATTATAAAAATTAGGAGCTCTCTCTCCAGTAAAATGCACACACATATACAGAATGTTCCCAGAGCCTCTGAAGCCCCACCATGCATCCCTGCCCAAGAATCCCTTGTCTATAGAATATGTTCTACTATAGTGCTATTCATCACAAAACAAGTTGCCCCATCACAACCTGATGTTGAAATGCACATTTGGAATCTTGCAGTCACGTAACCTTAAGTGTTCAGTCAAGAAAGACAGATTCCTCCCACAGCAATGTGGCAAAAACTTTGCATAGTACCCCAGGGCCTCCTGGACTGTTTATGATTCATCCATACACTTGAGCACGTACACAACAATCTGAGATGTGAAAGGCACAGAAGCTGGTCTTAATCTGAGCAAATCAGCAGCTTTCAGAAGCTGCAAGGAAATGAAGCATCTGAAAAAAATGAAAATTGTCCCTAACGATAGCTCAGAAAATAGGGCTGATTAGGCAAACTCTAGCCCCGAGTTTCAGTGGATCCCAGATGTCATGGATCACCAATCACTGTTACCATCCTCCTGGGAGCATACTGCTTACCTGTTTGCCAGCCAAACTCAGTAGAACCGATTTTAGAGTCAGGCAGGCCTGGATTTAAATGCTGGCTTTCTTCACTGTATAAATTTGTGGAGGCTGCTTAGCTTCTCTGAACCTTGGTTACCTCATCTGTAAAATGGGACTAACAAGAGAATCTACCTCATAGGATTATTGTGAACATTAAATGAAATGAGATATGTAAAGTGCTCAGCACCCTACTCAGCAAATGGGAAGTACTCATTAATATGGCTGTTACTATGGACAATAGCAGAGGGCAATAACAACATAACTCTGGAGTTAGGAAAACTCAATTCCATGCCAGACATGGTGGCTCATGCCGGTAATCCCAGCACTTTGGGAGGCCAAGGTGGGTGGCAGATCACTTGAACTCAGGAGTTCGAGACCAGCCAGGACAACATAATGAAACCCTGTTTTATTTTTTATTAAAAAAAAATTAGCCAGGTGTGTTGGTGCATGCTTCTTGTCCCAGATACTCAGGAGGCTGAGGTAGGAGGATCACTTGAGCCCAGGAGGTTGAAGCTAAAGGGAGTTGTGATTGCACCACTGCACTCCAGCCTGGGCAACATGGCAAGGTCCTGTCTCCAAAACAAAAAATTAACAAAAAACCCTTGATTCAGATTTTGACTCCAATTACTTGCAGGTTTAACTTTGTGCAGGTTACTAAACTCTCCCATTTTTAGTTTCCTCAACTGAAGCAAAGGGGTTAACCCCTACTTCAAAGTGTAGTTCAGCCAGGCACAATGTCTCAAGCCTGTAATCCCAGCACTTTGGGAGGTTGAAGTGTGCTGATCATTTAAGGTCAGGAGTTAAAGACCAGCCTGTTCAACATGGTGAAACCCTGTCTCTACTAAAAATACAAAAATTAGCCAGGTGTGGTGGCATACACCTGTAGTCCTAGCTACTTGGGAGGCTGAACAAGGAAAACTGCTTGAACCTGTGCTGCAGTGAGCTGAGATCACACCACTGCATACCTGTCTGAGTGACAGATTGAGACTCCATCTCAAAAAACAACAACCCCCGCCCCCCGCAAAATCTAACAAACAGTCAAAGAAAGTGACGTTCAATAAGCTAATAATGAATGTACTGTATGTGCTTAAACATGTCTGGTACATATTAAACACCCAGTAAATAGTGGCAATAAAGATGATTATGGTACTAATAATAGTTAATACTTACAAAGCTCTTACTAAATGCCAGGAACTGTTTTAAGCACTTTTCATGTATTATTTTTTTAGTTGTCATAACCAATAAGGTAAGTCCAATTATTATCTTTGAGGCCTGCAAAACTCAAATAAATTGTGCTAGATCATAGAGCTGGTAATTTTTTTTTTTTTTTTTTTTTTTTTTTTTGAGGCAGGGTCTTACTCTGTTACCCAGGCTGGAGTGCTGTGGCATGATCACAGCTCATCACAACCTCAACCTCCTGGGATCAGGTGATCCTTTTGCCTCAGCCTTCTCAGTATTTGGGACTACAGGTAAGTGCCGCCATGCCCAACTAATTTTTAAATTTTTTGTAGAGATAGTGTCTTGCTATGTTGCTCAGACTGGTCTCAAACTTCTGAGCTTAAGCGATCCTCCTTCCTTGGCCTCCCAAAGTACTGGGATTACAAATGTGAGCCAACACGCCAGACAAAATTTCAACCTAGATAGAGCTTGAGACCATGCCCTAAACCATTGTTTTCTTGAGAATAATGTGTCCATATCAGCCCCTGTATATCAGAGATTCAAGATCACTTCATATCGAGGAATCTGCCCTGATATTCACGTAGGTTCTTTTCTATTTTCCTTAAGTTTCATCCAGCTTGAGAAATAAAGGGACAGAGTACAAAATAAATTTTAAAGCTGGGCATCCAGGGAAGACATCACATGTCAGTAGGTTCTGTGATATCCCACAAGCCACAAAAACCAGCAAGTTTTTATAAGGGAATTTCAAAAGGGGAGGGAGTGTGCGAATAGGTGTGGGTCACAGAAATCAAGTACTTTACAAGGTAATAGAATATCACAAGGCAAGTAGGAGGCAGGGTGAGATCACAGGACCACATGACCGGGGCAAAATTAAAATAGCTAATGAAGATTCGGGCACCATTGTCATTGATAACATCTTATCAGGAGACAGGATTTTGAGATCAACCGGTCTGACCAAAATTTATTAGGCAGGAATTTCCTCTTCCTAATGAGCCTGGGAGCACTATGGGAGACTGGGGTCTATTTTTTTCCCTGCAGTCTCGACCATAAGAGATGTCCACGCCTGGGGGGCCAGTTCAGAGACCCACCCCCAGGTTCGCATTCTCTTTCTCAGGGATATTCCTTGCTGAGAAAAAGAATTCAGTGTTATTTCTCCCATTTGCCTTTGAAAGAAGAGAAATATGGCTCTGTTCCACCCGGCTCACCGAACATTGCTCTTATCCTGTTCTTTTTTTCAAGGTGCCCAAATTTCATATTGCTCAAACACACATGCTGTACAATTTGTGCAGTTAATGCAATTATTACAGGGTCCTGAGGTGATATACATCCTCCTCAGCTGACAGGATTAAGCGATTAAAATAATGACAGGCATAGGAAATCACAAGGGTATTGATTGGGGAAGTGATAAGTGTCCATGAAATCTTTACAATTTATGTTTAGAGACTGCAGTAAAGACAGGTATAAGAAATTACAAAAGTATTAATTTGGGGAACTAATAAATGTCCATGAAATCTTCACAATCTGTGTTCTTCTGCCATGGCTTCAGCTGGTCCCTCCATTTGGGGTCCCTGACTTCCCACAACAACTTCGCTAACGTTTGAGACACTTCCCATTACTGGCTGGAGCTCCCCCACCTGTCCCTTCAGTTTTCATGGCTTGTGGGGGAACCACTGTCCCAAAAACATGCACACTGCTAGGGCCACATGCAGTTCTAAGAGATCAAAGACAGCCTTCTCCAAATCATTCTAGATCTGCTGTTAGTCTCAGTCAGCAAATGGCCACTGACTGCTCTAGTATTAGAGGGACAGCACTTCTCCCTGACCGCACCAACAGAAAGCATTCAGGGTTTGCTTGACGATTTCATGACGGAAATATATTGGGATGGAAGAATGTTCCCTGCAAGCTTGTTTTGGAACTTCAGAGCTCAGGCAGGCTCCAGTGACAATCGTGTGATTAGGGAGCCCAGACTGATGGCAGACCCAGGGCCCACTACTCTCCTCCAAATTCGCGAGGCTCCCATTGTCATGGCTCACAGGAATCCAAGAAGAGCACCAGGGACAGGAGGCAGACATCCTGACATTGTGACAAGGATGGGTAATTGAACATAGCTAGGTTACATTAATCACCCAGGGTCAGAGAACACAACAAGGAAAGGAGAGAGGGGAGAAATCAGTCCAGGCTTTCTGGTCAGTTGGCACAGCAGCAGTGGCACAAAATGGGTTTATGTGAGGAATTTAGCTCATGTAATCTCTTACAGGGCACCCCCTCCTTGCAAATTGCCCCAAATATACATACAATTTACATTCAAGGCCAGCCCCAGCCTCCCCTCTGATGAGATTGCTGCCCTGAGCTCTTCCTTTATAGAAATGCTGGCAACCCCATGGCTACTCAGCCACCTATGGTTTAGGGGGACCATAGAGGCTTGCATTTGCACTGCTGGATTCAGAGGCAGGGAGCCCTGAAGCCCACAGATAGTCTTCTAGATTTAACTATTCACAGAGATCAACTGGTCATTATCTCCTCTGGGATGTGTGTTCTGCAGACCCTGCTTTCTATTTGTACCTCACATCTGGCCCTGCCCAGAGGATTGATTTCAGCAAACATAAATTTGGAGGGAGCTGTCCATCTTGGAAAATATTCTGGAATGGAGGCCTGAAAGCAGGGAGGAAATATGTTTCCCAGGAACCAAATGCAATGTTCAAATACAAATCATGCCTGAACACTCCCTAGGCTTCTCTGAGTGGGTTACATGACTGCAGGCTCAGGGAGCTTCAGGAGATGTGCACCATCTGGCCTCAGTGAGCAGAATCTGTAGGAGTTGCCACATGGCCTCTGACCTTGTGTATGATCTAGGTGAAGATACATATTTTTCTTACAATATGACAGAGAGCATGAAGCTAGAAGCAGGAACATTTGAGATGACAGAACCAGGAATCCAAAAGATAGTGTAAAATAAGGGTAAAGTGCTGACTAAAAGATGAAATTTATGAATAGCAGGAACAGATACCATCTTGCACTTTGCTCAACAACATAAACAAAATCAACCAAAGGACCCTGCCAAGGTTTAGATTCTTGTCAATGTTACCCTCAGCACAAAACATAATCTTGTGAAGTCCCACTTCCTCACTTGTAAAACATTATGACGTTATTATGAGAATTAAATCAGTTAATGTAGGCAAAGTGCTTACTTATGGTGATGATGATGGTGGTGGTGGTGGTGGTGATAATGGTGATGGTATGAAGGTGGTGATGAAGATGATGGTGGTGATGGTGATGGGTGATGGTGATGGTGCTGGTGATTATGGTGATGGTGATGATGGTGGTGGTGATGATGGTGATGATAGTGATGATGGTGATGGTATGATGATGTGGTGGTTACAGTGATGGTGATGATGATGGTGGTGACAGTGATGATGGTGGTGATGGTGATGGTGGTGATGGTGATCGTCATTATGGTAATGATGGTGGTGGAAATGATGGTGATGATTGGTTATGGTGATGATGTTGGTGATGGTGGTGATGGTGATTTTGGTATGATGGTTATAGCAATGGTAATGATGGTGATGGTAATACTGGTAGTGATAGTGATGGTGATGGTGATGGTGATGGTGTTGATGGTGATGTGATGATCTTGATGGTGGTGATGGTGATGATGATGATGCTGATGGTGGTGATAGTGATGGTGATGGTGATGATGATGGTGGTGATAGTGATGGTGATGGAAGATGATGATGATGATGATGATGATGATGGTGATATATAACACATGGTACTAATCACAGTGCTTCCCACTAGGCAGTCTCATTCCAGAGCCTATGTTCTTAACCATCTTACTATACTAATTCTCATGAGTGTTAAGTATAATTATTATAATTTTTACTGACTAGGAAGAAATGTGGCTGATCCACAGCATGTGTAAAAATGGCATTAAGGATGATGGCTGACAGCAAGTACAACCTGAGTCACATAAAGACTGTCTGTAAGTGAGAGGTGGTGACAGTTCCAAGCTACTTTTGCAGCATAGATATCACAAGAGGAGAGGCCTAAAGACACACAGAGCAGGATCAGAAGGAAATGACTATGGCTGGGTGTGGTGACTCACGCCTGTAATGACAGCACTTTTGGAGGCTGAGGCAGGTGGATCGCCTGAAGTCAGAAGTTTGAGGCCAGCGTGGTCAACATGGTGAATCCCCGTCTCTACCAAAATACAAAATGGTGGTTCTGGGCATCTGTAATCCCGGCTACTCGGGAGGCTGAGGCATGGGAATTGCTTGAATCTGGGAGGCGGAGGTTGCAGTGAGCCCAGATCATGCCATTGCACTCCAGCCTGGGCAACAAGAGTGAAACTCCATCTCAAAAAATAAATAAATAAATAAGTAAATTAATTAATAAAAATGAAAAGAAAGAAATGACCAGAATGACCAAACCATAGCATAAGAAGATTAGCCAAGACCAGGTATGGTGGCTTATGCCTGTAATCTCAGCAATTTGGGAGCGTGAGGCAGGAGGATAACTTAAGCCCAGGAATTTGAGACCAGCCTGGAAACATGATGAGACCCAGTCTCTAAAAAAAATTAAAAAATAACAGCCAGAGGACCTGGCACGTTTTGCCTGAAAAAAATACTTGAGGGACATTCCAGCCACTTTCTAAGGCCTTAAGCCTGCTACATAAAATCCAAGGTCCAGAAGTAGGCCATGTGAATGTGAGTCCTAGGTAGACGGATCTCAGCTCAATATAGGAAATCCTTTCTGACGTGTTGACCCAAGATGAACAGGAAGCATCATGTCCCAGAAGCATCTGAGTGCTGGCAGAATCCAGAATTCTGGGACTCAAACACTGGATAGGGGAGTAGCTATTTTACAGGCTCTAAATAGCTCCTCCTAGTGTGGGACTAGGACCATCTGACGACCATATGCATCACCCGGGGGCTTGTTAGACACATTGATCCAGAGTCTCCACCCCAGCCACTGAGTCTGAATCTGTATTTTCACAAGTTGCACAGGTGATCTGTGTGCACATGAATGCTAACAAGCACTGATGTGGAGACCATCTGAAAAAGACTCAGGTCCAGGTGGGCTGCAGCTATGAATATCAACAGTGGGGAGAAACCTGGGGCAAGCAAGAGCACGTGGTTCTAGAGTCTGGTCTTTAAGGGGATGGCCCAGCTGTGCTTCCAGCCCAGCTGCTCCAATTATGTCTGTTTTTTTAATCTAGTGGGGCTCAGAAGAGTCCATCAAATTTGCATAAGGAGGCCTCAGGTAAAGGGGCTCATGGGTACAGGTACTCATCTGACACCTCATTAAGCCATCTTGGTAAATCATCTCTAGAATGCCTGTTGGTATTTTAGGAAACAACATAAAGGGAATGACAATTAAAAGTAACAACCTGAGTGGGAATTTCTACTTCCTTCCAGTGGCTGGCAAGTAAAGCACTTTGGGAATTTTTTGGTATGGTAACAATTCTATACATTTTCTTTTTCTTCTTCTTATTATTATACTTTAAGTTTTAGGGTACATGTGCAAAATGTGCAGGTTAGTTACATATGCATACATGTGCCATGCTGGTGTGCTGCACCCATTAACTCGTCATTTAGTTTTAGGTATATCTCCTAATGCTATCCCTCCCCACACCCCCCCCCCCCCACCCCACCACAGTCCCCAGAGTGTGATGTTCCCCTTCCTGTGTCCTTGTGTTCTCATTGTTCAATTCCCACCTATGAGTGAGAATATGCAGTGTTTGGTTTTTTGTTCTTGTGATAGTTTACTGAGAATGATGATTTCCAATTTCATCCATGTCCCTACAAAGGACATGAACTCATCATTTTTTTATGGCTGCCTAGTATTCCATGGTGTATATGTGCCACATTTTCTTAATCCAGTCTATCATTGTTGGACATTTGGGTTGGTTCCAAGTCTTTGCTATTGTGAATAGTGCCACAATAATCACACATGTGCATGTGTCTTTATAGCAGCATGATTTACGGTCCTTTGGGTATATACCTAGTAATGGGATGGCTGGGTCAAATGGTATTTCTAGTTCTAGATCCCTGAGGAATCGCCACACTGACTTCCACAATGGTTGAACTAGTTCACAGTCCCACCAACAGTGTAAAATTGTTCCTATTTCTCCACATCCTCTCCAGCACCTGTTGTTTCCTGACTTTTTCATGATTGCCATTCTAACTGGTGTGAGATGGTATCTCATTGTGGTTTTGATTTGCATTTCTCTGATGTCCAGTGATGGTGAGCATTTTTTCATGTGTTTTTTGGCTGCATAAATGTCTTCTTTTGAGAAGTGTCTGCTCATGTCCTTCGCCCAGTTTTTGATGGGGTTGTTTGTTTTTTTCTTGTAAATTTGTTTGAGTTCATTGTAGATTCTGGGTATTAGCCCTTTGTCAGATGAGTAGGTTGCAAAAATTTTCTCCCATTTTGTAGGTTGCCTGTTCACGCTGATGGTAGTTTCTTTTGCTGTGCAGAAGCTCTTTAGTTTAATTAGATCCCATTTGTCAATTTTGGCTTTTGTTGCCATTGCTTTCGGTGTTTTAGACATTAAGTCCTTGCCCATGCCTATGTCCTGAATAGTAATGCCTAGGTTTTCTTCTAGGGTTTTTATGGTTTTATGTCTAACGTTTAAGTCTTTAATCCATATTGATTTAATTTTCATATAAGGTGTAAAGAAGGGATGCAGTTTCAGCTTTCTACATATGGCTAGCCAATTTTCCCAGCACCATTTATTAAATAGGGAATCCTTTCCCCATTGCTTATTTTTCTCAGGTTTGTCAAAGATCAGATAGTTGTAGATATACGGCATTATTTCTGAGGGCTCTGTTCTGTTCCATTGATCTGTATCTCTGTTTTGGTACCAGTACCATGCTGTTTTGGTTACTGTAGCCTTGTAGTAGAGTTTGAAGTCAGGTAGCGTGATGTATCGAGCTTTGTTCTTCTGGCTTAGGATTGACTTGGTGATGCGGGCTCTTTTTTGGTCCCATATGAACTTTAAGGTAATTTTTTCCAATTCTGTGAAGAAAGTCACTGGTAGCTTGATGGGGATGGCATTGAATCTACAAATTACCTTGGGCAGTATGGCCATTTTCAGGATATTGATTCTTCCTTCCCATGAGCATGGAATGTTCTTCCATTTGTTTGTATCCTCTTTTATTTCATTGAGCAGTGGTTTGTAGTTCTCCTTGAAGAGGTCCTTCACATCCCTTGGAAGTTGGATTCCTAGGTATTTTATTTTCTTTGAAGCAATTGTGAATGGGAGTTCACTCATGATTTGGCTCTTTGTTTGTCTGTTATTAGTGTATAAGAATGCTTGTGATTTTTATACATTGATTTTGTACATTGATGTATACATTGATTTTGTATCCTGAGACTAAACCAGGAAGAAGTTGAATCTCTGAATAGACCAATAACAGGCTCTGAAATTGTGGCAATAATCAATAGCTTACCAACCAAAAAGAGTCCAGGACCAGATGGATTCACAGCCAAATTCTACTAGAGGTACAAGGAGGAATTGGTACCTTTCCTTCTGAAACTATTCCAATCAATAGAAAAAGAAGGAATCCTCCCTAACTCATTTTATGAGGCCAGCATCATCCTGATACCAAAGCCGAGCAGAGACACAACCAAAAAAGAGAATTTTAGACCAATATCCTTGATGAACATTGATGCAAAAATCTTCATTAAAATATTGGCAAACTGAATCCAGCAGCCCATCAAAAAGCTTATCCCCCATGATCAAGTGGGCTTCATCCCTGGGATGCAAGGCTGGTTCAATATACACAAATCAATAAATGTAATCCAGCATATAAACAGAACCAATGACAAAAACCACGTGATTATCTCAATAGATGCAGAAAAGGCCTTTGACCAAATTCAACAATGCTTCATGCTAAAATCTCTCAATAAATTTGGTATTGATGGGATGGATCTCAAATTAATAAGAGCTATCTATGACAAACCCACAGCCAATATCCTACTGAATGGGCAAAAACTGGAAGCATTCCCTTTGAAAACTGGCACAAGACAGGGATTCCCTCTCTCACCACTCCTATTCAACATAGTGTTGCAAGTTCTGGCCAGGGCAATTAGGCAAGAGAAGGAAATAAAGGGTATTTAATTCGGAAAAGAGGAAGTCAAATTATCTCTGTTTGCAGATGACATGATTGTATATCTAGAAAACCCCATTGTCTCAGCCCAAAATCTCCTTAAGCTGATAAGCATTTCTATACATTTTCACAGATCACACAACATGAAAGCTTGTCTATATTGAAGGTTTTTTTCCCTTTCCTTTCCTAGTGCTTTGGGTTTGCAGCTTTATTTTATTGCTGTTTTTTTGTCTTCTGTGTTTTTTTTTTTTTCCTTTCCACTGAACATTTCCTAGTTTTACTTTGACTTGCAATGGGAGAGGGTATTGCTTCTAGATGTAACATGACATCCAAAGCATAAAATGGTAAATGAAGCTGCAGGTCATTTTCAGCTGAAAAAGGAATTTTACGACTCATAATTATGACCATGTAAGGCATTTTCACGGCAGAGTATTTTTTATCTTAGTTCTCCATTGGGATGGCATTGAGGGATTTGCTGTCCAGTAGAAAGTTCACCTCTAAATTATTCACTCTCTGCAGCCTCCTAGCCTTGCTTCTCTCCTTCACAGGTGCATGGGCATTCTTGCTAGACCTTCTACTCTCCTGGAACTGCCAGGCCCCTGGTGTTGCATATTCCCCTGGTTCTCAGGGCCCTTTGCGATGCATCTTCCCCATCCCTCATGACCCTCATGGCCTACCTGCTAGGCCCACGGTCTAGGACCTGAGCCCCTTAATAACACTCCTTGATCTGCCTTACACACTCTCCTCCTACTCCTCCTCTCTGATAAAACCCGAACTTTGAGTCATCCCGCCATCTGCCTTCTCTGCTTCTGATTCCACCATGCTGAGAGAGGAGAAAGCGCACAGAAGCACCAGCTGAGGCCACCACAGTTTCATGGTCTCAAGCCTTCCTTAGATTCTTGTGCTCTCTGACAACCATTTTAGTTGTCCTAAATCAGCTCCTCAAAAAAAAAAAAAAACCTCATTTGGCCCCACTTCCCAGCCTCACAGAGGAGACTTCTCTTTGTCACAGCATGTTGACATCTCTTTCAATACCAGTACTTTTGTTAACTCACTGAGGCGGCTTTTAGGATACTGGGACAGGTTCCATGACCCTGTGATAAAGCAAATGAATATGAATCTCTCAGGTGGGGCCCAGAGTTCTTTTTTAGTTACTTTTGTTATCATTTTTTTTAGAGACAGCGTCTTCCTCTGTCATGTAGGCTGGAGTACAGTGGCATGATCATAGCTCACTGTAGCCCCTAACTCTCTGGGCTCAAGACATCCTCCTGCCTCAACCTCCTGAGCAGCTGGTACTGCAGGTGCAAGCCACGATGGCCAGCTATTTTACTTTATTTTATTTCTGAAACAGAGTCTTGCTCTGTTTCTGTATTAAACCTTGAATACTATCTAGGAGGGACCTATCATACTATAAACAGCTCTGGGTAACACACATTTCATAAGGTCCAATGTCACGAGTTTAACTTTTTAGTGTTATCCAAGTACTTTCTTACCTGTAGCCTCTTTTTTTTTTTTTTTTTTTGACAGAGTCTTGTGGTGTCACCAAGGCTCAGTCCAAAGCCACAATCATAGCTCAATGCAGCCTTGAACTGCTCAGTTCAAGTAATCCTCTGCCTCAGACTCATAAGTGGCTGGCACTACAGGTGAATGCCACTGGGCCCAACTAATGTTTTTATTTTTTATTTTTTTACTAGTAGAAATGGGGTCTGTATATTTCTCAGCTTCTTGAACTCCTGGACCCAATCAGTCTTCTTGACTTGGCCACTCAAAATTCTGGGATTCACGGCATGAACCACTGTGCCCAGCTTCATTTTTTTTTTTTTTAATTCACTGGGCAGGGTGGAGTGTGCTTTTTATCCTAGCTACTCAGGAGGCTGAGGTGGGATGACTGCTTGAGCCCAGGCGGCCAAGGCAGCAGTGAGCTATAGACTATCATTACCTTGGAAGAGAAAAAAAGAAAAGAAAACCCCCTCCGTGGGCCAAGGTGATGCAGCCATCTGACATAGGATTTTACATATAATTAATTTTACTTATTTATTTATTCATTCATTCATTCATTTATTTATTTTTTGGACAGAGTTTCTGTTTGTCTCCCAGGCTGGAGTGCAGTGGCATGATCTCAGCTCACTGCAACGTTCTCCACCTCCAGGGTTCAAGCAATTCTTGTGTCTCAACCTCCTGAGTAGTTGGGACTACAGGCATGCACCACTACACTAGGCTGATTATTTTGTATTTTAATAGATAAGGGGTTTCACCATATTTCCCAGGCTGGTCTTGAACTCCTGAGCTCAAGCAATCCACCCATCTCGGTCTCCCAAAGTGCTGGGATTATAGGCGTGAGGCACGGCACCTGGCCTTGGATTTTAGATAGAATTTAAGGAGCTCGTGATCCCCTTGAAGTTCTTTCATCATCTTCCCAGACATACAAGAAGCCTAGTTAAAAACATCTGGGTTAGAAGTTCTCTGCGGTCTTTGCATCAGGGTGTAAGAAATGGACAGGACCTCAGAGTTCAATGAATATAATCCTCATTAAAGTCAGATATTACAATTCAGTCAGTGAGGCCCAGAGAGTTTTCATGGCTGACTCATAGCATAGCGGAAGGAGACCTGTATCTTGGTTTTCTGAATCCCATTTCTCACACAGTGTTGTGTTAATATACTGTGTTTAAAAGAAATGTAAAGAAGGAGAGAGTCCTGTGGAGAGAATGGCTGGGAGCAAAAATAAAAAGCAATCGATATTCCTAGGATGTATAGGTTGGCTATTACTTGGTTTGTTTTGCATTCAACATAGATTAGCTTTCTAGCTTCAACCCAAAAAAACCAAGCCTGAAGCTCCCTTCTAGCTCCTTACTTTGGATCTGTGACTAAATCCTGAAGAATTGTCTGAGCAAGATCTGTGGAGAGGCAGATAGTGGGGCCTAGGCACATCATGAGTTCTAAATGGCTGATGTCATTACAAAAAACATAAGCAAGAAAGAATCTACTGTTGCCCGGAAGTGGGGGGGAGGTTTCTAAGGAGAAAGTATGAGTATTGAAGAAGGAGGGTAAGGGTTATGTAGCAAAGAAGGGGTTATTGGATGGTCCCTGTAGGCTGGGGGTGGGAGAGGGGAACAGAGCAGGGTGGGGTGTGAGTGAGGTACGCTCCGAGATCATTTTTGTTTTTGTTTTTTGACCAATAAAGTGTTCAATTTTTTTTTAGTTTTAAAATTTTAAATTTTTTTTGATCAGTGAAATGAGAGATGGTTTGGGGGACGTCTGGGAGCCATCTAAGAGTTTTATTAAGCTGGAGATTATCAAATTAAGATTTGCATTTTAGATATGCTTTTACATGGAAGATAGATCTAAGATTTTTTTTCAGTTAAGTGTTAGAATGCAGTGCCCAGATTATGAATCATTCATTCATTGATACAACTTTACGAAGCTCATAATATAATTCAGGCACTGATCTAGACAAGAAAAGATAGTCCAAAGCAGCACAGTGACAATGGAGATGCAGTTATATAAGGAACAATACATACAGAGAAGACAGATTTGACAAATACTTAGGAGATAAAAATCAGTAGGACCTAATGACTATTGAGGGCAGTGGGAAGTGGAATGAAAATAGTAAGGATATTGACAGATGCTTGAAACAAATGTGTCCAATATTTTAGAATTATATAATAAATTTAAAGGAATAGTCTGTCAGGAGCCCCAGAAAGATTAAAACCCAAATGCTAATACATAAAGATCAAAACAGCCTTCATTTGCCACATCTTTGAATGAGAAGACTACTTTGGACTTTGTTATTTCTCCAAGGCAGAGACACAGGCCTGCCAAAGGGAGGTAATAATATCAACTACCAAATTGTAGGTTTAACCGAGAGAGGTTGAAATAAAAAGTACTAAAGTTTTGCTGGGCGTCTTTCAACAGCCTTGTGGTAAGCCATTCCTACCAGAATTCTGATTTTGTCAAAATGTGGTTACTTTCATGTAATTTTGGAATAAGCTTTTAAAAACTGAGAGCAGCAAGAACAGCATGTGAACACAGATGGGCTGGGGGGAGGGGCAGATTGAATTGGGTGAAGTTTATACGAATAAAAAAGAAGAGGGGATTTTACGAATGCTACTTTCAAAGGCAAAAGACCTAGTCAAAGCACTTATTTTTGCTTTCTTAATTCCTTACCTGCTACTGCAAATAAAGAGCAGCAAAATTAAAAGAAAAAAAAGCTATGTGCTGTAAATACCTTTAAAGACACTTCTTTAGTAGTTCATTGTGTTGCATACATCATAATGTCTTGCTGGGCAGGCTGCCCAGCTCAACTTCCAGTCTCACGGTTCTGTGAGATGAAAAGTGAAATGTAATATTTACAATCCTGGGAATGAATTAATCCCTGGCAAAATAGAAGGATTTGATTTTCTTATCTGCTCATATCTAGCTGGCTTTGTACCTAAGAATGGTACCAGGGATCTGTTTCTATTTGTCGCCACAGGACAGGGAACTAGAATCAGTTCCTGAAGCTAAAGGCCTGAAATGTCTCAGACAAGCAAAAACTGACAGAATTCATCACCACTAGACCAGCTTTACAAGAAATTCTCAAGGGAGTCCCACATCTGCAAGTGAAATGATAATTACTATCAAGAAAACACACAAAAAAAGTATAAAACTCAACGGTAGAACACATACACAAAGGAGAAAGAGACAAGAATCAAACTTTATCACTACACAAATCCACCAAATTACAAGGATGAACAATTAAGAGGGGAAGAAAGGAAAAAATATATATATTTTTTGTGTATTTTGAGACCAGCGTGGCCAACATGGTAAAACACTGTCTCTACTAAAAGTACAAAAATTAGCTGGGTGTGGTGGCGGGCATCTGTAATTCCAGCTACTTGGGAGGCTGAGGCATGAGAATTGCTTGAACGTGGGAGCTGGAGGTTGCACTGAGTCAAGATCATGCTACTGCTCTCCAGCCTGGGCAGCAGAGACTCTGTCTCAAAGAAAAACAAAAAAAGCAACTACATTTTAGGCTAACAAAGAGATATTTACAAAACATTTCATCCAACAGATGCAGAAAACACATTCCTTCATCAGCACAAGAGATATTCTCCCTATTCTGGTCTATTCTACCATATGTTAGGCCACAAAACAAGTCTCAACAAATTTAAAATTATTGAAATTATATTGAGTATCTTTCCTGACCACAGTGGAATAAAACTAGAAGTCAACAACAAGGCGAACTTTTGAAATTGTACAATTACATGGAAATTAAACAGTATGCTCCTGAATGATCAATGAAGAACATTTTAAGTTTTCTTTTCTTTCATTTTCTTCTTTTTTTTTTTTTTAAAGTAGCTAAGAACAATCGTTCTGAAGACGCAAAGCTAAACTAACTGCTAACATCCAAACACAGCCGACAGTGTAGCTGCAAACTTTGCTCCTGATCCGTGGGCAAAAGGAGCTCTTAGCTTTGCAGGAGCCTTCATTTTGTGCTGCCTGCCATGGGACAGAAAAGAAGCACCTGTGAGCAAGAGCCATACACTCAATATACCACTGCTGACTCCTAAGTGCCCAGAATTTCATCCAGAGAAGTAGCTTTAGAAGTTAGGTGATGAATTCTATTCATTTATTTAAAAATTTATATATATAAATATAATATATTTGTATGTTATATTATATTTCTATATATTTTTAGGCAGAGTCTTGTTCTGTTGCCCAGGCTGGAATGCAGTGATGTGATCTTGGCTCATGGCAACCTCTGCCTCCCGGGTTTGAGTGATTCTTCTGCCTCAGCCTCTTGAGTTGCTGGGATTACAGGCATCTGCCACCATGCCTGGCTAACCTTTGTATTTTTAGTAGAGATGGGGTTTCACCATGTTGGTCAGGCTGGTCTCGAACTCCTGACCTTAAGTGATCCACCTGCCTCGGCCTCCCAAATTGTTGAGATTACAGGCATGAGCCACCGTAACCAGTCAGTTTTTTTTCTCAAGCAGAAGAGCAAAGATGAGGGAGTCTCCACACTAACAGCACACCAAGGATATTATCTGCCTGCATTAGGAAGCTTCCAGGGCATACAGGATGGCAGGAACTTCCAATGGGGTGAATGAGAGTGACTTAGAGCTACTTGATGGGATCCCTTTGGATGCTTCTGATACCTCCACCCTTCCTGAGGCTTTGCCACTGGGCTTGGCAAAAGGAGAACCCTTTAATATTTAGGAGAGCAGAGAAAGAGGGAGAATGGAGAAGCCACATACTACAGTCTTCTGTGTTTTACTGGCTAAAGGGCTGCAGATATTTTACATGCCCCCCATATTGTCAACAGACCAGGCAAGGTGACTGACACCTGTAGTCACAGCACTTTGAGGTGGGCTGAGGTGGGCGGATCACTTGAGATCACGAAGTCGAGATTAGCCTGGGCAGCACGGCAAAACCCCATCTCTACTAAAAATACAAAAATCAGCTGTCTGTGGTGGTGCGCAACTTAATCCCAGCTAATTGGGAGGCTGAAACAAGAGGATTACTTGGACCCAGGAGGCAGAGGCTGCAGTGAGCCAAGATCACACCACTGCACTCCAGCCCGGTGACGAAGTGAAAGTCTGTCTAAAAAAAAAAAAAAAAAAGGCTGGGTGCAGTGGCTCACGCCTGTAATCCCAACACTTTGGGAGGCTGAGGCAGGTGGATCATGAGGTCAGAAGATTGAGATCATCCTGGCTAACATGGTGAAATCCCGTCTCTACTAAAAATACAAAAAAAAAAAAAAAAAAAAAAATTAGCTGGGCGTGGTGGTGAGTGCCTATAGTCCCAGCTACTTAGGAGGCTGAGGCAGGATAATGGCGTGAACCCGGGAGACAGAGCTTGAAGTGAGCCCAGATCACTACACTACACTCCAGACTGGGCAACAGAGTGAGACTCTGTCTCAAAAAAGAAAAAAACAAAAAAACCCAAAACCCAAAAGCCAAAATTGCCAACTGGAAGAAGGCAGAAACAAAACAGGTGCTCACAGCTGCCAGAGATTTGTGGGCCCTGCCTGGGTTAGAGGTATAAATGCCAGCTCTGCATTGGAGACATGAGGGAATTTCTTTTTTTTGCTCTTGCTGCAGCTCCGTGTAACTGCATACCATGGTATCCCTTTCCTTTCTGGGTGATAATGGCCCACCCATAAGCAGGTTACTAACAAAATGGAGGACAGGACTTCACTCCTCCCCAAACACCTACAAGGGAAAGGTCCCATTTTACTGAGCACCACAGCTACAGTTTTAACAGTTACTGCAAAATAAAAGTTGCTACATTCTCATGATGATGGGTTTTTCTATCACCTGAAAAATTATTCACCAAGTGTCTGCAGCCAGGGTGAAAAACACTCTTAAAGTTTAGATATGCATCAGTATTTCCCTCAAAATAGCACAGGTTAAAGCTTTCATAAACAGAAAACCAGAATAAGTAGTTGAAAAACATGTAAGTATAAATTAACAGCCACAAAATGGGACAGTTAGAGACTGTGAAATAGCTTTGTCTTGCGGAAAGATACAATCTGAGAAGCAATTCTGCAGCACTTAGCTGAAAGTCAATAGGAGGCTGATCAAATGAAGTGGTAGAAGCCATGCAATTTGTCACACCAAGCATCTGTGACAAACCCACATTGAATCCAAAGAATGTAGGTGATCTGACAAAAGGCCTCATGTTTAAAATTTGCCCTAAGTTTCCCCAAATCTGCCAAAAATTTCCCCACTTGAGCCACTTTTTCAGATACAGTTTAGCTATCTGTTCTTGTGACACTAGGTGCCTTTAGAGAGTTCTTGGGAGCCACGTGTGGTGGCTCACACCCATAATCCCAGCACTTTGAGAGGCCACGGCAGGTGGATCACTTGAGGTCAGGAGTTTGAGACCAGCTTGGCCCACATGGTGAAACCCCGTCTCTACTAAAAATAAAAAAAATTAGCCAGGTGTGGTGGCATGCGTGAGTAATTCTAGTTACTCAAGAGGCTGAGGCAGGAGGACTGTTTGAACCTGGGAGGCAGAGGTTGCAGTGAGCTGAGAGTACACCACTGCACACAAGCCTGGTTGACAGAGCAAGACTCTGCCTCAAAAAAAAAATAAAATAAAATAAAATAAAATAAAATAAAAATTATTGGGGCTGGGTTCAGTGGCTCATGCCTGTAATCCTAGCACTTATAGAGGCTTAGGTGGAAGGATGGTTTGAGGCGGGGAGTTTGAGACCACCCTGGGCAACATAGTGAGACAGCATCTCTGCCAAAAAAGAAAAAAAAAAAATCCATGTTGAGACATTTTTGTGTAGAAAAAGAAAAAAAACAAAAAACAAAAAATACCTAGGTGTAGTGGCGTGCACCTATAATCCTAGCCCTTGGGAGGCTGAGACTGGAGGATTGCTTGAGCTCTAGGAGTTTGATGCTGCAGTGAACTAGGATTATGTCCCTGTGTTCCAGCCTAGGAAATAGATGGAGACACTATTTCAAAAAAAAAGAAAAGAAAAAAAAGCTAGACACAGTGGCTCATGCCTGTGATCCCAGCATTTTGGGAGACCGAGGCAGGTGTATCACCTGAGGTCAGGAGTTCGAGAATAGCCTGACCAACATGGTGAAACTCTGTCTCTCCTAAAAATACAAAATTAGCCAGGTGTGGTGGCACATGCCTGTAATCCCACCTTCCTGAGAGGCCAACGCCGGAGAATAGCTTGAACCTGGGAGGCAGAGGTTTCAGTAAGCTGAGATCAGGCCATTGCACTGCATTCTGGGCAACAAGAGTGAAACTCTTACTCAAAAGAAAAAAAAAAAGCTTTACTTTTTCTACTGTTGCAATGGTAATAATAGAGGCTTTCCTCTCGAGGAGCTCTATACACATACGCTGGGTGCGGTGGCTCACGCCTGTAATCCCAACACTTTGGGAGGCTAACGCAGGCAGATTGCTTGAGGTCAGGAGTTCAAAACCAGCCTGGCCAACATGGTGAAACCCTGTTTCTACTAAAAATACAAAAATTAGCCCAGCATGGTGGCATGTGCGCCTGCCGGGTTCAAGCGGGAGGCATCCGCCTCCCCGGGTTCAAGCGATTCTCCCACTTCAGCCTCCTGGGTAGCTGGGATTACAGGCACCCGCCATCATGCCCGGCTAATTTTTGTATTTTTATAGAGACAGGGTTTCACTATGTTGGCCAAGCTGATCTTGAACTCCTGATCTCAGATGATCGGCCCTCCTCAACCTCCCAAATTGCTGGGATTACAGGCATGAGCCACCGCCCCTGCAGAGCTCTCTTTTCTTTGCGAAGGACAAGGCAGACTGGAATGGATTCACCTGAGAGCGGTGCGCATGCCCTGGAAAGCATTATGGTTAGACCCATGTGAGACAGGTTAGTTTTACTGCGTGTGTTCCCCATGTGTTGTTGCCCATGTGTTGTTCCCATGGTAATCCTGCTCATTAGTAGAGAAATCACAGGTTCAGACATTTGGTGTATGTCCTTGTCTGAGGAGCCAATGGGGTAAAGCTACTATAAGCGGGATTAGGACTGAAGGACTCTAAGAATCCCGCCCATGAGGAATGATAAGGCAGCGCCACGGAACCTTTGTTGGCCTCGGGTAGGCAGTCTTCTGCAGTCCCCTCCGGTGTGCCGCTCCGCCCCGCGCTGGGCGCATGTCCTGCCGTGCTCCGGAAACCGGGATCCGGTGCAGAGAAACCCCCATCCTGGGAAACGGGCTGCTGCCAGAAAGGCGGTCACCCCCTGACCCATCACATAACGTGTTTGTGGGGAACCTGATGCTAAACTATTCGCAGACGTCCTGCTTCTGGGTCAGGGTTTTCCATGGAGCAGAGCAGCTCCCTCGCTGCTATCTATTGAAAGTCAGACCTCCACACAAGGCTCTCTGCACCCGTGTGCGGAGGACCTGGTGATGTGGTGTGTGATGTGGTGTGTCCTGTGTAATTCAGCCCTTGACATATACCTTCCTTCCTTTCTCCTGTTCCCGAGAACCTCTTCCCTGGCCCGCTCATGCCCACCCACCCCTGAGCCCCGGATCACGCAGTGGGTGTCTCTCGCGAGAGCTCATCGGCGCCCGCTGTGCATTGGGAGGCTCACGTCCCCACCCTCGGGCTTTCCAAGGTGCCGCGCCAGGGGTTGCTGAGGTAGAGGTGGCTCCCCTGCTCCTCCTTCCACCTCTCCGATTCCACCTCCTCCTCGCACCCCGCTGGGAACTCCTCCAGGGGCTGAGATTGGATTCACCGAGCCTGGTGAGAATGACTCAGGAGTGGTTGTCCGAGGGTGTGCCCCTGCGGTTCCTGTCCGAGTAGTGTTCACGCGTGCCCAGTGGTGGCCGATGGGGTCACGGCCCCTCTCCCCACCCCAGGCGCGCGGCGATGGGATATGAACCAGTCACTGCCTTTGTGCTTTCCTCCTCTCTCCGCTGCCCCGGTCAACCAGCGGAGAGTGGGGAACTGCGGGCAGGTCGGCGGAGTTAGATGGCAGCAAAGGTGGGCCGGCTTGGTGTGATAAAGTTCCAACTGGGTCCTTCCGCGAGCCCTGGGTCCATAAGATGTCATCGGCGAGCGCTGGACTTGACCGTCAACTTGGGATTGTTAAGGTAGAACGGGTAACTCTGGTCAGCAGCACTACCACCTGCATCCACTAGAGGCTGCTCTTTCACCACGTCATTTCTTCCTCTCCAACTGTTTCCACAGTATTTTCAGCTGCTCTTCATTTTGTTTTTCTTTTTCCTTTTACTTTTCTTACTCCCCTTTCTACACACTGAAGTTGCTGTTGTTTTATGTTTACTTCTTCTCCTTCTAATTCTTCTTTTCTTTTTTTTGAAAAGTTGGAGTGTGAGATTGCATTCTCGGCTCATCACAGCCTCAACCTTCCTGGGCTCCCGCAGGTGTTCTTGCCATCTCAGCCTTCCAAGTGGCTGAGATTGCAGGAATAGCTTGATTCTGGGATGTCGAAGCTGCAGTGAGCCATGATCACGCCATTGCCCTCCAGCCTGAGTGACAGAGAAAGACCCTGTTTCAGAAAGTAAGAGAGACAGGTTAAAGAAATAACTCCTTGAAATTACTGCAATTAATTGTGATCTAAATTACCTTTTTTATTTTTATATTTTTCACTCTCACTAGTTTGTTTATTATTATTGCTGTTGTTTGTTATTTATTTGTATTATTGTTTATATTATTGTTATTGTTTTTATTAATTAGATATTTAGAGATGGGGTCTTGCTTTATCACCCAGACTGCAGTACAGTGGCATGACCTTGGCTCACCGTAGCCTCAAATTCCCGGGTTCAAGTTCAAGACCAACCTGGGCAATATGGCATAACAACCATGCTTACTAAAGTCTGTCACTGATACCCCCAGGGCCGTTGAATATGGCAGGTGCAATTTCGGAGGCTGAGGCAGGCAGTTGGCTAGAGTTCAGGAGTTCAAGACCAGCCTGGACAACACGCTGCAGTGCATTACCTGACCAAGGCCCAACGCAGCCTCCACCTCCCGAGCCCAAGGGATGCTCCCACCTCAGGCTCCAAAGGAGCTGAAAGTACAGGCGCCTGCCATCATGCCCGGCTAACATTATTATATTTTATTTTATTTTATTTTATTTTATTTTATTTTATTTTATTTTATTTTATTTTATTTAAGTAGAGGCATGGTCTCACTGTATTGTCAGGGCTGGTCTCAAAATGGTGGGTTCAAACAATTCTTCCATGTCAAACTCCCAAAGTGTTGGGATTACAGGTGTAAACCTTGATGCACTTCTCTCTTTTTTATTTCCTTTATTTTTCTTTTTTCTTCCTCTTTCTTTCTTTCATTTTCTTTCTTTTCTTTCTCTTTCTTCTCTCTCTTTTTCTTCCTCCCTTCTTTCTGTCATTTCTTATTCTCTTTTTCTGTTTCTCTGTCTTTCTATTTTCTTTATCTTTCTTCCCTTTACATCTCTGTCTCTTTTTCTTTGCATTTATTTTTCTTCATCTTTTTGTGTGTCTCTTTTCTCAATTCGTTTCCTCCCATCCCTCCGTCTGTCTTTGTTTGGATTCTGGAAGTCTCCTCATTCTGTATACCCCTGTGTATCACAAGCCTCTGAGACTTTCGCTTCGTTGTTTTTCTCCTTGTTTCATAAAATGCATTCATTCTTCTTTTATTTAGGTACTGTATGGATGGTCAAGTGCTGGAAAGAAAAAAAAATGGCCCATAAATTTGTTTGGTTTCACAAGAGACATGGGAGACCAAATAACGCACGATGAGTACTTTTCTAAATATCCTGTTTATTCTCCCAACGGGGCTCATAAAAATACGGATGCATTCAGTGGGTTGAGAGATCTCTGTGCAGTCGTGACCCTGCAATTATATTTGACAAGGGTGGTGATGACAGATGGGTGGCACAGAAGCCTACCCTTCTTTGGCACCAATTGAGCATGGTGACAACAGATTCAAAATGGCCTGTGTCTGAACTTGATGGTCCTGTTTTTCTGCTCTGGTCTTTAGGAATGAGGGGAGCCTTCCCGAGTTCCGCCATTTCCTTGCATTTTTCTTTTTACATATATTCGTTCACTTATTTATTTACTAATTTATTTTAAATAGAGTCTTGTTCTGTAGCCCAGGCTGTGGGGTTTTTTTGGCTGGCTGCAATCTCCACCTCCCTGGTTCCAGCAATTCTCCTGCCACAGCCTCCTGAGTAGCTGGGATTACAGGTGTATGCCACCCTGCTCACCTAACTTTTGTTTTTTTAGTAGAGACAGGGTTTCACCATGTTGCCCAGGCTGACCTTCAGGGATCTGCCTGCCTCAGTCTCCCAAAGTGCTGGGATAACAGGTGTGAGTCACCGCGCCCAGCCTAAATTGCAATTTTTCAAAATAAATGTTTTGTTTTGCTTTTTTTAAAAGTAGGTCATCACCTAGTGACCACTGTTATTGAAAGGCCACTGTTATTGAAAGTGGCCACTGTTATTTAAAGGTGGCACTGAGGGCCGCCTGGCCACTTCACAGAGCCTGGGGCAACTGCTTTCTCTCCTTCCCTTCTGGAGGCCCCTCCCTCTCTCCCTCACTGCCTAGGGAACTTCCATCCTGGTGCGGACCCTGTTGTTCTTTTATCCCTCTAGGTAAATGGTGTCTCCTTCTGTCGCCAAGGCGGTGGCATGGTCTCGGCTGGCTGCAATCTCCACCTCCTTGCTTCCAGCGATTCTCCTGCCTCAGCCCCCCGAGTAGCAGAAATTACAGGTGCGTGCTACCCTATCCAGCTAACCTTTGTTTTTTTAGTAAATACAGGATTTCACCATATTGGCCAGGCTGATCTCACAATCCTGACTTCGTGATCTGCCAGCCTTGACCTCCCGAAGTGCTGGGATGACAGTCATGAGGCACTGCACCTGGCCACCATCATTGGTTTTAACTGGAGAGTCTAGATTCGAGGCATATCTCATTCTATGTCACAGAATGACTTCTTTATCCTGCCGACTCAAGAAAGCTGGGCCCCTTGTGATTCATTTCAAACAGAGAGTCACCTCATGTTTGGAAAACAGATCTGCTCCCAAGTTGAGTGGAGGGATGTGGCGTGTAGGAGGAAGGACTGTTCCTTCTGACTTAATCTGCATGGTGGGGTCTAGGGCTGGAGCTCAGTGTGGATGGATGGCTCCCTCTACCTTGGGTTCCATTGTCCCCACCGTGGAACACCAGCCTTGGCAGATCCTGGCCCTTCCTGGCCCTTAAGATGCTGTCAGAAACTGTATCCCAAGCTTGGATGCCCCGAATGACTGTGGCTCCCACCTCTCTGGAAACATTTGAAATCTATCCTCTACGCATGGCCACCTAAAACCACAGGAGCCCAGGACACTCAGCCGCCATCCACCTCACTGGTTTATGGAGAGAATGCTGAAAGTCTCTTGCTAACTCTCTTGAGTTCTTCAAGGGCATGTAGTCAGGACGTAGTGAGACCAGATGTATTAAGTCAGGCTGGGTGCGGCGACTCAAGCCTGAAACCCCAACACTTTGGGAGGCCAAGGCGGCAGGATCTCTTGAGCCTGGGAGCTCGAGACAAGCCTTGGACAACACAGCCAAAACCTGAGGTGCATGCCTGGGGTCTTAGCTACTCAGGAGGCTGAAGTGGGAGAATCACCTGACCCTGGGGTGGTTGAGGCTGCAGTGAGCCATGATGATGTCACTGCACTCCATCCTGGGCTACAGACAGAGCGAGACCCTGTTGCAAACAGAGAGACAGATAATACCTATATTATGTCCTTCTCACGATAGGATGCAAAAATAACAGAATACAGCAATTAAGATATTTTTACATTTTAAATTTCAAACTATTTATTTATTAATTTTGAGTCCAAATTATGAAGCCAGCTAATTTTTGTATTTTTGAAGAGATGAGGTTTCACCATGTTGCCAAGGCTGGTCTTGATTGCCTGGAATCAAGGAATCCACCCGCTCTCAGGCTCCCAAAGTGCGGGGATTAAAGGCATGAGCTACTGCTCCTGACGGCATTGTTTTTTGTTTGTTTGTTTGTTTTTTACTTTGTTTTTCTTTTCTTTTCTTAATCGCTTGTCTTTCCAGGAGTTTCATGGCAGGGCGCTTGGCTGGCTTGTTTAAATTCATTCTGAATAAGAACTGAGGATGTCAGCTTCTGGCCTCATGGACTCTGGACTGAAGAGTCCCCTTGTCTATCTATCATGAGACTGTACACGTAAGAAGCAAAAAACTAGTAACATTTAAAATAAATAATTTTGTTGTACAGAAATACACGGATGCACCTAAAACACAGAAATGATTCTTTTAAAAGTTGTGTTAGTCCTGGTGGGTGTGGCAGTGATTCTTTTAGGTTTGGAGCTTGACTGAGAGAATTTCCAGTCGGTATTTGGATGGAAGTTCCAGATGATCTGATGGGTGGGGACTTAGGCTGTGTCCCCCCCCCAGGGGCCCTGGTTGATTAGTTATGGGGACTGCCTGCGAGGGTGCTGTGACCCAGTGTACTGTGGGGACTTCCATCCTTCCCCTCCTTTCCCCACTCCGGGTGATGCCAATTCATTGCGGGCTGACACTCTCATTGGCATATGCCACCCTATTCACCTAATGGGCATCACCTAGCAGCCATTGTTACTCTGAAAACCGAGGCCTCAAGGAGGAAGAAAGCTCATGGCACCTGGGCACAGCCCAAGGCAGCTGTGTCTTCTCCACTGCCCCCACCCCCACCTCCAAGTTTCTCCCTCCCTTGTTGCCAAGGGAATTGCCACCCTGATGAGTGGTTCTGATTGTTCTTTGATCAGTTAAAAAAATGAATATACATGCCGGGCACTGTGGCTCATGCCTGTAATCCCAGCACTTTGGGAGGCAGAGGCAGGTGGATCAAGAGATCAGGAGTTCAAGTCCAGCCTGGCCGATGTGGTGAAAACGTATCTCTACTAAAAATACAAAAAATTAGCCAGGCATGGTGGTGTGCGCCTGTAATCCCAGCTACTTGGGAGGCTGAGGCAGGAGAATTGATTGAAACTGTGAGATGAAGCTTGCAGTGAGCTGAGATAGCACCACTACATTCCAGCCTGGGCAACAGAGTGAGACTCCATCTTAAAAAAAAAAAAAAAAGAGGCCAGATGCAGTGGCTGATGCCTGTAATCCTAGCATTTATGGAGTCTGATGCAGGCGAATCACCGGACATTCCTGACGTTGGACGTTCGAGATTAGCCTGACCAACATGGAGAAACCCTGTCTCTACTAAAAATACCAAGTTAGCTGGGCATAGTGGCACTTGCCTGTAATCCCAGCTACTCGGGAGGCCAAGGAAAGGGAATTACTTGAACCCGGGAGACAGAGGTTTCAGTGAGCTAACATTGCACCGTTACTCTCCAGCCTGGGCAACAAGAGCGAAACTCCCTATCCAAAATAATAATAATGATAATAATAATAATAATATAAAAAGTAAGTGTTTCCGGTAAAAAAGGAAAAAAAAATAAAACCAACAGTGACATAAACATACTTCTCTGTCCTTTCAAGGCAGCAATGATGCTACAAACTGATCCACCTGTCTCAGGCTCCCTAATTGCTGAGATTACAGGTGTGAGCCACTGCACCCAGCTATGTATAATTTTACGTGTACTTTCTTTTTTTAATTAAATTAAATTAAGTTTTTGTTGGTTTTGAGACAAAGTCTCACTGTGTCACCCAGGCTGGAGCACAGTGGTGCACTTGTGGCTCACTGCAAACTCTACCTCCCAGGTTCAAGCGATTTTCCTGCCTTAGCCTCCCGAGTAGCAGGGACTATTGGCTGGCATCACTGCACCTGACTAATTTTTGTATTTTTAGTAGAGACAGGGTTTTGCTGTGGTCACCAGGCTGGTCTCAAACTCCTGACCTCAAGTGATCCACCCATCTCAGCCTCTCAAAGTGTGAGAGTTTCTGGGGTGCCAGATGGGTTGGTCTCCCCTGTATGAGACATCCATGTGGAGCCATGGGTGGCCTCTGAGGAGAAATATCTCCTTATTGCCTTCATGTCTTTATGCCCTGAAAGCATAACAGCTCAGAGGCATTCCACAGGTTGGCAAGGGAGATACCTCCTTTGAAGCAGTGGAGTATAACCAAACGTGTTGGCTCCTCCTGAAACCCACTCACACCCATTTCAGTCCTGATAAGTTAAAGATCTTGAGTAGTTTAGACACACGCCTTTGCTCAAGGAAATTCACAAAAAACTGCTGCTACACATCTTATTGAGTGACACTGATTAATCCTCTACCTTATCCCTTTCTACCCCTCCCATCTGCCCTAAGAACAAAGAGCTTGTAAACCAACAAATTCAGCAGAGCTCGAGAGCTCTGGGCTGTGAACAAGCCTCAGATGCTCCGGTCCCCTGGACCCGCCTTTTAAACATTTATTTTTTTCTCTTTACAACTCCTTTGTCTCTGCTGGACTCGTGGTACCTGCTGGCTGGTGTAGGGCTGGTTTCCCCAACACAAAGTGATAAGATTACAGGCATGAGCCACTGCGCCCGGCTATGTGTAATTTCTTAACTCGGCTCATTTCTTGACTAGGCATCATGGGCATTTGGGCCACTTTCTCATGGAACTTACTTGTGCTTCAGGATCTGTTCGGACCCAATCAGGTCCACAGCATTTCTGTGTCATGCTGGAGTGCTGCTGTGCACACCCACTTACGCCCAGTGTGTGATGAGCGGCTCAGCTCACATGGTAACTTCGTGGCCCCATGGTTGGGCATTTGGTTTCTACTAATAGCCAGAGGCTAGCTGGATAGAAAGAATGGTTATCTGCAGATAATGGCAGGGCCTTGCTCTTCCACTTGCTTATTCCACTGTGATTTGGAATAGCTTATGTCTCACATGGATGGTCCTGTTTTTCTGCTCTAGTGTTTAGGAATGAGTCAAGCCTTCCCGTGCTCTGCCACCTCCTTGCATTTTTTTACATTCATCTATTCATTTATTCATGTATTTTTTAGAAACGGGGCCTTCCTGTGTCGCCGAGGCTGGAATGCAGTGGTAGGACCATAGCTTACTGTGACCTTGAACTGCTAGGCTCAAAGCAATATTCCTCTGCCTCAGCCTCCAGAGTAGCTGGGCCTACAGGCATGGGAATGAGCCACAGCACAGCACAATGCCCCGCTAATTATCTTCGATTTTTTAAAAAATGGTTTTCTTGTTTCTTTTCTGAGACAAAATCTCCCTCTGTCACCCAGGCTGGAGTGTAATTGTTCCCAGACCAAACTGAGGGTGGGGCTGCTTATTCTCCCGACCTGATAATGACATACAGATGAACTAAAAAAAGGGAGTTTTTATTTCTGTGACCACTTACAGGGAGACGGCCTGATAATATCACCAGATTGACTCAAAATTACAAATGTGTATAAAGCTTATATACCTTCTAAGCTATCTGCGTAATCTTAACAGTGCATACATTTAAAGGTGGAATCAATTTATTTATTTATTTATTTATTATTTATTATTATTTTTTTTTTTTTTGCGATGGAGTCTTCCTCTGTTGCCCAGGCTGGAGTGCAGTTGTGAGATCTCAGCTCACTGCAACCTCCACCTCCTGAGTTCAAGTGAGTATCTTGCCTCAGCCTCCTGAGGAGCTGGGATTACAGGTGCCCACCACCATGCTCATCTAATTTTTGCGTTTTTCTTAAAGACGGGGTTTTGCCATGTTGACCAGACTGGTTTGGAACTCTTGACCTCAGGTGTTCTTCCCGCCTTGGCCTCCCAAAGTGCTGGGGTTACTGGCTTGGGCCGCCAAGCCCAGACTGCTTCTTTTGCACTAGAAATGGGCTCTCTCATTATCACGGTATAAACGTGTCTATATTGTGGGATATGGTGTGCGTGTGCACGTGCATAGGCACATGTGTTTCTCCATGTTTTCCCGAGCCATGGTGCTTCTTCCCCCGCAAGGGCTGTGGTGGATTAGTTGTTGGGAGCTCCTGAAAGGGCGCCGGGCTGACACTTCCATCCGTTGTCGTCTCGTGTCATCTAGCTGTCACCGTTTTTGAAGTCTAGGAGGCTCACAGGATGCCGTGGCCGCCCGCCCATGGTAAGGGGTGAGTGTGTCTTCTCTCTGCTCCCCTCAGTCCTACCCCAACCCTCAGAGGCCCGCCCTACCTCCATCCGTTCATCCCCTCCATCGTTGCCTAGAAAACCTCTGGAGATTCTGGCTGGGCCAGATTGTTGATCTTCTTCATCAGTTGCTTCCTATTCTTTGTGTGTTTGACCCGCGTGGACTCTTCTGCCTGGGTTTTACAGACGGCAGTTCCACCCTAGGCCTTTTCTTTAGTGGGGACTTTTCTGATTCTCCCCAGATGTTGTGAAAGCAGGTAGATGTCAGGCGTTTGGGACTAAAAGACATTTCTCAGGATTAACTGAATGAGTGTGGAGGAAGCAGCATGCACTTCACACCTTTCAAAGCAGGGATGGCAACACTATGAATTCGGTGTCTTTTCCAGAATCAGCTTGTTTCCTGAGTTGCCCTCCGTGTCCCCCCACCCACCCCAGGCTAGAAAACATTCCAGAGTGAACTACTGTGCCTCCTTCCCTTCCCCGTCCTGTTTTGTCCCCTCCCCCTCACCTCGGTTTCTCTCCTTCATGCCGGCAGCTTTCCTCTTCCTCTCTCCCTCCCTCCTTAGGGAAACTCAAGTACCTTGGCTAAGCCGCCATAGTCAGTTTTTACCGTTAAGTTATGTTTAATATTTGTCTTTCCCCAGCCAGCATATTGGTAAAGTGGAAAGTGCATCATAGCCACCGATCCCCCACCCACCCCGCCCCCCACCGCCCTCGGCTATTTTTTTAGAGTTTTTTAGAGTTTTTTAGAAAAATAGTTTTACTATTTTTTTAGTTTTTTTCATCTATCTTTCTCCTTTCATTTCTTTCTTAAAGTTTATTTCTCCAGTTTTCTTTCTTTCTTTCTTTCCTTTCTTTCTTTCTTTCTTTCTTTCTTTCTTTCTTTCTTTCTTTCTTTTTCTTTCATTCTTCTTCTCTGTCTTTTGTTCTTTTACATTTTCTTCTTTCTTTTTTCTTTCCTCTCTCTGTTTTTTCCGCCTGGCTTTCCTTCATTTATTTCCTCCTTCTTCATCTCTTTCATTTTTCTTCCCTTGCTATGTCTCTTTCTCTTTTTTTTTTTTTTTTTTTTTTTTTTTTTTGACGGAGTCTCTGTCGCCCAGGCTGGAGTGCAGTGGCATGCGTGGTGGGATCTCTACTCACTGCAAGCTCCACCTCCCGGGTTCACGCCATTCTCCTGCTTCAGCCTCCAGGGTAGCTGGGACTACAGGCGCCTGCCATGGCGTCCGGCTAATTTTTTTGTATTTTTAGTAGAGACGGGGTTTCACCTTGTTAGCCAGGATGGTCTCAATCTCCTCACCTTGTGATCCACCCGCCCCTGCCTCCCAAAGTGCTGGGATTACAGGCGTGAGCCACCGCGCCCGGCCTCTCTCTTTCTTTATATTTCTTTGTCTAGATTTTAAAAATCCTCTCTCTCTCTGGTTCTCATTTCCTTCTTTCCGCCCTCCCTCGCTGCTCCCTTCCCTCCCTCCTTGCTTTCCTCCGTCTGTCTCTTTTCTCCATTCCCTCTCTCCCTCCCTTCCTCCGTCTTTGTCTGGATTCTAGAAGACTCTCCTCATTCTGTATCTTACTGTGTCCTAACCGACCTGCAACCAAGTCCCATTTCTTCTTTCTCAGTCCGAGATGCATCTTCAAACTCTCATGCGCCACGGGTTGTCTTTTGACTCAGTCGCAGTCTATGCAGAGACACGTTTGGAGAACGGTTTCTGTGAAGTTGGGGAGGAGGGGCTGCGTTTTCGGCCTCAAAAAGACTTCGACTCATGGTTTGGGTTTCCCAGTCATGGGCTGCCCTGCCATCTGGGACTCTGGCGCGTCACTTGTGAGTCAGAGCTGGCAGTCCAGGGCTTTGCTGGGGGAGGCTGTCGCGGTGCTTCCGTGCCCCAGGGCAGTGTGGGGCTGCCCTGGCTGGTCGAACAGCATGCCACAACTCCTGAGGCTTGGCCCGAGATCCACAAGGACGTATTGGGCATGGCGCTGGTGGCTGGGGATGCCCTTCCCGGCCCAGTGGCAGGCCAGTGCAGGTCTGATGCACCTGCCAAGCCCTAGTCCCTCTGCCCTGATCTTTTTTTTGAAGTCCCCATGCAGAGTTGGAGAGCGGTCCCTGAGCATGCATGTGGTCCAAGAGGTGGCACCTGGCCAGGCTTTGGTCCCTCATGTGATCCAGTCATGCTAGGGGCCAGCCAAAAATAACTCCCAGTCTAGCTCTGGAAAAATGGGCCAGCCCCTGCATTGTACGGGTAACCAGGAGTTTGTCCCTGGCCCAGTGCTGCTCCTGTGTGTGTCCTGGGGTCAACCAGAGGGCCCTGGGTGTTCCGTGTCTGGCTGCCATGGTGGCCTTTTTTTGGGAAAGATGTCCAGGTCACGCGTTTCTGCTCAGGTGGTGTGGTCACTGACTCGACACCCCTCCACCAGGCAAGGTATATCTTTCACTCTGAGTCGACATTTTGGGCCACCAGGTTGTTGCTGACACGCTGCCTGGCAATTACATTGGGCCTCTAGATGCGTGTGAAGCTCTGGTATACTGGTAACCCAGCTAACCGGCCCTGTTCCAGTTTTAGCTGATTGCTGGGACCTGTGTGCCTGCTCTCACGCATCCTAGTGTCATAACTGTCCGTGGTGCCCCAGGTTTCTGGGCCTTTGACCCTGGCAGGGAAGGCAGCTCGGGCTCCCGTGACCAGTGTGCTCCCGGCTGCGGGCACAGGGTGGTCAGAACAACCCCACTCTGTTGGCTCTTCGCTGTGAATGTCAGGCATTCCACCTTAAATTGTCTGCTGTCCCTATCCCGGAGTGAGCCTGGCTGGGCTGTTATGCTCATCAGTTTCTTCAAGACTGACCCCAGCTCAACCACCGCCCATTATTGGGCTTTTCACGATGGATGTGGTGACTTTACGCTCTCCCAGGCTGGGAGTAAGCCACGAGAAGCAAAGGATGGAAATACACAGTTAATGGAAGAGTTCTTCTTCTTCTGCTTGTCGGGCCCCTTGTCTCTCTTCCCCACTCACGGGTAGTGTGTTGGGAGGCATGGGGCAGGGAATTTGCGGTGACCTCGCTGCCCTCACGCCTTGAGCCTCGTGACTTCAAGAAGATTGGTGGGGTCCTCTGACACAGCGGGCACCTTTGCTCTGGCTTCCTGTGGTTGTTGCCTTGCGGGTGGACACTGCACCTCTCCGGGGCCATGGGGCATGTCCCTACCAAACATCATGCTGCCCTTTCTGGGATGCGAGAGGGTTGACACGACCAGGGCCTTTGTGGTGATCCAGGAGTGCTCCAGACTGCCCGAGACAAAATGGTGGCGGGTTGTGCCAACCCCAAGTGGCCTCTCGTATAACCGCCACCACGGTGTTTGCAAGTGCATCCTGAAGAGGTCGTTGAGCGGGGCGAGGCGGATGAGTGAGGCAGGTCCCTCCCACTCGATAAGAGATGCTGCCTCCTCTGTTGAGCGCCAAGTTCCTTGTTTCACTCTGCCAAGTGCGCCCACGACGCAGGAGCGAGTGCGGTAAGATTCTGTGTACTATCGTGTTGTGTCGGCCTCGGAGAGGCCTTTTGCCCCAGAGAGAAAGGTGGATAAACAGCGGGACTTTGGGGGTGAGTGCATGCATGCCAGGCAACGGCCCTGATAGAAAGCACTCAAAATTTTCCAGTCTTTTGGTCATAAGGCAGACCACTATCTTCCCCAGGGGTCCATGAGCGAATCTTCAGGAAGGGGTAACTGGTGGGGAAAGAGTGTGACAAAAACTTGGTGAGAAAGCCTTCGCTGGTAATTCGAAAGGTGAGCCAATGAGGTTCAAGCGATTCTTCTGCCTCCCCCGCCCACCTCCACCGGGTAGCTGGGACTGCAGACGCTCGCCATCATGCCCGGTGTCTTTTCTGGAATCAGCTTGTTTCCTGAGTTGCCCTCCGTGTCGCCCCACTCACCCCAGGCTAGAAAACACTCCAGAGTGAACTACTGTGCCTCCTTCCCTTCCCCCTCCTGTTTTATCCCCTACCCCTCACCAAGGTTTCTCTCCTTCGACGTCCAAATCGTCTGCGTATAATAATGATTCCGTTGATGTGCATAAGCAGAGTTCCCTACTTTTACCATAAATAAGAACAGAAACCGCGGGGGTCGTGCAGTCCCTGGCTTACACCCAGGGTGCGTGTCACCCCCACGAGGGGCACCAGAAAGCGTCAAGAAAACCCCCGAGGGAAAGGAACAGGAGGGACAGCCTTTAAAGGGGAAGATGAGGCAGTCCGGGAAAAAACTTCCCACGGAAAACAGTGCCTGTCCAGCCGACCCTGGGCCGGGATTTGGGAAGTCGTGGAGTCCTTGACTTGCACCCAGGGGGCATGCCGTGCTCATGGGGACACCCCAAAGTGGCAAGAAGGCCTCTGGGGGAAGGGAACAGGACGCCAATCTTAATAGGGGACATTGAGGCAACACGGAAAAAAAAAAAAAAAGGCGGGCCGGGGTCGTTCAACAGATGGCAGTGCCTTCCTGGCAGCCCCTGTGTTGGGGCCGGGGTGGTCGTGGAGTCCCTGTCTTGCACCCAGGGTCCGTGTCAGGCCTATGGGGGGCACTTCAAAGCGGCAAGAAGACCCCCGGGGGACGGGAACAGAGCTCCAGGCTTGAAAGGGGACGTTGAGACAGTACAAGGAAAAACTTCCCATGGCAACAGTGCCTTCCTGGCAGACCCTGCTCCGGGCCAGGCGAGTGGTGGAGCTTCTGCCTTGCACCCAGCTGCGGGTCACGCCCAAGGGGGCATCTCAAAGCAACACGAAAGCCCCTAAAGGAAGGGAACAAGATGCCAGGCTTGAAAGAAGACTTCTGAGGCAGCACAGGGAAAAAGCGGTGGGCAGGGATCCTCCCACGGACGACAGTGTCTTCCCAGCAGCCTCTGCGCCGGAACCGAGGGACCGTGGATACCTGGTGTGCACTCAGGGTGCGTTTCTCGCCCACGGGGATAACCCAAAACGTCAAGAAAGCCCCGGAAGGAAGGGGAGAGCATGTCAGTCTTCGTGAAGGAGGACATTGAGGCAGCCCGAGGAAAAAAGTGGTAAGGCTGGAGTCCTCCCACGGACGATAGTGCCTTTCCTGCAGCCCCCGAGTCAAGTGCCCGGTGGTCGTGGAGTACCTTGCTGCCACCCAGCGGACGTGTCTTGCCCATGGGGGGCACCCCAAAGCGTCAAGAAGGTCCCCAGGGGAAGGGAACAGGACGCAAGGCTTGAAAGGGGACGTTGAGGCAGTCCAGGAAAAAACTTCCCACGGAGGACAGAGCCTTCCCAGCAGCCTCTGTGCCAGAACCAGGGAAGTCGTAGAGTCCCTGGCTTGCATCCAGGGTGCGTGACTCGTCCACAGTTGGGGGGGTGGGGGGGTGCCTCCAAGCGGCAAGTAGGCCATAGGTGGAAAGAAACAGGATGCCAAGCTTGAAAGAGGAAGTTCAGACAGCATGAGGAAAAAAGCGGCGAGCCGTGGGCGTCCCATGGATGACAGTGCCTTTCTCGCAGCCCCTGCATCGGGACGGTGTATGTGTCGGGAGGAGGGTCGTGGAGTCCCTGGCTTGCACCCAGGGTGCGTGTCTCACCCATGGGTAGCACCACAAAGCTGCAAGAAGGACCTCGGGGAAGGGGACAGCACATCAGGCCTGAACGGGAAAGTTGAGGCAGCCTGGGGATAAAAGCAGCGAGGCTGGGGTTGTCCCACAGACGGCAGGGCCTTCCCGGAAGCCCCTGTTCCAGGCCTGCTTGTGTCATTGAGTCCCTGGCTTCGCCGCTTTTTTCCCCGTTGATCTCTCCTTACAAGCCTGGCATCCAACTTCCTTCCCCCGGAGGCCTTCTTTGCCGCTTTGGGGTGCCCCCCGTGGGCGCGACACTCAGCCTGGATGCAAGCCAGGGACTCCACGACTTCCCTGGGTGCAGCGTAGAGGCTGGGGTCTTCCCATGAACAACAGTGCCTTCCCGGCAGCGCGTGCACCTGGCCCGGGAAAATGGTGGAGTCCCTGGCTTGCACCCAGGGTGCGTGTCTCGCCCACTGGGGCTCCCCAAAGCGACAAGAAGGCCCCCGGGGCGGGGGGAAAGGGACAGCACATCAAGCTTGAAGGGGGACGTTGAGTTAGTCCGAGGAAAGAAGCGGCGAGGCTGGGGTCCTACCATGAACGACAGTGCCTTACTTAACATCAGCCCCTGCGCCGGGACCGGGTGGTCGCGGAGTCCCAGGCTTGCACCCAGGATGGGTGTCTGGCCGAAGAGGGACACCCCAAAGCGGCCAGAAGGCCCACGGGGAAGGAAACAGGATGCCAGGCCTGTAAGGCGACGTTGAGGCACGCTGGGGAAAAACTTCCCGCGCACTACAGTGCCTTTTCAGTAGCCCCCCCAACACCGCGCCAGGGGAAGTCGTGAAGTCCCTGGCTTGCACCCAGGGTGCGTGTCGCATCTAGTGGGGACACGCCAAAGCGGCAAGTAGGCCTGCGGGAAAACGAAACAGGACGCCAGGCTTGAAAGGGGACGTTGAGGAAGCACGAGGGAAAAAGCAGCAGGCCGGTTTACTCCCACAGACAACCGTGCGTTTCCCCAGCCCGTGTGCCTGGCCCGGGACGGTCATGGAGTTCCTAGCTTGCACCCAGGGTGAGTGTCGCACCCACGGGGGAACCCCAAAGTGGCAAGAATGCTTGTGGGGGAAGGGAACATGATGCCAGGCTTGAAAGGGGACATTGAGGCAGCACGGGGAAAAAAGCGGTGGGCCGCAGTCCTCCCACCGATGACAGTCCCTTCCCGGCAGACCCTGCGCCGGGCTTGGGGTGGTCGTGGAGTCCCTGGCTTGCAGCTAATGTGCGTGTTGCGCCCACGCTGGGCGCCCCAAAGTGGCAAGAAGGCCTCCAGTGAAACGAAAGGGGACGTTGAGGCAGTACCGGGAAAAACTTTCCACGGAGGACTGTGCCTTCATGGCAGCCTCTGCATCACGCCCGGAGAAGTCGTGTAGTCCCTGGCTTGCACCCAGGGTATGTGTCGTGCCCACGGGGGAGGCACCCCAAAGCGGCAAGAAAACCTCTGAAAGAATGGAACAGGACGCCAGGCTTGAAACCGGACGATGAGGCAGCACGGGGAAAAAAGCGGCGGGTCAGAGTCACCGCACGGTTGACAGTGCCTTCCCGGTCTCCGCTGCGCCGAAACATGGGGGTGGGGGACGTGGAGTCCCTAGCTCGCACCCAGGCTGCGTGTCGCGCCCACGCGGAGCACCCTAAAGCGGCAAAAAGGCCCGCGGGAGAAGGGGACAGCATGTCAGGCTTGAAGGATACGTTCACGCAGCCTGGGGAAAACAGCGGCGAGGCTAGGGTAGTCCCACAGACGACAGTGTCTTCCCAGCAGCCCCTGCGCTGAACCCGTGTGTGTTGTTGAGTCCCTGGCTTGCACCTAGAGTGCGCTTCTCTTCCACGGGAGGCACCCCAGAGGCAAGAAGGACTTTAGGGGAAGGAAACATGACGCCAGGCTTGAAATGGAACGTTGAGGCGGCACGGAGAAAAACGCGGGTGGCCGGGGTCCTCCCACGGACGATAGTGCCTTCCCGGCAGTCGTGCCTTCCCGGCAGCCCCTACGCTGGGCCCGGGGGAGTCGTGGAGTCCTTGTCTTGCACACAGGATACGCTTCTTCCCCATGGGGGGCACCCCAAAGCGGAAAGAAGGCCCCCCGGGAAAGGGAACAGGCAGCTAGGCTTTAAATGAGACATTGAGGCTGCCCTGGAGGAAAAGCGGCTGGCCGGGGTCATCCCATGGATGACATTGCGTTCCTGGCAGCCCCTGCGCCTGGCCCCGGGGAATCGTGGAGTCCCTCACTTGCACCCAGCGTGCGTGTCGCGCTTAGACATGGGGTGCCCCCATGGGCGCGACCAGCACCCTCGGTACAAGCCAGGGACTCCAAGACCACCCCGGCCCAACATAGGGGCTGCCGGCAAGGCACTGTCTGCCCTCAGACGACCCTAGTCCGCGGCGTTTTTCCCCGGACTGACTCGGCTATCCCTTTCAACCCTGGCGTCCCATATCCTTCCCACGGTGGCCTTCTTGCCGCTTTGTGGTGCCCCCTGTGGGCGAGACAGGCACCTTGCGTGCAAGCCAGGGACTCCACGATATTCCCAGACCCACCGCAGAGGCTGCCTGGAAGACCGTGTTATCCATGGCAGAACCCCAGCATCCCCTCTTTATTCCCCAGGCTGCCTCAACGTCCACCTTCGAACCTGACGTGCTGTCTCCTTCCCCTGAGAAGCTACTCGCTGCTTTGGGGTGCCCCCCATGGGCCCCTGGGTGTAAGACTGGGACTCAACAACCCCTCCGTGTCCGGCAAAGGGGTTGCACCCCAAAGTCGCAAGTAGGCCTCCGGGGGAACGGAACAGGAAGACAGGCTTTAATGGGGACGCTGAGGCAGCACGGAGAGAAAAGAGGCTAGCCGGGTTCCTCCCATGGATGACAGTGCCTTCCTGGCAGCCCATGCGTAGGGCCCTGGGGGAGCGTGGAGTCCCTGTCTTGCACCCAGGATGCGTGTCTCGCCCACGGGAGGCACCCCAAAGCTTCAAACAGGCCCCCAGGGGAAGGGGACAGCACGTCAGACTTGAAGGGGGACGTTGAGGTAGCCTAGGGTAAAAAACCGTGACGCTGGTTCTCCCACGGACGACAGTGCCTTCCTGGCTGCCCATTCGCTGGGCCGGGGAGGTCTTGGCGTCCCTGGCTTGCATCCCGGGTGTGTGTCTCGCCCAGGGGTGGCACCACAAAGCATCAAGGAGGCCCCGGGGGAAGGGTACCAGACGCCAGGGTTGAAAAGTTTAGTTGAGGCAGTCCCGGAAAAAAGCGGCGGTCCAGTGTCCACCCAAGGACAACCGTGTCTGCCCAGCAGCCCCTGCACCGGGCCCGGGGTGGTCGTGGAGTCCCTGGCCTACACCTGGGGTGCGTGTCGCGCCCACAGTGAGCACCCCAAAGCAGTAAAAGTCCCCCAGTGGAAGGCAACAGGAAATCAGCCTTGAACGGGGACCTTTAGGTAGCCCAGAGAAAAAAGCGGCGAGGCTGAGGTGATCCCAGGGATAACAGTGCCTTCCCGACAGCCCTGCGCCGGTCCTGGCGGTGTCGTAGAGTCCCTGGCTTGTACTCAAGAGTGTGCATCTCGCCCTCAGGAGGCACCCCAAAGAGGCAAGAAGGTCCCCGGGGGAAGGGGACAGGATGTTAGGCTTAAAAGGGGACTTTGAGGCAATCCAGGGAAATAAGCAGTAAGCCAGGGTCCTTCGAACGACAGTGCCTTCGCGGCAGCCTCTCGCCCTGCCCAGTGGGGTTCTGGAGTCGCTGGCTTGCACCCAGGTTGCGTGTCGCTTCCACGGGAAGCACCCCAAAGCACCAAGAAGGCCTCTGTTGGAAGGGAAGAGGGCGCCAGGCCTGAAACGGAACGTTGAGGTAGCACGGGGAAAAAAGCAGCGGGCCGCGGACGTCCCACAGACGACAGTGCCTTTCCGGCAGTCCCTGCACCAGGCCCGGGGTCGTCGTGGAGTCCCTGGCTGCACCCAGGGTGCATGTCGCACTCACGGGGGACACCTCAAAGCCTCAAGAAGGCCTCCGGGGGAAGGAAACGGGACGCCGGGCTTGAAAGGGGACGTTGAGGCAGTCCGGGGTAAAAACTTCCCACGGATGACAGTGCCTTTCTGGCAGCCCCTTTGCCCTGCATGGGGATGGTTGTTGATTCCCTGGTTTGCACCCAGGGTGAGTGTCTCCCCCATGGGGGGCACCCCAAAGCGAAAAGAATGTTCCCCGGGGAAGGGTACAGCACGTCAGGCTTGAAGGGGGACGTTCAGGCAGCCCCGGGGAAAAAAGCGGGGATACTGGGGTCCGCTCATGGACGACATTGCCTTCCCGGCAGCCTCTGCGGTGGGCCCAGGAGCTGCGTGGAGTCCCTGGCTTGCACCCAGCTTGCATGTCTCACCCACGGGGCGCACCACAAAGAGGCAAGAAGGCCACCGGGGGAAGGGCACAGGACATCAGGGTTGAAAGGCATAGTTGAAGCAGTACGGGAAAAAAAGAGGAGGGATGGTGTCTTCCCACGCACGACAGAGCCTTCCCGGCAACCCCTGCGCTGGGCCCGGAGGGATCGTGTAGTCCCTGGCTTGCACCCATGGTGCGTGTCGTTCCCACAGGGGCACCCCAAAGTGGTAAGAAGGCCTCCCAGGGAAGGGAACAAGACGCCAGGCTTTAAAGAGGACGCTGAGGCAGCACGGCGAAAAATGCGGCCAGCCGGTTTCCTCCCATGATGGCAATTCCTTCCCGGCAGTCCCTGGCTTCCTCCCAGGGTGCGTGTCTCTCCCACTAAGTGCACCCCAAAGCGGCAAGTAGTCCCCTGGGGGAAGGGGACAGCACTTCAGGCTTCAAGGGGGACATTGAGGCAGCCCGGGGAAAACAACCTCGAGGCTGGGATTCTCCCACGGACGACAGTGCCTTCCTGGCGGCCCCTGCGCCGGGCCGAGGGTTTCATGGAGTCCCTGGCTTGCACCCAGGGTAAGAGTCTCGCCCACGGGGGCCACCCCAAGGCAGCATGAATACCTGCGGGGGAAGGGAACAGGAGGCCAGGCTTGAAAGGAGACGTTGAGGCAGTCGGGAGGGAAAACAATCCCATGGAGAACAGTGCCTTCCCGGCAGTGTCTGTGCCGGACTCGGGGTGGTCGTGGAGTCCCTGGCTTGCACCCAGGGGGCGTGTCTTTCAAGCGGGGTACTTTTCCCCAGGGGAATTGTTGTTGCTATGGGGTGCCCCCTGAGGGCGAGACACACAACCTTTGTGCAAGACAGGGACTCCAGGGCCCCCCAGCCCGCCGCAGGGGCTGCCCGGAATGCACTGTCTTCCCTGAGAAGTTTTTCCACGGACTGCCTCAACGTCCCCTTTAAAGCCAGCTCCCATCCCCCGCTGCCTTCTTGACACTTTAGGGTGCCCCCGTGGGTGAGACAGGCACCCTGGGTGCAAGCCAGGGAATCCTTGCCTGAGGCCTGGGTGTCTCTCGTGTCCTCACAACAGGAGTTTACACGAAGTTGGTGGCCATGGGAATCCGGGTTCACAAGGATGTTTCCCTGGTAGCTGGCAAAGGCAATGTTCTTCCCTGGAAAAAGCAGCCCGTGCGTTCTGGAGGAGGTCTTGGCTGGCGTCTGTGGGACCCTCTGCCCCTGCCCACCCCTTCCCCAGCCTCGGGCGTTTGCGGCGGCGCCAGATGAGTGAATTAAATTACCTAGGCCTTCCTGGAGCAGGAAGACAACCAGCATGGCAGGGAACCTGGGCCTGCGCCTTTGGGGTCTGGTGCTGGCCTGCCCCGCCCTGCCTAGAGCTGGGGACCTTGTGGAGCTGCAGCAAGGCAGAAGAGGTGGGATGCTGCTGCCCGGCGGTGTACGAGGAGGTCCTGGTGTGCGGTGGGGACGCAGGCAGGTGGAAAATGGGTAGCAGAGTCAGGGAGTGGTTGGGAAGTAGGGCACAAAAGGGAGAAAGAGGGAGCGGGAAGCCAAAAGCCTACAGCACCTTGTATTCCCAGGCGGTCTCTCTTCCAAGTACTGAACCAGGCCCCACCCTGCTTAGCGTCACAGGCCAGAGATCAGGTGTCTCAGGGCGGTAAGGCCTTAGACACCCGCAGTGATACCTGGCTGACACAAGAGCCTGGCCCACCATGCCCGCCAGACTCCAGGCATTACCGCCACTCCAAAGCCACGCGGCTTGGATCGGGACAACTCTAAGCCACTCCTCGCCTGCTGCTCGGCTGCTCTCCCCCTCCACGCCGGAGCACTGTGGGCCACCGCGCTGCACCTTCTGCCGGCTTCCAAGGGGCTCCAGCCATAGCAGACAAGGCCATGCACTGGACCATCTCGGCGCCGCCCTGCTGCTGAGTGAGGACGCCAGAGGTGTCCATCCGCTGCACAGACTTCGGGCTCTCTGGTTGGTCTCCATTCCTCCGACGCTTCAGGGCTTCCCCAGGCTCATGAACTCCCAAGCTTCCACCACATCGGGCTTGCTGAGCTTGTGCTCCCAGGAGTCAGGGATACCCTTCTGTCCTCCTTGCCACGGAGGGATTGTTTTGGTTCCCTCGCCGCCCCTCCTGCAAGGCCCCCTCTCTCCTCACCCACCCAGTGCTGCCAGGGCTGCTCAAGGGTGAACAGGTGGCCTAGCCCCATGGGCCCTTTCTCTTACAACGTCCCTAACAGGGTCGCTTGTCCGGACAAGGACATGGCCCATGGCCAAGTGAGTGGGGGGAGCTGCTTTGCCCCGCGCTGCCACTGGAGCTAGCCGACTGATTGCGGGAGAGAGAGGCTGATGGACAGCCAGACACACCTCACCAGCACCAAGAAGAAACCCACCCCCACCCCCACAGACACACATGGATGCACGCTCGCGGGCACACAGAGACACACACAGATACACAAAGATACAGATAGACAGCTTGAAGGAGATCAAGGGAAAGAGGGATGGAGAGATAGAAACTGAGGGAGAGAGAGCTAGAGAGAGAGAGAGAGACAGGAATGAGAGGGAGAAAGAAAGAGAGAGAAGGTGACAGAAAGAGCATGAGATGGAGGGAGCAGGAGAGAAATAGAGAGAGGGTGACAGAACTAGAGAGCCAGAGCATTAAAGCCTGGGAGAGGGAGCTCTCTGCTCTCGTAGACAGGGCTCCTTCCAGCAGGGGTAGGGTGGAGGGTGCTTGAGCCTGGCGGGAACAGGTGGGCAGGCCGCCCATGCAAGAGGACCAACAGAACCCTGAGACGTATTTTTGCTTGGATTGGTTGCTTGCTTTTGGGGTGCGTTTCATAGGGTCCTTTTGTTGGCTACTCCCTATCTTCTTGGTGCAGTGGGCACCGAGATTTGGAGAGTGCGTCCTTCCCTCTGGTGGGAGCCCTGGCGCAGAGCGTGCCGACCGGGCCGAGGCCTGGGTCTCTCTCGTGTCCTCAGGACTGGAGTTGACACGAAGACGGTGCCAATGGGAATCCGGGTGCACAGAGACGGATTGCCTCGTGACTGGCGAAGGCAATGTCCTTCCCCTGGGGAAAGCAGCCCATAGGTCCAGGAGCAGAGGTTTTGGATGGTGTCTGTGGGACCTCTGTCCCTGGCCGCCACTTCCCCCACCGGCTTGAACTATTGCATGGTGCCAGATGAGTAAATTGAATTGCCTGGGCGTCCCGGGAGCGTGAAGACACGGGTCACCTCAGGGAACATATACCGTCCTGCCACGGCTGGAGCCGGGCACCTGGTGGGGCTGCAGCAAGAAGGAGGATGTGGGATGCTGTTGCCTGGCGGTGCTGCAGCGGTGGAACCCCACGAGGAGGTCCCGGGTTGCTTTGGGGCCGCAGGTGAGAGGAAAAGTGGGAGCAGAGTTAGGGGAAGTTTGTGAAGCATGGCGACAAAAGGGGGAAAGAGGGAGGGAGGGGGAGGACAAAAGCCTACAGCACCCAACATTCCTGGGCGTCCTCCCATCCAGGTACTAACCAGGACCCACCCTACTTAGCTTCCGAGGTCAGACGAGACTGGACAGGGTGATATGGCTGTAGGCGCTGGCAGAGGGGCCTGGATGCCTCAAGAGCCCGGCACAGCCACGCCCCGCTCGACTCCAGGCGTCATTGCCACCCCGGGGCTGCTGGGCTTGGATCCAGGATCCCCAAGCGCTCGCCAGTGGCAGGGCTGCTCTCCTCTTCTATTTTTCTGAGCACTGCTGGCCACCCCTCTGTGCCTTCCTCTGGCCTCCTAGAGCCTCCTGCCGTCGCCGGTGGCCTGGCCTCCCGCAGGACGGCCAAGGCGCCGTGCTGCTCCTGCTCGGGGGAGCCAGAGGTCTCCGTCCCATGCCCAGTCTTTGGGCTGTCCGGGCGGCCCCCTTCTGCTCACGCTCCAGGCCTTCACCCGGCTCCCGAGCTTCCATCACAACAGGCCCCTCAGGACGGGTGTGCTCATCCCTTCACTTTTTGCCTTTTTGTTTTTTCTATTTATATTTTTTTGTACTATGTTTTGAAACGTTCCTTTTTATTTTGTTTTTGTTTTTTGTTTTCTGTTTTTTGTTTTTTGTTTTTTTTGAGACGGAGTCTTGCTCTCTTGCCCAGGCTGGAGTGCAATGGCTCGATCTCGGCTCACTGCAAGCTCCGCCTACCTGGTTCACACCATTCTCCTGCCTCAGTCTCCCGAGTAGCTGGGACTACAGGCGCCCAGCACCAGGCCCGGCTAATTTTTTGTATTTTTAGTAGAAAAGGGGTTTCATCTTGTTAGCCAGGACGATCTCGATCTCCTGACCTCGTGATTCCCCCGCCTTGGCCTCCCAAAGTTCTGGAATTACAGGCGTGAGCCACTGCACCCGGCTGAAACGTTCTTGTAGTTATTACTTTTGTTTGGTTTATTATTCAGTCTTCCTACTTAGAATGAGTAGTTTACACACCACAGCTATAGTGTTATAATATTGTTTTATTTTGTATAGTTACCATTATCAATGAGGATTTTTTTTTTTTTTTTTTTTTTTTTTTTTTTTTACCTTCAGTTGATTATTTCTTGCTCATTAATGTCCTTTTCTTCCTGATTGAAGTACTCCCTTCAGCATTCCTTGTAGGACAGTCATGGTATTGATGAAATCCTTCAACTTTTGTTTGTCTGGAAAAGTCAGTATTTCTTCTTATTATTTGAAGGACATTTTCGCTGTATATGCTATTCTAAGGTAAAGCTATTTTCTTTAGTGCTTTAAATATTTATTGCTTCTTTCTCCTGGCCGGCAGGGTTTCCTCTGTAAAGTCTGCTGCCTGATGTGTTGGAGCTCTCCTGTATATTATTTCTTTCTTTTGTCTTTCTTTTTTAGAACTTTTCTTTTTCTTTGACTTTTTGAAAACTGGCTATGGAATGTTTTGAAGTAGTCTTTTTAGAATTTAATCTGTTTAATGTTCTATAATATTTCTGTGATTGGATTTGGATATCTTTCTCTAGGTTTGGAAGTTTTCTATTATTATCCCTTTGAATAAATTTTCCTATCCCTGTCTCTTTCTATACGTCTTCTTTAAAACCAATAACTCTTAGGCCTATCTTTGTGAGGCTATTTTCCAGATCTTGTAGGCATTATTTGTTGTTTTTATTCTTTTTCTTTTGTCTCTTCTAAATATATATTTTCACATAGCCTGTCTTCAAGTTCACCATTTCTTCTGCTGGATCCATTCTGCTGTTAAATGGCTTTAATGCATTCTTCAGCATGCCAGTTGCATTTTCCAGCTCCTGAATTTTTGCTTAATTTGTTGTAACTATTTCAATCTCTTTGTTGAGTTTAGCTGATAAAATTTGGAATTTCTTTACTTTGTTATCTTAGATTTCTGTGAGTTTTTAAAAATACAGCTATTTTGAATTTTCTGTCTGAAAGATTACATATCTCTTTTTCTCCAGGATTTGTCGCTGATGCCTTACTTCATTCACTTTGTGAGGTCATGTTTTCCTGGATGGTGACAATGCTAGCAGATGTTCTTCAGTGTCTGGACATTAAAACTTTGGCATGCAGCACCACATAAGATGTGAAAAAAAGATTTTTTTTAAAAAAAAGATGAGCATTAATTGTAGACTTCACTGTGTGGGGTTATTCGTAGCTATCTTTCTTGGGAAGGATTTCCACATATTTGAAAAGGCAGGTGTTGTGATCTAAGCCATATCTGCTTTAGGGGGCACCGTATACCCAATAGTGCTGTAATTTTTGCAGTCTCATTGATGTACCACCTTGACAGTCTTGGACAATATCCAGGAAAATTTTCTGGATTAGTAGCCAGAGACTCTTGTTCTCTAACCTTATTTTCCCTCAAAGATACAGAGTCTTTCTCTCTATTCTAAGCCACCTAAAGTTGGGAGGAGAATGACACGAGCACCCCTGGCCGCCACCACTGGCTGCCCTGGGTCAGACCTGAAGCTGGCATAGCACCGGGTCTTGCTCAAGTCCTGCTGCACGCACTTTCTGACAACTGTCTATGTTCACTCAAGGCCTTTGGTCTCTGCAATTAGCAGGTGGCAAAGCCAGCCATATCTGTGCTCTTTCCTTCAGGGCAGCGAGTTTCCTCAGTCCCTGGCTGGGTCCAGAAGTGCCATTCGGAAGTCAGGGAGTAAAGTCAAAAATTTCAGAAGTCCACCGGACATTCTATTGCATTCCAGCTGAGCTGGCATTCAAACCACAAGACACAGCCCTTCCTATTACCTCCTTTCCTTTTCCAAAGGCAGAGTAGCCCCAAGCACCCCAGGCCACAAGGAGTACTGCCATGTTACCACCTTTGTTCCTTTAAGGCCCAAATCCTCTTTTCCGCTTGTGATGAATATTGCCTGGACTGGGACTTGCCGTTTTCAGGCCACTGGTCTCCCCACTGGCCCTGGGCAGGTTCATATATGCCAACCAAGAATCAAGTCCTAGAATCAGGGATCCCAAAACCTTTCTTGGTGCTCTACCCACCTCTGGCCTTGCCGGTACTTAAGTGGCATGAAAAAGTCCCCTTTACTTTTCCCTCTGCCTTTCCCAAGCAAAAGGAGTTTTGCCCCTTAGATACCACAGCTTGTAATGTGCTGAATCTCACCTAAATCTAGTAAGTCTATGAGGCTCACACAAGCCTCTTGATGTAGTATCTGGGTATGGCTGCTGGTTATTCAGGGCCCAAAGGTTGTTAAGTTTGCAGGTGATAAATGCTGCCAGCACTGGGTTCTTTCCTTCAAGGCAGCAGGTTTCCTTCTGGCCCGGGGTGTGTCTTGGAATGTCTAGGAGCCAGAGCCTGGAAAGGAGGACTCAGGACTCTGACCAGTGCACTATCTTGCTGTGGTTGAGCTGGTATCCAGGATGGAAGACAAAGTCCTCCCTACTCTTTTTCCTCCTCTCCTCAAGCAGAAGGATGGGGTCCCTTTTGGAGCTATAAGCTGTGCAGCCTGGTATTAGGAGAGTGATAATTCCAGAACCCCTTTGGCTGCCCCAGCTGGTGTCTCAGTATGTTGCATGACCTCCCACCTTAGTTGACTGTTCCTGGGTCCAGTTCAGCCCTAGGCCTCACCTAAGAGTTGCAGTCCTGATGGCCTAGGCTGCCTTTCAAGTTTTCTTAGATACATGGAGCTCTGGAGCCCTCAGTACCCAGATTTCCAAATGCTCAAGTTCCAACCACCGAAATCTCATTCCCCTCTGGCCAGGGCTGGTTTAAATAATCCCTCTGTGGATGGGCTTTAGCTGCATTTGGTTTGGTTTTCCTTTCTGGTCTAACAGGGCAGCACAGAGTTCAATGTCTTAAAATTTCTGTGTTCTCCCTCCTGCAGAACCCAGAGTTGATCTCTGCACCACGCCATCACTGCTGGTGGTGAGGAAATGGTGCCTCTTTCAGTGATATGAAGTTAAAACCAGGTACTTTGAGTACTCAACTGATTTTTGGTTCTTATGAATGTATTTTCTATGTAGACGTTAATAGTTGTGCATCTGGTGTCCTTGCAGGAGGGAAGATCAGTGGAGCCTTCTTTCTGCCATCTTGTGTTACCTTTGCAGCCAAGAATCAGAATGAAGAACTTTCAATAAGAAAAGCTTTCAGAACCAGGAAGGACGTAGAAGATGTCCTGGTTCTGTACGTTTAACATTGGACTGTTTCTTCAACTTAGGTGCATAACAGTGACTAATCAGGGATTATCATAGATAATTTGACTTGGAATATAGAGTTCATTCAAATACTTTATCTAGACAATTTAAGTACTGGCTGATTTGGCATGAAAATCTGACAAACTATTTTCTTGGTATTCAATTGATTTTTACTCTGTTTGCTGTAGTAGTTTTATAAACCAATCAGTCTTCATTAAAGTTCTGGGAATTCTTACCCTGTTCAAATGATATGATTCTAACGTTGTCAAAAATCTGTATTCAAGAATACTTCTCAGGACCTTTTCCATCCTTTCATGAAACTCCTTAAAGATACAGTATTCTATAATTTTGCAAGCTTGTAAAGTTTTCAGAATTTGAAATGCCTCACAATTAAGCAATTTACTGTAGAAATGATTTTAAATTTTCATAGACACAGTTGACAAGAAAATTTTATTATTTACAGGAGTGACCCACCACACCAGGCCTCTGAAGTTCATTTAATAAAATTTTATAAATAAATTTATCAAATGTGTCATCTTTGAATCCCAGATTTTTGTGAGCCTATGCTTTAGATTTTCCCCCAACTTTCTCTATTTATCTAGTTGTATCTATTTTTTACTTCTTCAATTTGAAACCTTAAGTAACTTAAAAAAATTAAAACACATTTTTTGCCTTTATAAGTTTTCTAATCAAAAGTTTATCTTCACAAGTCTGTAATCCCAGCACTTTGGGAGGCCAAGACAGGTGCATCAGTTGAGGTCTAGGGATTGAGACCAGCCTGGCCAACATGGTGAAACCCTGTCTGTACTAAAAATACAAAAATTAGCCCAGTGTGGTGGTGAGCACCTGTAATCCTAGCTACTTGGGAGGCTGAGGCAGGTGAATCGCTTGAACCCAGGAGGCAGAGTTTGCAGTGAGCTGAGATCATGCCACTGCATGCCAGCCTGGGCAACAGAACAGGACTCGGTCTAAAATAATAATAATAATAACAATAAAGAATCATATCTTGCTTTTTCATACAGTCTGATTACAGAATTGTTTCTCTCATATCTAGTAATTAAGTCTTAGTAACCCCAATTTTCAGTGAAAACCCTAAAAAGTGATTTTCAACTGTCTTATATCAGTATTTTTAGATAGAAACCATTTTATACTTGTAAAGAAATATAGTTCTTCAAATTATTGTTTATTAACAGAACCAAAGATATTTAGGTTTTCTATACCATATACAAGTAGTATATCATGGCATATAGACCTAATTTTTAGTGGTGACTATTTCATTATTTTAGCTTACAAATGACTCAAGACATTTTATAATTATCTATTACTTAATTTAACATGACTTTAAGGTTTTAAATTACGGAACAGAATTTTGGAACTATGACACAGGTAGCATCACTAATGTCTTCCCCTGGTAATTCTAGGTCCCAAGTAGCCCCATGGCACCCAGGAAAACTATGAAGATCAGACTCTGCCTGAGTCCATTAGGACTAAAGACAGAGCCGTGAAGGCTATACCTGGAGGATCCAATCCCTCCTAAAATAGCCAGGAAGCAAAATAGGAAAAGCATAGAAAGAACAGACTAATTGGGCTTGATTCCGGCTTGTAACTGCTGGTCAAGACACAGAGAACATGTCTCCAGACTTCATGATGGACACCTATCGAGACCCCCTGAATCCAGAAACTCTCAACAAAAGACACAAGCTCACAGTTAAATAAAGCAAGTACCTAATTATATTTAACTGATAATTGTAAAGCCATTTCTATTTTACTAATGATGTAAGAACTAGCTTTATTTACAAAGTGTCACATACATGTAACAGATATAGACATACAAACACACAGGAACAGATCTTATAGCTTTCATGAAGGATTTAATTTTTTTCAATTGTATGTTCAGGGGTACGTGTGAAGGTTTGTTACATAGATAAACTCATATCACAGGGGCTTGTTATACAGGTTATTTCATAACCCAGGTATTAAGCCCAGTACTCCATTGTTATCTTTTCTGTTCCTCTCCCTCCTCCCACCCTCCTCCATCAAGTAGAACCCAGTGTGTGTTGTTTCCTTCTTTGTGTTCCTAAGTTCTCATTATTTAGCTCCCACTTATAAGTGAGAACAAGTAGCTGCATAGTATTCCATGGTACATATGTGTGTTCTGTGTGGAAAATGTGTAAGGAGAGAAGAAAAGAAACACACAATACTTTTAAGGGTAAACAGACTTTATCCCAAGTATATGGCAACACAGATATAATAAACAAATCATCTAATAAGCCAATGATATAATAAACAAATTGTGATGGGAAGGGGAGAAGGGAAAAGACATATTATATATAATATATACATATACATATGTATGTGTGTACTACACACACACACACACACACACACACACACACACGCACACACATATATATATTCACCAGATAATGGAGGATTCATCACCAGATGGGGAAGCAACTACCTGGCCTCCAGAGTTGGCCACTAGTCCATGTACAGATGAAGAGAGGTCCCATGAAGCTTCGGCGTGGTCTTGGAAACTAGCTCTTCTTCTTAAAAGTTGTTTAACATGAGGCCCAGTCATGTGGGCCCTTCTTGACTGGGCTCAAGGAATACAAAATGGTCATCAAAAGCATACCTTCACAAGCCTGTAGTCCCAGCACCTTTGGAGGCCAAGGCTGGTGCATCACTTGAGGTCAGGTGTTCAAGACCAGCCTGGCCAAACTGGTAAAACCCCATCTCTACTAAAAATACAAAAATTAGCCCGGCGTGGTGGTGCAATTGTTTTTGAAATGTCTGTTGTTTTTCAATAACTATTTCTCTGAAAGAGCACTGAATGAATGCCTCAAGGGGCTCACACAACTTGTTCCATGTCTCAGTGACCATTGTTTGTGTCCATGTTCAGTTGAATTCAAATTTAATATTTAACTTTTGCTCCATTATCTTGTCCCACATTATCTTTATTCAATCTGTCATTGATGGGCATTTAGGTTGATTCCATATCTTTACTTTTCTGAATAGTGCTGCAATAAACATGTACTTGCTTGTGACTTTATGATAGAACAATTTATATAACTCTGGGTATATTCCCAGTGATGAGATTACTGGGTCAAGTGATGGTTCTGCTTTTAGCTCTTTCGAGGAATTACCATACTGCTCTCCACAACGGTGGGACCAATACACATTCCAACCAACAGTGTATGTATTGTTTTTCTCCACAACCTTGCCAGTGTCTGTTATTTTTTGACTTCTTAATAATGGCCATTATGGCTGGTGTGAGATGGTGTCTCACTGTGCGTTTAATTTGAATTTCTCTAGTGATCGGTGATATTGAGCTTTGTATTCTATGGTTGTTGGTCACATGTATGTATTCTTTTGAAAAGTATTCATGTCTTTTGCCCACTTTTTAAATTGTTTTTTATTTCCATAGGTTTTGGGACAACAGGTGGTATTTGGTTACATTAGTAAGTTATTTATTGGTGATTTGTAAAATTTTGGTACATCCATCACCTCATCAGTATATACTGAACCAAATTTGTATCCCTTTGTCCCTCACCCCTTTTACCCCTTTCCCCGTGAGTCCTTAAAGTCCATTGTGTTATTCTTATGCCTTTGCCTCCTTATAGCTTAGCTCCCTCTTATAAGTGAGAATGTAAGATGTTTGGTTTTCCATTCCATTACTTCACTTGAGTTAATAGTCTTCAATCCCATCCAGGTTGCTGAAATTGCCATTGATTAATTTCTTTTTATGGCTGAGTAGTGCTCCATCCTACATCTATACCCCAGTTTCTTTATCCACTCATTGACTGACGGGCAATTGGATTGGTTGTACATTTTTGCAATTGCAAATTGTGCTGCTATAAATATGCATGTGCAAGCATCTTTTTTGTATAATAACTTCTTTTTTTCCTCTGGGTACATAGCCAGTAGTGGGATTGTGGGGTCAAATGGTTCTTCTCCTTTCAGTTCTTTAAGGAATCTCCACACAGTTTTCCATAGTGATTGTACTACCTTACATTCCCACCAGCAGTGTAGAAGTGTTCCCTTTTCACCACACTCACACCAACATCTATTATGTTTTTATTTTTTGATTATGACCATTCTTGTGGGAGTAAGGTGGTATCGCATAATGGTTGTAATTTGCATTTCCCTGATTATTAGTGATGTTGAGCATTTTTTCATATATTTGTTGGCCATTTGTATATCTTCTAAGAATTTTGTATGACCATATTGCCAAAAGCAATCTACAAATTCAATGCAATTGCCATCAAAATACCACCATCATTCTTCACAGAACTACAAAAAACAATTCTAGAATTCAAAAAAGAGCCCGCATAGCCAAAGCAATGCTAAGCAAAAAGAACAAATTAGAAGACATCACATTACCTGATTTCAAACTATAGCATAAGACCATAGTCACCAAAACAGCATGGTTCTGGTATAAAAGTAAGCACATAGACAAATGAAACATAATAGACAACCCAGAAATTAACCCAAATATTTACAGCCATCTGATCTTTCACAAAGTAAACAGAAACAGAGTGGGGAAAGAACGCCCTACTTAACAAATGGTGCTGGGATAATTGGCAAGCCACATGTAGGAGAATGAAACTGGATCTTCATGTCTCACCTTCTACAAAAATCAACACGAGATGGATCAACGACTTAAATCTAAGACCTGAAACTTAAAAAATTCTAGAAGATGACATCAAAAAACATTCTAGACATTGGCTTAGGCAAGGATTTCATGACCAAGAACCCAAAAGCAAATGCAAGAAAAACAAAGATAAATAGGTGGGATTTAATTAAACTAAAGAGCTTTTTCACGACTAAAGGAACAGTCAGCAGAGTAAGCAGACAATCTACAGACTGGGAGAAAATCTTCACAATCTGTATATCTGACAAAAGACTAATATCCAGGATCTACAACAAGCTCAAACAAATTAGAAAGAAAAAAAAAATCCCATAAAAAAGTAGGCTAAGGACACGAGTAGACAATTATTTGGCAACTCTTTAATAGGGTTGTTTGTTTTTCTCTTGTAAATTTATTTAAGTTCTCTATGTTGAATATTAGACCTTTGTCAGATACATAGTTTGTAAATATGTTTTCTTATTCTGTAGGTTGTCTCTTCACTCTATCGATAATTTCTTTTGCTGAGCAGAGGCTTTTAAGTTTAATTAGACCCCACTTGTCAATATTTGCATTTGTTGTAATTGTTTTTGGTGTCTTTATCATGAAATCTTTGCCTGTTTTTATGTCCAGGATGGTATTGCCTAGGTTGTCTTCCAGGGCTCTTATAGTTTTGGGTTTTGCATTTAAGTCTTTAATCCATCTTGAGTTGATTTTTGTGTAGAGTGTAAGGAAGAGGTCCAGCTTCAGTCTTCTACGTATGGCTAGCCAGCTATCCCAGCAACACTTATTGTATAGGGAGACTTTTCCCCATTGCTTGTTTTTGCCAGCTTTGTCAAACATTAGATAGTTGTAGGTGTGCGGTCTTATTTCTGGGCTCTCTACGCTGTTCCATTGGTGTGTGCCTCTGTTTTTGTACGGGTGCCCTGCTGTTTTGGTTACTGTAGTGCTGTAGTATCGTTTGAAGTCCCGTAATGTGATGCCTCAAGCTTTGTTCTTTTGCTTAGGATTGCCTTGGCTATTTAAGTTCTTTCTTGGTTCTATATACATTTTTAAATAGCTTTTTCTAGTTCCATGAAGCTTGTCATTGGTAGTTTCATAGGAAGAGCTTTGGGCAGTATGGTGATTTAAATGATATCAGTTCTTTCTCTCCATTAACATGGAATAATTTTCCATTTCTTTGTGTCTCGTGTGACTTCTTTGAGCAGTGTTTTGTAATTTTCATTGCAGAGATCTTTCACCTCCCTGGTTAGCTGTATTTCTAGGTATTTTATTCTTTTTGTGAAAATCGTGAATACAATTGCCTTTCTGGTTTGTCTCTCAGTTTGGCTCTTCTTCGTGTATAGGAATGCTAGCAAATTTTGTACATTGATTTTGTACACTGAAACCACGTGGAAGTTGTTTATCAGCTTACGGAGCATTTTGGGTCACAACTATAGGTTTTAGATAGAGAATTATGTTGTCTGCAAACAGAGGTAGTTGGACTTCTCTTTCTATTTACATACCCTTTATTTCTTTTTTTAATAACCTTTATTTCTTTCTCTTCTCTGATTGCTCCAGCAAGGACTTCTAACACTATGTTGAATAGGAGTGGTGAGAGAGCACATCCTTGTCTTGTGTGCTTGTGTGGGTTTCAGGGAGAATGCTTCCAGATTTCGCCCATTTAGCATAATGTTGGCTGTGAGTTTGTCATAGGTGGCTTTATTATTTTGAGGTATGTTCCTTCAATACCTCACTTATTGAGAGTTTTTAATGTGAAACATTGTTGAATTTTACTGAAAGCCTTTTCTGTATCTATTCAGACCATCATATGGTTATTGTCTTTAGTTTTATTTATGTTATGAATCACATTTTATTGATTTGCCCATTATAGAACAACCTTCCATTCCAGGGAAGAAGCCTAATTCACTGTGGTGAATTACCCTTTTGATATGTTGCTGGATTCACTTTGCAAGGATTTTGTTGTAGATTATTGAATGGACATTCATCAAGGATACTGGCCTGAAGCTTTCCTTTTTTGTTGTGTCACTGCCAGGCTTTGGTATCAGGATGATGCTGGCCTTATAGAAGAAGTTGGGAAGAAGTCCCTCCTTCACTATTTCTTGAAATAGTTTTAGTAGGAATGGTACTAGCTCTAATTTGTACATATGTTAAAATTTGACAGTTAATCTATCAGGTCCTGGGCTTTATTTTTTTCCTTGGTTGGTAGGCTGTTTACTACTGATTCAATTTTTGGAGCTCATTATTTGTCTGTTCAGAGACTGAATTTCTTCCTGGTTCAGTCTTTAGAAGGTGTATGTGTCCAGGAATTTATTCATCTCTTCTAGGGTTTTTTGTTTGAGTGTGTAGAGGTGTTCGTAGTAGTTGTTGATTGTTATTTTTATTTCTGTGGGGTCAGTGGTAACATTACCTTCATCATTTATAATTACGTTTATTTGAATCTTCTCTCTTTTCTTCTTTATTCATCTAGCTAGTGCCTATCTATCCTATTAATTTTTTTCAGAAAACGTTGATTAAGTGACCATTTGAACAGTTTTTTATGTCTCAATTTTTTTTCCAATTCAGCTGTGATTTTAGTTATTTCTTATCCTCTGCAAGCTTTGTGGTTGATTTCCTCTTGCTATTCTAATTCTTTCAGTTATGATGTTAGGTTGTTAATATGAGATCTTTCTAACTTTTTGAATTGGGCATTACTTCTTATGCCCTATACTAACTTTTCTCCTTCTCCTAGAAAACTCAGGACTGTGCTTTCTAAACTAATTTAAACTTTCTCAGTGAATCAGCCTGATCTCCCTGAGGCAAAGTTAGCAATTTTCCATTACACATGTTTCTCTTTCTCTGTAATAATATCTTGTGCAACAATGCAAGTGTTTCATGCCCTCCTGGATATTCGGGGACCTCATTTTGGCTGAGACCAAGACTTAAAACTTTGTTCTTTCAACATTAATGAAGATCTATTTAGAAAGGCTCTATTTTACAGAAAAGGTATACAAATACCAATGAAAATAAATATAACATTATATGACATACAATTATATTGTGAAAGATTGAATAAATAAGTGAAGTAAGCTCTAAGAAAAAAAGATGATATAAAGTGATACATAAATGAAAAACCTGGCATGGTATAGCATAATTTATGTACCAGTACAGTGTGTACATTGCAGAAGTGGCAGGAAAACTGCATACAGAGTGAAACCTGACCAAAAGCTTTAAGGAAAGTTCAGCTCTTTGTATGGAGATTGGTAGGGGAGAAAAGGAGAGGAAATAATATAAATTATTTGATCTATGCCCTTAAAAGAGATTAAAGTGGACTCAAGAAAACATGGTCCACTTTAGAAGAAGGACACAGGTTCAATGCTGGCCAAAGCTCAGAGCATCCCTACTTTCTCCAGGAGGAAAGGGGATACAAAAGAGCAGGCAGACAGCAGTACAGCCAGGTCAGTACAGGGCACCCAGGCCAAGCCAGTTGGGCTATACTGTACAGGTAGTAAGGAGCCACTGCAGGGTGGGCTTTATTCATTAGTTTGTTATATTTTCTTTAGTAACTAAGACACATGATCAAAGTTGATCTTTGTAAGTATTGCTGCAGCTGAACATAGGATGGATAAAACCAGTGTTTAAAAAATTGTGTTGTATAGAACACTAGCCTCAGTGAGATATTAGTGGAACCCACAGGTGCATGCACACTCATACACACACACACTTGCACACACTCACACTGAGCCCAGATTATTCTGGCAAATGCTGGGTTAAGCAAACTAAAAGAAACATCTCTATTGCTGGACATCTCAGAACCTGGAATGTGGCTATATGACTCATAAAACAGCAACATTAAGACAGATCATGTGATTTTGTTTTCCAGAAATGTTGAAACACTTTCCTCTCCTTGGCTTCAGTGTCACCTTCTTTCTCCTCATTCTCCATCAACATTTTGGCTGCTCCTTCTTGGTTTCCTTCTTGACACTCTGCTGCTGCTCACCCATTCTCTTTTCATTCCCCATGAATTTCTCAAGTGTGTTTCTATTGCTGCAGATCTTTCCTTGTTTTTTCCTGACAATTCTCCTTGCCTGACCCTCCCCCATTCTAAGGCATGTGTTCCATCTGTGTGCACTTTTGGCATCCTGGGATGCTCCCAGAGTGTTCCATGCCACACTCCATCAGGTTTTCTCCCCCAGACTCTGTGAGGGCAGTGCCCTTGTCTCTACTGTTGCTTCAGTACTCAGCACATAACACATAAGCTGATTCCTAAACATTTACTGGGCCAACTGAGACTAAATGTGTGTTCCTCCAGATCTTAAAAAGTTACAATAATAAACATAGCACAATAGTCCAAAAATGTCTCTTCAGTCAGGAGTTCTCTATATATGCACAACAGTTTGAAGTCATTATAAGGCAAAGTTAAACAGAAACTTTCACAAAGTTCCCTATTTTGCTTTAATCTTCAATTCATCAGGTGAGATAATCAAGACCATGTGTTATTGTACATATTTCTAGCTTGCAACATAAGAAGCTGATTTTTATTGTTTGAAATAACCACAATATAAATCTGTTAACTAAAACTTGTGTAAATATTCCTTTCAGATAAAATTCTGCCTAAATTTTATGTTATTCATGTGTTCAAATGATAATGAGCTCATAGGCTTTTCCAGTACCTCAGTCACAACATTGTACTGATTCCAGCTGTGGGAATAGCATCTGAGAGTTATGTTACAGATGGGGAAAAGGTACTTATGTGACATTGGCCTTTGCACTACTGTGTCCGTTTGGTTCAGGAAAAAGCTGTTTCCTTAAAATTCTAAAATCTCTTCTGTCAGGTCTGTATGGTAGGTGGGAAACACAGTTTTTTAAATTTTAGACACAGATGATTTATTCCTTGCTAAAAGCAGTGAATAGATAAAGGCCACCAGGAGAGCCTCTGATGTTGCTTCAGAAGCAGTGTGTCTGAGAGCATCTTCCTGAAACACTCTCCTATGTCTGCCCAAAATCACGTTAGGTAGGAAAGTCAAAACTTAGCAGGCTGAGGAGATCCAAGGGGATCACTGAGCTCTGAGACTTATGACAGAAGAGAAGAGAGAGAGGTCTAATACTTTTGGGGTATAAATTTATGGGTTACAAGTTGTAATTTTGCTCTAAGCATGGATTACATAGTGGTGAAGTCAGGGCTTTTAGGGTATCCATTACCGGAATAATGGACATTGTAACCATTAAGTAATTTCCCACTATTCACCCCTTCCATCCCCTCACCCTGCTGAGTCTCCATTATCATTCCACTATCTACATCAATACCTAGACATCTTTAAGCATCCACTTATGCGTGAGAAATACAATGTTTACTCTGTGTCTGGCTGGTTTCACTTACAATAATGGCCTCCAGTTCCATTCATGTGTCTCCAGAAGTTATGATTTTATTCTTTTTTATTCCTGAACATTATTTCATTGTGTATATTTTCTACATTTTCTTTCTCCAATAATCTGTTGATGGGTATTTAGGTTGATTTGTATCTGTGCTACTGTGAATAGTGTTGCAGGAAACATGCAAGTACAGGTATCTTTCTAATAATTTTATTTCTTTTCCTTTGTGTATGTACCCAGTGGTGGAGTAGCTGGATCAGACAGAGCCAGTTGATGATCAGTAATGGTGGCCAATAATCAGCTAGAAACAAAGTACTTAGCAGAGCCTGAAAACACCAAGACTCTGAGACCACTGATCTTAAAAAACTTCAACAGCCCTGAGTGAAACATCCAAACACATTTATCCACAATTTAAATACCCTTTAATGCCTGTCTTCTGTGCATCTCAGAAGTCTATTTTTACCACACTGTATATGCTGCATTAGCCATTTATATGAAACTGCAAGGCATCTTATACTAAATATTCAACCATGTATCCCTAGTGCCTAGCACAGTCCTGGCATATAGTTTTCTACTAAACATTTGCAGAATGAAATAATTATCTTGTATCCAGTTTCCAAGTTTTAAGGTGATTTCTCACTAAAAATAAAGTACTGCAGTTCACAAATAATCTACTTCTTTTTTTGCAAGTGGGATATATTTTAATCTTATCCCCTAATGACATTATTTTCATTTACTTCCATCTAAATATACTGTCATAAGAGAGAAATAAGAAAGAGAGTTAAAGCTGGAACTTGAAGAATTGTACATGGTCCACATTGTGGCCTGACATTCATCGCTCACCTGAGCTTCATCTGTTAGGTATGTCAGGGAAGATAATTGGGGTGAGAGTGGCCTCAACAGAGGACCCCAGATCTCTGGCTTCCCCATCTGGCAAGTACACGCTGTGAACAAAGTCTTCAGAGCCATATGACAAGAATGGCCCAAGCACTCCACTAGGGAAATCTGAGCCCTGTGGACATCAATGCAGAGCATCAAGCAGCACATAACATGTAACTGAAGAGGACAGCAGGAGCAACAAGGAGGGACAACCATGACCTAGGAGGGCACAATGCCAGGGATGCCTGGACCCCACACTAGGCTCAGTGCCCATTATACTCTTGGGACCCAGTGCTTTCTCTCGCCATCACTTGGCATACTTGGAATTTTTTTTGTTGCTTAAAATAATGTTTTTAGTGTTCACCTTTCCTAGGAGACAGGTAGATTCTTTGACACTACAGCTTCTGGCACACAGTAGGTGCATCACAAACATCTGCTGAGTTCACACACTCTTGCCTTCTCAAACCTTCTTGTCAAGTCTTCAGTGAAGAGGAATTGCTGATTGAGAAAGAATTAAACTTCTAGAGACTTCTGGATCCACTGAAGTTTGAGGCAAGGTGAGATTTGTTTATTGCCATATTCCTAGCTCATAGCATAATGTAGTCACTTAATAAATGTTTGTTAAATAAGTGAGTGAATTGATTCATACGTCTTACTTAGCAATATATTTTCTGAGTAAAGTTGATACATGTAAGAGTTTACTTCTGGTATAATTTTACTTTACTTATTCAAGAAACTTGGCAATTCAACTAGGTGCCAGTCACACCACTGCCGAAGAAAAAGAGGTATAAGATATAATTTCTGTCTACATGAAAGCCACAGTTTAAAAATTAGAAACATATGTACAAATTTTAAAAATAAATTGGCTAAATTCAAAATCAGAGGGTTTTGTTTTTATTTTAAACAGCTCTACTCAGGAAGTGTTTGAAAATTCTAAAGAGGAAATCTTTCAACACACCACCTAAGCATGAAGCAGAAACCACCCATAATTGAGTTTGCTACCACCAACCTCAACAGCAAGAATTCCAATCTTGCTGCTGCAAATTAAGTGTCACTCTGATTTTATTACTGCTATGTAACCCAGTTTTAGACTCTCTGGTTCTCACTTAATATTCCATAAAAGTATTAAAGAGAAAATATTATTATGGTGATGAGCCCATTCACTGCAGCCATCTTAACATTATACCTATTATAAGCCCTATCACTTAAAAAGAAAACTGTTTGTTTAACTTATTTATGCAAAAGTCAGTGTAACATAAACATATTTGCCATCAGACTTCATATTTATGGGTTAAATAGCATACAAATATGATTAGAGGCTTAAAGTTTACACTTTTCTGATTCTCTCAAATGTTTTTTCAAAATAGCATGTGCCTTTCTTTTTTTTTAATTTATTTATTTATTTATTTATTTTATTATACTTTAAGTTTTAGGGTACATGTGCACATTGTGCAGGTTAGTTACACATGTATACATGTGCCATGCTGGTGCGCTGCACCCACTAACTCGTCATCTAGCATTAGGTATATCTCCCAATGCTATCCCTCCCCACCCCCCCACCCCACCACAGTCCCCAGAGTGTGATATTCCCCTTCCTGTGTCCATGTGATCTCATTGTTCAATTCTCACCTATGAGTGAGAATATGCAGTGTTTGGTTTTTTGTTCTTGTGATAGTTTACTGAGAATGATGATTTCCAGTTTCATCCATGTCCCTACAAAGGACATGAACCCATCATTTTTTATGGCTGCATAGTATTCCGTGGTGTATATGTGCCACATTTTCTTAATCCAGTCTATCATTGTTGGACATTTGGGTTGGCTCCAAGTCTTTGCTGTTGTGAATAATGCCGCAATAAACATACGTGTGCATGTGTCTTTATAGCAGCATGATTTATAGTCCTTTGGGTATATACCCAGTAGTGGGATGGCTGGGTCAAATGTTATTTCTAGTTCTAGATCCCTGAGGAATCGCCACACTGACTTCCACAATGGTTGAAAGCCCAAGGTAATTTACAGATTCAATGCCATCCCCATCAAGCTACCAATGACTTTCTTCACAGAATTGGAAAAAACTACTTTAAAGTTCATATGGAACCAAAAAAGAGCCCGCATCACCAAGTCAATCCTAAGCCAAAAGAACAAAGCTGGAGGCATCACACTACCTGACTTCAAACTATACTACAAGGCTACAGTAAGCAAAACAACATGGTACCGGTACCAAAACAGAGATATAGAACAATGGAACAGAACAGAGCCCTCAGAAATAATGCTGCATAGCTACAACTATCTGATCTTTGACAAACCTGAGAAAAACAAGCAATGGGGAAAGGATTCCCTATTTAATAAATGGTGCTGGGAAAACTGGCTAGCCATATGTAGAAAGCTGAAATTGGATCCCTTCCTTACACCTTATAGAAAAATCAATTCAAGATGGATTAAAGACTTAAACGTTAGACCTAAAACCATAAAAACCCTAGAAGAAAATCTAGGCATTACCATTCAGGACATAGGCATGGGCAAGGACTTCATGTCTAAAACACAAAAAGCAATGGCAACAAAAGCCAAAATTGACAAATCGGATCTAATTAAACTAAAGAGCTTCTGCGCAGCAAAAGCAACTACCATCAGAGTGAACAGGCAACCTACAAAATGGGAGAAAATTTTCACAACCTACTCATCTGACAAAGGGCTAATATCCAGAATCTACAATGAACTCAAACAAATTTACAAGAAAAAAACAAACCACCCCATCAAAAAGTGGGCGAAGGACATGAACAGACACTTCTCAAAAAAAGACATTTATGCAGGCAAAAAACACATGAAAAAATGTTCATCATCACTGGCCATCAGAGAAATGCAAATCAAAACCACAGTGAGATACCATCTCACACCAGTTAGAATGGCAATCATTAAAAAGTCAGGAAACAACAGGTGCTGGAGAGGATGTGGAGAAATAGGAACACTTTTACACTGTTGGTGGGACTGTAGCATGTGCCTTTCTAAACAATTGTTAGTTTTCTTTTCAAATGAACTTTTAAAAGTGTATTTTCCAAAAGCAAAATACAGCTCCCTTTGGTAAATGATGATTTTGAGATAGAATAGGCAACTTCTCTTGGGAACCATTTGATCAGTGCTCACTTTCACACTCTGTCCAGAAATGTCAATGGCTTTAAAATATAGAAGTATATTACACGACTAAACTTATACTCATTCAGTATTGTGAAATATTTAGAACTTATTCTAGCTCTCTGTTGCTGAATAGCAAGCCATTCCAAAACTTAAGGAATTATTTATTGTTTAATATTTTTATTGTTATTTTTATTTAGTAATTTTAAATAACATTATTTCTCAAGGTTTTGTGGGTTGATGGGAGCTACAACAGTTCTGTTTTGGAGTTTGTCTTGCAGCTGCTATTGGTTGCTGCTACTGAAGTTACCTGAAAACTCAACTAGGCTGAAGAGCCTAGATGGGTTACTCACATGGCTGACAGTGCCTATTGGCTGTTGTGTGTGGTGCCTATCTGGCCTCTCCATGTTACCTGGAGTCCTCAGAACATGGTAGTTGGTCCCAAGACACACAGAGAAATACTACAAAGCTTCTTATGACCTAGGCTTGGAGGTCCTAGAATTTGACTTCTGCTGCATCCTATTGGTAAAGCAAGTCATTGTGACCAGCACAGATTCAAGAACTGGGAGATTCAACTCCACTTGTCATTATATTTTAGACGGATAGTACTAGCTACTCATGTCTCCCCTAGAAACCCAAGCTAGGCATTGACATATTGAAAATGATGTCACTAACATTAAAAAACTCCAGAAAAATCACATGTGATGACAGGTTAATTCAGTCTCTCAGTTACATCAATATAATTCCCTTCTTTTAACCCTAAATATGGTAAAACAGAATTGAATTCTACAAAAGTCTTTCAACTGTTTTCTATGGAATAATTAACAAACCCAATAAACGTGGAAAGAGTATGAAGTCCAATTTATTTTAGATATATACCTCTTAATTTCAAAGCTTATAGAAATCTAAAAAACTAATCACCACAATCCATAATGCGTGGATCAGAAGACATCGTACTAAGAGTATCCTGTGGCATGCCAAAAATATATTACTAACTAGGAAATTTAAAACCCTTGTTGGTGATTTTAAGAGAGCTGACTAGCTCATCAGCACAATTCACACAGATTAAGAACGGAGGTTACTCTGCTGAGTGGATTCATAATGATCATAAAAAATTCACGAATAAGAAAATGAGATAGAGAAGGGGAAGCATACTGTCAATCACTACAATTAAAGGGAATTTTCAAATGGTCTGATTTTGTATTTTTCAAAAGAAAGACAGCTTATTGCGATAGAATAAGAATCCCACTCATATGTCTTCTTTTGAGAAGTGTCTGCTTATGTCCCTTGCCAATGTTTTAATGGCATGGTTTTCTTAATGTTCAACATCACTAATAATCAGAGAAATGCAAATCAATGTAAGATAACTTCTCATATTATTCAGTATGGCTACTAAGAAAAAGTAAAAAATTATAAATTCTGGTTAGACTTCAGAGAAAATAAAATGCTTATGTACTGTGGTGTAAATTAGTTTTCCCACTGTGAAAAGCAGTTTGGAGATTTTTCAGAGAATTTAAAACAGAAGTACCATTAAACCACAAATTCCATTATTGAGCATATATCCAAAAGAAAATTAAAAAATTTTTAAAAAGAAACCCCAAATGCACTTGTATGTCATCATATTGCTATTCACATTAGGGAAGGCATGAAATTAACTTACGTGTGAATCAAAAATTGGATAGAAATATCCAACACCATAAAATACTATGCACACATTAAAAAGAATACAATCAAGTCCTGTGCAGCAACATGGATGCATCTGTAGGCCATTATCCTAAGAAAATTAATACAGGAATGGAAAACCAAGTACCACATGTTCTTGCCTGTAAGTGGGATCTAAACATGAATATAAAGATGTCAGCAATTGACACTGAGAACTACTAGATGAAGGAGGGAAGGAGGAGGGCAGGGGGTGAGAAACTATGAGTACTATGCTCATTACCTTGGTAATGGGATCAGTAATATCCCACATAGCTCAGCATTACACAATATATCCATGTAACAAACCTGCAAAAGTACTTCCTGAATCTAAAAAATTTAAGGCAGAGACCAAGAAGACAGAATAGAAGTCTACGTCACTTGTCCCCCATACCCAAACACCAAATTTTCACAACTTATTATATTCAAGAAGCACTATCAAAGGGACCAAAAATGAGGCAAGCAATCACAGTACCTGGTATTAACTTCATATCACTGAAAGAGACTTTGGAGAAGACAAAAAAATGACAGTCTAGAAACACTGATGCCACCTCTTTTTCAACCACCAGTAGTGGCCACGTGGTGCAGAGATTGTATGTTTGGGAAAGGGAGAGCACAGATTGTGAGGCTTTGAAATAAACTCAGTACTACCCTGTCACAGTAAAAAGCAGACCCAGATTGTACTCAGCTGACATCTGCCAATAGAACATTTTGATTTGCCCTAGCAAGATGAAAATCTCCCATCTCAATGTTGGGAGCTTGAGTCTTTACAAGCCTTGCCACATGAGTCGAAGAGCTATTGGACCCTAAGAGAACTTAAGGGGCAGTCTAGGCCACAAGGACTTCAATTATTAGGCAAGTCATACTGCTGAGCTTGGCTCAGAGCGAGTGCAATGTGGAGCCTGGGGAGAATGTGGACTACTGAGACACCAGTCAGAGCAGCTAAGGGAGTGGTCACAATACCACTCCCCCTACCCCCACCCAGCAGCAGCCACACAGCACAGAGAAACTTGTGAATTTGGGAGAGGAAGAGCACAATGACTGAAGGACTTAACATTAAAGTCAGTGCTGCCATGTCAGTAAAGACCTGGCAGAATTCATCACCTGCTGACTAAAGAACCTCTGTACCCAGAATAAAAAACAGTGATACCCAGGTAATACCCAGTGATACACCATGGGTATAGGGCTCTGAGAAGTGCTAACTTCAGGTGTGACCCAGCACATTTCCAACTGTGGTAGCTATGGTGAAAGACTTCTTCCATTTGAGACAAGCAGGGGGGAAAGTAAAGGGAACGCTGTGTTGCACCTCATATACCAGCTCAGCCACAGTGGGTTAGAGCACCAAGCAGATTCGTAGAGTCCCTGAGTCCAGACCTAAGGTCTTGGTCAGCATTTCTGTACTTGCCCTGGGCCAAAGGTCGAGTCCCAGGCATTGCAGAATTTATCACAAGCTAACTAAAGAGTCCTTGGGCTTTAAGTGAGAAATTGATGATGATTTGGCAGAACTACCCCATGGGCCGGTGGTGTTGGCAGTCATAGAAGAGACTCCTCTGCCTGCAGACAGAGGAAAGAAGGGTAGAAAATACTTTGTTTTATGCCCTAAATGCCAGGTTAGCTACAGTAAAATAGAAGAGCAGGTAAATTTTGAAGATTCTATACTTTAATCTCTGGCTCCCTAGCATCTAGGGACCCCCTCATGGCTACAGGGAACTTGCCACGCTGTAGGCAGAGACACAAATCTGGCTGGCTTTGCCATCTATTAATCATAGAGTCCTAGGGCTTTGAGTAAACTTATATGGTAGCTAAGTAGTGGTTAGAATGGGCCTTGGGTGAGACTCAAGTTCTGTGCCTACCTGAGATGTGAACCAGCACAGTCTTTGTGCTGGTGGCCACAGGGTTTCTCATGTTGCTGCAACACCAGCTCCACATGCCTAAGCACAGAGAGAGAGACTATGCTGGTTTGAGAGAAAGTAAGGGAAGAGAACAAGGGACTCTACTTGATAAATCAAGAGAATTTTTCCTGATGTGAATCCAAGGCAACCAAGGCAGTACCTGTATGTGTTTACATAAACTACTGTGTTATTCGGTTGGGACCCAAGTCTCTTTGAATACCTGGAAAGCATTCCCAAGTATAATGGGCACAAACAAGCCCAGACTTTCAAGACTACAGTAGGAAACTCTTCAATGCCCAGATATAGATGAACATCTACAAGTATCAAGACCATCCAGGAAAACACGGCCTCACCAAACAAGCTAAATAAGGTGCCAGGGACAAATCCTGGAGAAACAGAGATATGTGACCTTTCATAAAGGAAATCCAAAATAGCTGGTTGAGGTAATTCAAAGAAATGCAATAGGACACAGCGAAAAATTCCAAATTCTATCAGATAAATTTAACAATGAGATTGAAATAAAAAGAATAAAGCAAAAAAAAAAAAAAAAGAAATGAAAATGCAGTTGTCATACTGAAGAATTACTTAAAACAATTGATCAAGAAGAAGATAGATTTAGTGAACTTGAAGTCAGACTATTTGAAAATATAAAGTCAGAGGAGACAAAAAAGAATAAAAAATAAAGCATGCTGCCAAAACCTAAAAATTAGCCTCAAAATAGCAAATCTAAGAGTTATTGGCCTTAAAGAGGAGATTGAAAAGAGATGAGTTAAACATTTATTTAAAGAAATAGTGTTAAATAATATTAAACAATTTCCCAGCATTCGATATCAACATTTGAGTAAAAGAAAGTTACAGAACATCAAGCAGATATAGCCCAAAGAAGACCACCTCAAGGCACTTAACTAAACTCCCAAAGGTTAAGGATAAAGAAATGAATCGAAAAGCAGTGAGAGAAGAGAGACAAATAACATTCAGTGGAACTCCAGTAGATCTGACAGCAGACCTTTCAGGGGAAAATTTACAGGCTGAGAGAATGGCATGCCATTTTTAAAAACCTGAAGAGAAAAAAAGACTTTTACTTTAGAATAATGTATCTGGCAAAAACATCCTTTAAACTTGATGGAGAAATAAGAACTTTTCTGGAGAAACAAAAACCGAGGGATTTCATTAACACCAGACATGTCCTGCAAGAAATGCTAAAGGGAGTTCTTAACCTGAAAAAAAAAAAGTGAATGAGCAATAAGAAATCATCTGAAGGTACAAAACTCACTAGTAATAGCACACGGAAAAACACAGAATATTATAACATGGTAATTATGTTGTGCAAAAATCTCAAATAGAAACAGTAAGCAATAAACCAATTACAAAAATAACTACAAGATATTTCCAAGATATAGACAGTAAAATCGGGAATGAAGAGAAACCACAAAAAGTTTAAAAGAATGGCAATGAAATCAAAGTGTAAAGTTTTTGTTAGTTGCTCTGCTTGTTTCTTTGTTTATGCAATCAGGGTTAAATTGTTCACAGTCTAAAACGATGTGTTATAAGATGTTATTTTCAAGCCTAATCATAATTTCAAATTAAAAAGCATATCACAGTTGTACAAAAAGTAAAAAGGAAGAAATTATATTATATTACAGGAGAAATCACCTTCACTAAAAGGAAGACTGGAAGAAAGAAAAGAAGGATGAGAGGACAAAAATCAATCAGAAAACAAATAACAAAATGGCAGGAGTAAGTGCTTATCAATACTAAGTTTGAATGTAAATGAACCAAATACTCCAATCAAAAGACAAATAATGGATTAATGGATAGAGGCACAAGACAATAATCTGTGACCTAAAAAAAAATACTTTACCTATAAAGATGCATTTAGACTGAAAATAAAAGCATAGTAAAAGTTATTCCATGCCAATAGAAACAAAAAAAGCAGAAATAGCTATACTTTTACCAGACAAAAATAGATTTCAACAAAAGACTGTAAGAGGAGATTAAGAAGGTCATTATATAATAATAAAGGGGTCAATTAATCAAGAAGATGTAATAACTGGAAATATATATGCACCCAACACTAAAGCACCTATATAAATGAAGCAAATATTATAAGAGATGTAAAGAAAGAGACCACAATACAATAATGGCTGGACACTTCAACACCCAACTTTAGTCATTGGATAGACCTTCCAGACAGAAAATCAACAAAGAAACATCAGACTTAATCTGCACTATAGTACAAATTAACCTAATAGATATTTACAGAAAATTTCATCCAACAGCTACAGAATACACATTCTTCTCCTCAGTACATGGTTTGATCTCAAGGGTAGACCATAACTTAGGTAACGTATCTAAAAACATTCAAAAAATTGAAGTAATATCAAGGATTTTCTCTGACCACAATGGAATAAAACTAGAAATCGATAAAAAAAAAAAAAAGAATTTCAGAAACTATACAAACACTTGAAAATTAAACAATATGCCACTGAATAATCAGTAGGTCAATAAAAAAGTTAAAAAGAAAGTAGAAAAATTTCTTGAAACAAATGATAATGGAAACATAGCATGGCAAAACCTATAGAATATAGTAAAAGAGGTACTAATAAAAAGGAAAATTTAAAACTATAAGTGCATACATAAAAATTAGAAAACCTTAAAATAACCTAACAATATATCTTAATTAAATAGAATAAAAAGGCCAAACCAAACTCAAAATTAGAAGCAAAGAAATAATAAAGATTAGAGTGGAAATAAAGTTAAAATGAAGAAAACAATGCAAAAAATCAATGAAACAAAATGTTGACTTTTTTGAAAAGTAAAACAATTGACAAATACTTACAGAGGCTAACTGAAGAACTGAGAAGATACCAAATTAATAAAATCAGAGTTGATAAAGAGACATTACAAGTAACGCTTCAGAAAATCAAAGGATCATTAGTGGCTAATGTGAGCAATTGTATGCCAACAAATTAGAAAACCTAGAGGAAATCAATTCTTGGACACAAACAACTTACCAAGATTGAACTAGGAAAAAATAAAAAACGTGAACAGACCAATAATAAATAACAAAATTAAAGCCATAATAAAAAAGTCTGCAGGACCAGGCATAAAATAGAGAAGGAAAGAACATTTTCAAACTCATTCTTTGAGGCTAGTATTAAACTGATATCAAAACCAGACAAAGACACATTAAAAGAGCAAACTACGGGCCAATATATGAGAATAATGATGCAAACATTTGCAAAAAACCTGGAAACCTGAATTAAACAATACATAAATAATTATATTTATGTATAATTACATAATATATTTACATAATAGATAATATACATAATAATAATTACATAATAGATAATCCATCATGGGCAAGTGGGATTTATCCCAGACATGCAAAGATAGTGCAACATGCAAATTAATCAATGTGATATATCATATAAACACAATGAAGCGACCAGGTGCAGTGGCTCATGCCTGTAATCCCAGCACTTTGGGAAGCTGAGGTGGGTGAATCACCTGAGGTCAGGAGTTCAAAACCAGACTGGCCAAGATGGCAAAACCCCATATCTACAAAAAATGCAAAAATTAGCCAGGCGCCATGGTAGGCACCCGTAATTTCAGCTACTCAGGAGGCTGAGGCAGGAGAATCACTTGAACCTGGAAAGTGGAGGTTGCCGTGAGCCAAGATCATGCCATTGCACTCCAGCTTGGGTGAAAGAAGGAGACGGCGTAAAAAAAAAACAAAAACAAAAACAAAAAAACAGAATGAGGGACAAAACCCATATAATCACTTCAACTATGCTAAAAATCATTTGATAAAATTTAACATTCCTTAATAATTAAAAGCCCTTTGAAAACTGGGTATGGAATGATACCTCAACATAATAAAAGTTATATGTGACAGACCCACAGCTAGTATCATACTTGGTGGGGAAAAAACTAAAAGCCTTTCCTCTAAAATCTCGAAGATGACAAGAATATCCATTTTTACCATGGTTATTCAACATAATTCTGAAAGTCCTATCTGGAGCAATCAGACAAGAGAAAGTAATAAAAGCCATCCCAATTGGAAAATAAGTCAAATTATCTTTTTTGCTGATGATATAATTTTATATTTGAAAAAATATAAAGACTCATCTGATAGAGTTTTAATATGTATCCTCTCCCAAATCTCATATTTAAATGTAATTGTCGATGTTGGAGGTGGGCCTGATGAAAGGTGATTTAACCATCTGGGTGGATTACTCACAAATGGCCTAGCACCATCCCATTTGGTACTATCCTCATGATAGTGAGTGAGTTCCCATAAGATCTGGTTATTTAAAAGTGTGTAACAACTCACCTCTCTGTTTTTTGCTCCTGCCTTTTGCCCTGTGATATGCAAGATTCTGCTTAAACTTCTGCCATGACTGTAAAGTTCCAGAGGCCTTCCCAGAAGTGTATGCTAGTGCTATATCTTCTCTATAGCCTGTAGAGACACAAGCCGCTTAAACCTCCTTTTTTAAAAATAAATTTTCCAGTCTCAGGTATTTATAGTGATGCAAAAATAGATAAATAGAGAAAATTGGCACCAAATTGTGGAAAATTGTTATAAGAATACTTGAAAATGTGGAATTAACTTTGTTATTGGATAAACAGGCAAAAGTTGGAGGAGTCTGTAGGACACAGAAGAAGCCAGAATAATTAGGGAAAGTTGAGATCTTCTTAGAGCCTGGTTGTATGGCTGTGACCATAATGCTGATAGTGATCTGGACAGTGAAGGCTGAGCTGAGGAGTTCTCAGATGAAAATTAGAAACTTATTAGGTCTGAAGCAAAAGTTATGCATGTCATCTTAGCAAAATGGTTGTCTGAATGTCTGTCATGCCCTAGGGATATACAGAAGTTTGAATTTGAAAGTGATGATTTAGGGTTTCTGTTGGAAAAATGTCTAAGCAGCAAAGCATTCAAGATGTGTCCTGGCTGCTTCTATCAACCTGTGTTCACATGTTGGAGCAAAAAAACAAAACAAAACAAAAATTTGTAACTTATACTTTTGATGGAAGCATAGTGTAAAAGCTTGAGAAGTTTGTAGTCTAGTTAAGTGTCAGAAAAATAAATAGCTTTTATAAGAGAGGAACTCAAGCAGGCTATGGAGCAACCACTTGTTAGAGATATTTGTACAACCCAAAAAAAAAAAGCAATTGTTGATAGCCAAGACAATGGGAAAGAGGAATTGAAGGCATTTTAGAATTCTAAAAGCCAGCCCCCCATCACAGACCCTGGGGCCTAAAAGAAGACAATAGTTTCTGAGATCAGACCCAGCACCTGCTGCCTTGAGTAGCCTTGGAACATGGCTCCCTGAATCCTGGCCACTGCTCATGCTCCAGGTGTAGCTCAAATTGGCCCAGTTACAACTATACTCACTGCTTCAGAAGGTGCAATCCATAAGCCTTGCTAGCTTTCATGTGGTGTTAGGCCTGTGGGTGTACAAAATGCAACAGTTGAGAATTTGGAGCTTCCACTTTTATTTCAAAAAGGATGTATGAAAAAGCCAAGGTGTGCAGGCAGAAGCATGTTGCAGAGGGGAGCCCTCATGGAGAACCTCTACTAAATCAATGCAGAGAAGAAATGTGGGGTTACAGTCCCCATGTGGGCTCCCTAATGGGGCATGACCTAGTAGATCTGTGAGGAGAGGATCACTGTCCACCAGACTCCAGAATGGTAGATCCTGTACAGCTTGCACCTTGCACCTGGAAAAGCTAGAGGCACACAGTAACAGCCCGTGAGAGCAGCCATGGGGGCTAAACCATGCAAAGACACAAGGTTGAAACTTCCCAAAGCATTAGTGTGTCCTGGAAATGGGACACAGAGTCAAAAATAATTATTTTGGAGTCTTACAATTCAATAACTCCCATTCTGGGTTTCAGACATGCATGGGTCCTGCAGCCCCTTTCTTTTAACTGATTTCTTCCTTTTAGAATAGGAATATTTACCCAATGTCTATACCCAATTTATGTCTTCGAATTACCTAACTTGTTTTTATTTTATAGGCTTATAGGAGGAAGGAACTAGCTTTGTCTTAGATGAGACTTTTGACTTTTGAGTTAAGTCTGAAATGAGTTAAGACTTTGGGGATTATTGGGAAGTCATGATTGTATTCTGAAATATGAGAAGGATATGAGATTTGAAATGGCCAGGGGCAAAATGATATAGTTTGGGTGTGTGTTCCCACCAAAATCTTATATTGAAATGTAAACCTCAACGTTGGAAGTGGGCCTAGTTGGGAGGTGATGGAATCATGAGGGCAGGATTTCCATGAAGAGTTTGGCATCATTTGCTTTGGTGCCATTCCCACAACAGTAAGTTTTCATGAGAGCTGGTCATCTACAAGTGCGTAGCACTTTCCCTTTGCCTTTGCACTTACCATGTGATGTGCAAGCACCGGATTTTTTCTTCACCTTGTCAGTTGTCAGAGGCATCCCCAGAAGCAGGGGCCAGGGCTATGCTTTCTGTACAGCCTCTAGAAACATGAGCCAATTAAACCTATTTTCTTTATAAATTAACCAGTCACCAACTATTTTTATAGCAATGTGAGAATGGCCTAATATATCCACCAAAAAACTGTTAGAAGTGATAACTTCAGTAAATTTGCAGAATACAAAATCAACATATACAAATCAGTAGGATTTCTATATGCCAACCATCAACAAACTGAAAAAGAATTCAGAAGAGTAATCCTATTTGCAACAGCCATAAATAAAACAAAATGTGTGCGAATTTACCAAAGAAATAAAAGTTCTCAACAATTAAAATTGTAGAATACTGATAAAAGAAATGAAAGAGGACACAAAAAATGGAAAGATATTTATTTGTTCACAGGTTGGAAGAATCAGTATTTTTAAAAATGTCCATACAATCCAAAGGAATCTATACATTTCATGCCATCTCTATCTAAATAACAATGACATTCCTCACAGAAATAGAAAAAACTTCTGCAATGTATATGGAACCACAAAACACCATGATAGTCAAAGCTATGCTGAGTATATAAAACAAAAATGGAGGAATCCCATTACCTGGTTTTAAATTATACCATCAAGCTATAGTAATTAAAACAGCATGATGCTAGAATAAAAATAGAACATAAAGACCCAAGGAATGAAATAGAGAACTTAGAAACAAACTCATGCAGCTAAACTAAACTTATTTTCAACAGAAGTGCTAAGAACATACAACAAAAAATAAGACAGTTTCTGTAATAAGTAGGGCTGGGAAAACTGGCAAGCCATAGGCAGAAGAATGAAACTAGAACCATATTTCTTGCCACATAAAAAAATCAAATTAAAATAATTAAAGATTTAAACTTAACACCTCAAACTATCAAAGTTTCACACACAAAAAAATGGGGAAACTCTTTAAAGCATTGGTTTGGGCAAAAATTTCTTAAGTAGTGCCCCATATGCACAGACCACAAAAGCAAACATGGACAAATGGAATTACAGCAAGTCAGAAAGCTTTTTTAAAGTGAAGGAAACAATAAACGAAGTGAAGAGAAAACCCACAGAATAGGAGGAAACATTTGTAAATTACCCATGTGAAAAGCAATTTATAACCACATGATACGGTTAGGCTTTGTGTCCCCACCCAAATCTCATATTGAATTAATCTCCAGGTGTTGAGGGAGTGACCTGGTAGAAGGTGAGAAGGTGATTGGATCATGGAAGTGGTTTCCTCCATGCTCTTCTTCTGATAATGAGTTCTCATGAGATCTGACGGTTTTATGAGGGGCTCTTCCCCTTTTGCTTCGCATACAGGCTGTCTCACCTGCTGTCATGTAAAGGTGCCTGCTTCCCTGTCTGCCATGATTGTAAGTCTCCTGAGGCCTCCCCAGCCATGTGAGTCAATTAAACCTATTTCCTTAAAAATTACCCAATCTCACCAGGCACAGTAGCTCACGCCTATAATCCCAGCACTTTGGGAGGCCGAGGTCGGTGGATCACAGGGTCAGGAGTTCAAGACCAGCCTGGCCAAGATGGTGAAACACAGTCTCTACTAAAAATAAAGAAAATAGCTGGGCATGGTGGCTGGTGCCTGTAATCCCAGCTCCTCAGGAGGCTGAGGCAGATAATTGCTTGGACCCCAGAGGGGAGGTTGCAGTGAGCCGAGATCGCACCACTTCACTCCAGCCTGGGTGATGGAGCAAGACTTAATCTCAATGAATAAATAGATTAATAAATAATCCAGTCTCTGTTTTTTTTTTAATAGCAGTGCAGAAACAGACTAATACACTACATTATATTGAGTTAAAAAAATTCTATAGAAAAATATGTAGTAACCTAATTAAAGAGTGGACAAAAAATTTAAATAGACATTTATGAAAAGAAGACATACAAATGGCAAACAGGCAAATGAAAAGATTCTCCACATTACTGATTATTATAGAAATGCAAATCAAACCAAAAATGAGATATCATTTCACTCCAGTAAGGTGGCTTTTATCCAGAAGTCAGTCAAAAACAAATGCTGGTAATAGCCAAGATTTGGAAGACACCTAAACGTCAATCAACGATGACTGGCTAGAGAAAATGTGGTACATATACACAATGGAATACTATTCAGCTATAAGAAAGAATGAGAGTCTGTCATTTGCAATAACGTAAACGAAACTGAAAGTCTTTATGTTAAGTGAAATAAGTCAGGCACAGGAAAAACAAATGTCACATGTTCTCACTTATTTGTGACTGCTAAAATTTGAAACAATTGATGTCATAGAGATAGAGAGTATAAGGGGGGTTACCTGAGGCTGGGAAGGGCAGTGGGGGAAGAGAAGGATAGTGGGGATGCTAAATGGGTACAAAAAATTGTTAGAAAGAATGAATAAGGCAGTATTTGATAGCACAACTGGGTGATTACAGTAAATAATAATTTAACTATACATTTTATAAAAACTAAAAGAGTATAACTGGATTCTTTATAACACAAGCTATAATTGCTCAAGGGGATAGATAGCCCATTTTTTATTATGTATTACTCACTGCATGCCTGTATCAAAGTATGTCATGTACCCCTATAAATATATACACCAACTGTGTACCCACAAAAATAAATTAAAAATCAAAATTAAAATTAAAACCAAGGGGAGGAGAGTATAATGAGGTATGCGTGACCCATGGCTTGAACTTGCTTTTCAGGTTAACTTTGGAAGGTCCTTATCCAAGAAGAGGGGTCCATTTGGTGACTGGAGGCTTAAAAATTAATTTTTAATTTATAAGGGGAAAAAGAATTTTTAATCCTGAGCCATAGCTCTCAGTTAATCAATCCCTGCAGGGAACCCTGTTCTTTACTCTGGAGATAAACATTATTTTTCTTTTCCACTGAATAACACCACATTTCAAAATGATGGAAACATCTTGAAACTAAAAGCCTTATTAAATTTGATTTGGTTTCAATTATACGTAATTAATCACATGTGTTCCAGAGTTTGGCCTCAGTCTTCTCCTACTTGAGGCTCACGATCTGTTGAATTTGCTCAGCTCCCTGCTCAACAGCAGGAAATCAGTTAGAATTACTTAAAAACCTCATTGTGACTGGAAGCGGTGGCTCATGCCTGTAATCCCAGTAATTTGGGAGGCCAACATGGACAGATCATTTGCTGTCAGGTGTTTGAGACCAGCCCGGCCAACAGAGACAAACCCCATCTCTACTAAAGATACAAAAATTAACTGGGTGTGGTGATGCATGTCTGTAATTGTAGCTACTTGAGAGGCTGAGGCAGGAGAATCACTTGAACCTCAGAGGCGGAGGTTTCAGTGAGCCGAGACGGTGCACTGCACTCCAGCCTGGGCAACAGAGAAAGACTCTGTCTCAAAATAATAACAATAATTAAATAAATATAAATAAAAATCTCATGTTTCTAACAAAATTTCTTTTGAATATCAATTGTATCAACTTGCATATTAACTATAATCATTTTGTTTACTTTATATCTAATCCTGAGAAATCTTTGAGGACTAATTTCACTCTTTTCTGCCATTTTGGTAAATATATCAAATTCCATCAAACAAAATGCACAAAATTCCTGAGAAATAAATTTTATCCTTGAGCAGTAGGCTTGCTTTGTTAGAGGAAGTCATGGTTACCAAGCTTCTAATTTAATAAACATAACTGGAATACTCTATCTTAATATGAGTACCTAGGTACTCACAAAGCATCTAGAAGGTTAATATTTATGGTCTGAAAATAGCCACATTTTTAAGCTGGCCACAAATTACAGTTGCAGAGTATTTATGGCCATACAAGACAGTTTCCACCAAGCCTGAAAAATGTATAAATATCCTAGGTGTGCAGCATTTTTTCCTTAAAGATAATATTAATGAGCTAGCTTAGGTCAATGGGGTAATGATCATTGTTAAAACCAATAGCTCCTGACTTTAGTGAATACATCTGCACCTTCCAAGTTTATTAATAACTGTTTCTCTTTATACTTACTTATAAGTAGAGATACTCATAAAAGACAATGCATTCCTGCTTTTGTTTTCTGACGATGCCCAACTCTGCAATGGAGTCACTTATAATAATCTTGCTTCTTTCACTGTGCTCTCTGATTCACCTCAATTTTTTCCTACACAAGATCTAAGAATCCTACTTTGTGGTCAGTATCAGGACCCTCTTTTCCAGCAACATCTTTCAGCAACACCTTGAAGGGACACCAAGACAAGACCCCCACTCCAAGGAAAACAATCCATACAGAATCAATCACCTGGCAAGCAGGCCATCTTTTAGAGTCGTGAAGCCATTCTGGCAGGCAAGAATGATTATCCACTACTACTAAAGTGAGAGGCCCTAGTGCATAATGTTAGGGGGAGAGACTTAGCCCAAAAAGTTAGAGACCTGGGGGTGTCATACTCAGATTAAACGCCAAGCTCACAAGGTTAGAGGCTCTGGGGTATGTTGAGAGGAATGGACTTGGCTAAACAAGATGTTTGCCACTTTCTCTTTTTGGACTGTCCACCTGGTGCTCTCTGTCCCTCACCTGAGTGCTCTGCATCTTGTCACCTTTCGGCTCACTGCCTCTGTTTTGTAGTAGTCTGTAGGCTGCCCCATGAAAGAGGACCAAAACAGTTTAGCTTTTACTTTCCTCAATAATCCTCTGACTTTTAGCTGATTGCTTATTTAATTTGCCACTGGTCCAAGTGACACTGAAGAAAAGAGGTGTCTTGGAACCTAGTATTTTTTACCTTAATTATCAGAAAAGATCAGCAGTAACCTCTCCATCATTATGACTAGAAGTTGAAATGTGGCATTTAACAGTCTTACATGATAAGATCAGATATGCCTGTTTAGTGACAACCTCTTTTATGACAACCCTCTGCAAACAATTAGCATCAATATGGAGAACATGAGACGTTTGCTTAAGAGTTTTCTCTTATTTCTTAAGCATAAGATCATCTTTGAAGAGCTGGTATAGGGCAGCTGGACCCTACTTTCTAAACCCAGCATGTCATTTTTTCCCTGAAAGTGTGTCAGTTTTGTCATAGCAGTGTGAAAACGGACTAATACATTTCAATATACAAGTTACAGCCTTCCCATTTCCCCTGTTTGGTCTGACTCATTCTTTTGCAGCTTAATTTGTTTTATAGAAGAGAAAGTGAAGGGGAGGAAATACATTATACACAGGCATCTCTGATGCTTGGTCAGGATTAAAAAATTAAAATCAGCTTGTATATGTTTGATGGAAGAAAAGACAAAATAGGGACGGCACATAATTGATTACCTTTTCAATGCAAGTGCCTCTTAATATCAGGCTTTTCTTAGCTGAGGCTGAACTCTGCACTGCCAGTCCAAGCACCCCATAAGAACGCAGTCAGGCTCCTTCCAGTTCTGGTGAGGTGTGCAACATGTTATTAATTCCTTCTAGTTTTCCAGGGTAATCTCGTGTCCAGACATCATCTTTGCCCTGCCCTTCGAGTCCTATCTTACATAGATACCTGAAAACACCCGAGCTTCACCAGAACAACATGCCCTGGGGTCTCTTATCAGCTGGCAAAGTTGAATCTTTGCCCTCTCTGGGAAGTGGCAAATGATAATAGGGACACTATATAGCTATATGTACCCTTTTCTATGTCTGAATCAGCCACATGCAAGGAAAAACTGAAACAGCTTTCAGAGGTTCCAGGAAAATTCATAGACAAATTTAAGAGGCTAACCTTGAAGTATGATCTGACCAGGCAAGATTTGCATACATTTATGTTTACCTGACACATGATAGAAAAGCAGCGTATTATGGGAGTGACTAGAGCACATGCTAATAGGGCGGCAGCCTGCAACCAGAGACATGGCAACTATCAAGTAGGAGGCACAACAGTGCCTGAGCAGGAACCAAAAGAGAATTAGGATCTAGAAAAGGGAAATCAATTAGGAAGAAAGTGGGATATACAGAGAAAAAATTATGATCATTTGACTCCTTGAAGGAATAAAAAAATGCATGATGTAACTTTTTAATTTTTATAAATCTGGAAAATTGCTCAGGGAGAAGATGAATACCTAGCTTTATTACAAGGGTGGATAACTTAGACCTTGAGGAAATACACTAACACTGCCCGACTCCAAGAAGGGACAGGCATTGCGACATTGCTAGGAGTTTATTTTATAGCCCAGTCTGCTTCTGATATCTGCAGGAAGCCGCTGAAAGCAGCCTTAGGGAGTGCTTAGGGACCCAGACTCCCATGGGTCAGCTGTTAGACTTGGCTTTTGCAGTTTTCCATCACAGGAATAGGGCAGAGGAAACAAAATAAAGCAAACCTCCCAAGAGGCCAGCTTCTAGCTACAGCCTTGTGCTCTCCACCCCTTCAGAGGCAGCCCCCTTAACCCCTGGCCGTCACAGAGGAAGTGAGAAGGTAAAAGTCCCAGTCTGTGCCTCTGGCCCACTATGCCTTGGATATAAATCAATGTGACTTCTGTAAGAAGGTCAGCCACTGCCGAAGGAAATACACTGTGCTTCCAAGGGAGCCATCATCAGCACCCAGCAGATCCAAAAGTGGTAGGGCCTGATACTTCCTGCATCTGCTCTCATTGGACTATTACCTATCGAGAGATGGAAGAGCCTCAGCCGACTCTTGAAGTGGAAGGTAGGATTATTAACTTCTTATTAAGTATGGGAACAGATGACTCCGTCCTGAGTAAATACAATTGGCTCCTGTCTTCTCACGATGGACAAGCCCAAAAACACTGCTTTTCTTATCTTCTAAGTTGTCCTCCAGGGATTCTGTGTTTCTCACCTGCCTTTTTAGTACTGTCTGAATGCCTGACCTCTTACTGGGGAGAGGTTTATTGAATCAGGAGACTATGTCATGGTCACCTTCACAGATCATAAAGCAGAGAAAGTGTTACTTTTGTTCCTGACCCCTCAGGGGAAAAAGAAGTTAAGAATGAGCTGTCACATTTACCACCTGAGCTGTTGTCTCAAGTAAATCCTAAGGTTTGGGCCACACAAGCTCTGGGAAATGCACTAAACACCTCCCACATTCAAATCCAACTTCAGCCTAGTGCTCCTCACCCTCAGAAGAGACAATACATTTTAAGGCGAGAAGCATGAGGGGAAATTCAAACCCTTATCGCCATATTATTGTCATATGAGTTATTAAGGCCATGAGAGTCTCCTTACAATACTTGCATGTTACCAGATGAAAAGCCTGATGGAAAATACAGATTTGTCAGAAACCTTACAGCATTAATAAACGCAGTTGTCTCCATACACCTCATTGTCCCCAATACTTACCCAAGTCCCAGGGGATGCAAAGTGGTTTACATTCTTAAACCTGAAAGATGAATTTTTCTGCATTTCAGTGCATCCAGTTTCACAATATGTTTGCCTTAGAATGGACTGATCTGTATATGCATTCAGCCTCAAAATTAACCTGGACAGGCATCTCTGAAGGGTTCTGGGATAGCCCCCACTTATTAGAAAATGCTCTAGCTAAGGACTTAAGAAATCTACGATTGCAAAGGACACAATTATTCAGTATGCAGGTGACTTGCTCATTGCTAGTCCAACTAAAGAAGACTCAAATAATAAAACTGTTAAATTGGTAAATTTCCTGGGAATTTGCAAATATAAGATATCACCATACAGGGCTCAGATTTTGACTGAAAGACTTAAATATTTGGAATCTGTCTTAACCTTTGGAACTGATCAACATCCCTAGAAGATAAAAAGTTATTTTAGTCATGTGAGGGTCCCAGTCCAAGAAATGACTGTTGGGCTGTTTTAGGAGATGGCTGGGTACTGCTACTTATGGGTACCCAGATTTGGACATGTAGCCAACCCTTATATGATACACTAAAGAGAAAGATTTAGAGCTCCTAGAATGTAATTAGAGCTACAAGCAAAACTTCAATACTTTTAAGGAGAAATTGGGCTCTGCTGCAGTTGTGGGAGTCCCCAGGTTGGATCAACCATTTGTGCTTTATGTGGCCAAAAAGCAAGGCATAGGCCTTCGGTAATCTTGTCACAAAACTGGGGAATATTCCAAGGCCAGTAACCTAATTTTCTAAGCAGATAGACCAGGTGGCCTCAGGGTGGTCTTAATGTCTTAGAGCTATTGCTGCTACAACTTTTCTAGTAGGTAAAACTAATAAACTAACATTAGGACAGCACCTACAGGTTTTTGACCCCACATCAAGGGAAGGTCTTCCTAGAAGCTAAATGGCACCAGTGGATAATAGGAGAATATTTATGAAGGTATCAGGCCTAATTGCTAGACACTCCAGACATAACTCTTAAAGCCTGTCAAACCATAAACACAGCTACTTATCTGCCAGAGTCCACAGGTGCTCCCAGCCTTTCTGGCATACAGGTTGTATCAGTCTATTCTCATGCTACTAATAAACACATATCTGAGGCTGGGTAATTTATAAAGAAAAGAGGTTTAATTGACTCACAGTTCTACATGATTGTGGAGGCCTCACACTCACGGCAGAAGGCAAATGAGGAGCAAAGTCACATCTCTTACATGGCAGCAGGCAAAAGAGATTGTGTAGGGAAACTCCCTTTTATAAAGCCACCAGCTGTAATCCCATCATTTTGGGAGGCCAAGGTGGTGGATCACCTGAGGTCAGGAGTTTGAGACCAGCCTGGCAAACATGGTGAAATCCCATCTGTACTAAAACTACAAAAATTAGCCAGGCATGGTGGTGGGCACCTGTAATCTCAGCTACTCAGGAGGCTGAGACAGGAGAATAGCTGGAACTTGGAAGTCAGAAGTTGCAGGGAGCTGAGATCATGCTATTGCGTTCTAGCCTGGGCAGCAGAGAAAGACTATGTCTCAAAAATAAAAAAAATAAAATAAATAAATAAATAAATAAACAAACCATTAGATCTCATGAGGCTTATTCACTGTCACGAGAACAGCATGGGAAAGACTCATCCCCCAATTCAATTACCTCCCCCTGGGTCACTGCCATGATATATGGGAATTATGGGAGCTACAATTCAAGATAAGATTTGACTGGGGACACAGCAAAATCATGTCACAGGTTATAAAACAAATTTATTCTAGGAGGCCAGACTTACAAGAGATGAGCCCCTTGCCCCTTGACCATCCCAAGGAAGAGTGGTTAACAGACGCAAGTTCTTTTTTGCATCAGGGAAAACAGAAGAGCTAGATATACTTATTAGCACAAGAGAATCAAGGCACAAGCATTGCTGGCCTCTACCTCAGCTCAGAAAGCTGAGTTAATTGAACTTACTAGGCCCCTGCAGTTGGTAAAGCATTTAAACGTTAACACTTACACTGATTCCAACTATGATTTTTTAGTGCTTCATTCTTACGCTGCAATTTGGAATGGGTAACTACCCCTGGCTCCCAAGGGCTTTTCCATAGAACATCATTCAGATTTTTAGCTTCTTAGAATGCTGTTTTGCTGCCAAAACTGACTATAATTAATTGCAGAGGTCATCAAAACAGAGACGGACCATGTAAAAGGAAATGCCCTGGTAGATGCTGCAGTCAAGGCCCCTGGACTGAAAAGGCCAATTAAGCTATGGGTGTGCTGATTAGCATTCACAGAACATAGGGTCAGAATACTCTGAAGAAGTACAAAATTGGGCCAGGGATTGCAGTTCAGTCCAGGACCCCTCTGGCCCGCTGAACGATGGTAATAAATTACTAATGCCAAGTACCAATCATAGGAATATAATTCAGCACTTTATGATTATTTTCATCCTAGAAGAGATTCTTTGTTTCTGTTAATATCTCATTTGTTTATAGGGGTAAATCTTTTCAAGACAATAAAACAGGTGGCTCACCCCTGTGAGCTCTGCGCCTGACATGTCCCAAAGGCCAGCAATTTTCTCCTTCTCCAGTTAAACGTGTCCAATATTGATGAATCTATCCAGGTGAGAACTGGCAACTCTAATTTACTCAGATGTCTTTCTGCAGGAGATTCAAATATTTGCTAACTCTTACTGATACCTTCACTGGTTAGATCGTTGCCAGAAGAAATAACTTATCAGTCTGAGTAATCTAAAAGCCTGCAAAGTGACAATGGTCCATTTTCAGTGTATCCCAACACCTATCCTCAGCTTTAGGAATCCAGTATTACTTTCACTCTGCGTAAAGACCGCAGTCCTCTGGAAAGGTGAAAGGGCTAATCCTACTCTAAAGAAGACTCATGCTAAATCAAATGCCTAATATCTCTAACACCCATAACTTACTGAGGGTTTGAACTGCTCCAAAGTAAAACTTACCATTAAGTCTTGTTGTGTTTACATATGGAAGGCCTTTCCTACCACAGATCTCCCAATAGATGAAAAGACTCATCAAGTACAAAAATATGTCATCAGTCTAGGATAGGTGCAAGGCACTCTGTGAATACTGAAATAAGAGGCTTCCCCTCCCACATGGGAGGAAAATTCAGTTTCATGTCAGCTAGGGATTTAATCTTAGTAAAGACGAGGGAGGAAGTTCTCCAGCTGACCAGCTTTCCCCAACGTGGAAAGGACCACAGCAAGGCCACCTGAGCTCCCCAGCAGACGTTCAGCTCCAAGGGACTCACAGGTGGGTACACCTGTGTGGAAGTAAAGCTGTTGCTTATTCTGGGAGCCCAATCCGAGGTTGAGGGAGGCGGGCGAGGGTCTATTTAAATGTTGGCAGAGGGCGGGCTGGGTCGCTGCACATCTGCTCTTCCTTCTCGCATTTCTCCTGCCGCCCTAATCCCGCCTTGGCCATGAGGGAGATTGCGCTCACGCAGACCCGGCAGTGCGGGAAGAAGATCGGTGCCAAGGTTGGCATCCGGGGCTCTGAGGTCCCAGCTCCGGCCTACTGGGTGGCCAGGGAAGATGTTGGCAGTGGCAGTGGCTTGGGCGGTGCCCCTGAATTGCAGCCCCTGGGCTCCCTGCCGGGGACGCAGTGGAACTGGGAGGCTGACTAGTCGGCAGGGGTGGACCCCAGGGACACGGCAGCCTAGGGATGTGGTTGCGGATGAGGGTGGGGGTGGTAGAGGAGCTAGGAGAGGGGCTGGGGCGCCTCCAGCTCCCTGGCCTCCGTGACTCAGCCCTGGTCTGTCTGACCCCACCCAATCTCTTGTAGTTCTGGGGGGTGATCTCTGATGAACATCCCATTGACTCCGCTGGCACCTACCACGGGGAGAGCAACCTGCAGCTGTAGCGCATCAACGTGTACTACAACGAGGCCAGCGGTGAGAACCCAGACCTTCTCCGATCGCCATCCTGGGAACGGCGGCCCTCCCCCTCGCTAATACCCTCCTGTCCCACTCAGGTGGCTGGTACGTGCCCTGCGCTGTGCTCGTGGACCTGGAGCCGGTCACCATGGACTCTCTGCGCTCGGGGCCCTTCGGGCTCATCTTCAGGCCGACAACCTCATCTTTGGTGAGCTGCGAGTGAGGACTGCGGTGCGGCTCCTTAGCCGGAGCAGCTCATCTAGTAGTTCCTGAAGGTCATAGCTGTGGGAATTGTGCAGCCAGGGCCCCTGAACATCCTCCTATTCTCCCAATGGCTCAATCTGCCTCTCCTAAATGGGCTTCGGGAGGAAGCCCCAGGCGTCTCCTCAAGGTGAGGAGCTAGTGTTATAAACTCCCTGCAGGGAGCTGAGCTGGGGCCGTGGCTACTCTCTTCCCTGAAAATAGGTAGGAGCCACCTACAGCGAGGTCTCTTAGCATGTCTGAGTTTTGAGTCCTGACTTAATTTCTAAAAGGGGAGGCTGCTGTCCTGTAACTCTGCGGTACGGGGTTTCATTTGCTCCACCTGAAGGATGAATGGTGCTTTCACCTCACATGTGACACTTGGTCCATTTTGCATTGTGGTGGTGACCACTGATGACCATACACCTGGCACTCAAGTGACTGACTGTACTGTCATACAGGTCAGTGTGGGGCTTGAAACAAGGCCAAGGGGCACTATACAGAAGGTGCGGAGCTGATGGAGTCAGCGATGGACATTGTCTGAAAGCAGTGTGAGAGCTGTGAATGCCTGCAGGGTTTCCAGCTGACCCACTCCCTGGGTAGGGGAACTGCATCTGGGATGGGTACCCTTCTCGTTAGTAAGATCTGGGAGGAGTATTCAGACAGGATCATAAACACATTCAGCATCCTGTCCTCGCCCAAGGTGTCAGACACCATGGTGGAACTCTACAATGCCACCCTGTCAGTCCACCATAGAAACTCATAGAAAATGCAGATAAGACCTTTTGCATAGATAATGAAGCTCTATATGACATCTATTCCAGAACCCTAAAACTGCCCACACCTACCTATGGTGACATGAACCACCTGTTATCTGCTACCATGAGTGGGGTCACCATGTGCCTGGGCTTCCCAGGTCAGCTGAATGCTGACCTACAGAAGCTGTCTGTGAACATGGTCCCATTTCCCAGGCTGCATTTCTTCATGCCTGGCTTTGCCCCACTGACCAGCCGGGGCAGCCAGCATTACCAGGCCCTGACTGTGGCTGAGCTTACTCAGCAGATGTTTTATGCTAAGAATATGATGGCTGCCCCTGTCATGGCTGCTACCTAATGGTGGCTGCCATTTTCAGGGGTTGCATGCCCATGAGGGAGGTGGATGGACAAATGTTCAACATTCAAAATAAAACAGCAGCTACTTTGCTGACTGGCTCCCCCACAACGTAAAAACAGCCATCTGTCACATCCCACCCCAGGGGCTAAAAATGTTGGCCACCTTCATGGGCAACAGCATTGTTATCCAGGAAATCTTCAAGCATGTCTCAGAAGAGATTACAGCAATGTTCAAGTGCAAGGTCTTCCTCCACTGGTACACGGGCGAGGGCTTGGATGAGATGGAGTTCACTGAGGCTGAGAGCAACATGAATGACCTGGTGTCTGAAAATTAGCAGTACCAGGATGCCAAGGCTGAGGAGGAGGAGTTTGAGGAGTGTGCTGAGGAGGAGGTGGCCTAGAGCTTTCCTTTTCTTGGGGAAAGGATGGAAACTATGTGGATTCTTTTTTGTGTTCTGACAGCCCTGTGTCACTACGCAATTGTTCATTTGTGTCTTCTCATCTTCTCCTGATGTATTTTAAAGCATTTTTATAGTATGCGATTTTGCCTACTAAAGTACTCTCATAACATCTGGTTTCACCTCTAACTTCTTTCTTTAGGCTCTCTGGCTACTGCTGCTAGATGCCCTTAGTTGTCCTGCAAGGCTGAAGCTGTCTGGGCTTATCACATGCCCAGTAACAAGCATTCGGCTGGCTCCAGGAGGGGTTGGCATGGGCTGTGGATGTGGCAAGTAGTATTCACATGAACGTATGGATGCCCTGGGACTTGGGCAGCTATGTGATGGGAAACCTGTTCCTGAAGGCAAGCCTTGGCTTATCCCATGTAGCAAACTTCCAGGGGAATAGCTGGCCCTCTGTTTCTGGAACTTTAAAAGTGGTCAGTGACCCTGGTGGACAATGTCCCAAAGTCCTACCTCAGGGTAGGAACGTGGTCAGACAGCTGATTATGAACCAGCATTGAAGGGTGGCAAAGTAGGACCCCAGCCACTCTATCACCATGATGGACTGGGTGTGAACGTGTGTCTTCATTCTCTTAATGAGGTGGGCATGGGGTATCTGGCAGGGACTGTTGGGCAGGAATCAAGTCCAGTGTCTGCTCACATGCACTGAACCCTATGTAGAAGGTTATTAGGTCCTGGGGGCCATAGATGGTGGTTGCTGGGCCTGTGTGCTCGGGGCAGTCTCTCCAAAGGCAAAGATGGGGTTTCTGAACAGGACCTGGGGAGACAGGCAGATGCTCACAAGTGCTGTTTCCCCCATCTGGCAATCAGTGAGAAAAACACACAAGTGGAGGTCTTACCTGCCCCAGTCTGGAGGGCTGATGCTCTCTGGAAAGGTGGTTAATACACACTGTCTGCTGTCTCTCTGTCTCCCACTTCAAAACTTCAGGGCAAAAATAATCCAAGATTGTCAGGATGAGACTGGTGAGGGTGTCACCTTTGGGGATAGGTCCTTTAGCCTGGCAGAGTCTCCACCCCAGGCTTCCTGGGGAGCCTGGACTTCAAAGCCTGCTTTGGGGAAGCTGTCAAGAGATGTGTGTGTGTGAGCTGGGTGCTGGGCAGCCTGACAAGACAGTGCTTTTCTACCTAGCTCTTGTAGAATTTGTCGGTGGCCTGTGTAATTACCTCTTGGTAATTCCCACCCCACCCTCATCACACAGATAAAATGAAGCCAGCATAGCCTGGGGGTCGGCAGATGTACAGGTTCTACCGCAGGAACCCTGGGCATACCCACCTGCCTCAGGTGTGTCAGGGAAAACAGGTGAGGCCCCTTTCTTTTTCTTCATTGAATGTTGGCAATGGCCTTTTGCAGCCAAATGGCAACAGGCAAGCAGGAGAGTGCCTCATCTTGAAAGAAGTGGCTCCTGGAAGCAGCTAGGAGGTGGCAGAGGTCCCCCATACTCCCTTAACCTGTTCTCAGAGCAGGAAAAGGGGCCTCTGTGACAGCCCTCCTCAGTGGCTCTCACTCTCTGAGGGGTGTGCTTGCCCACCCAGGTGTGCCCCCATATGAAATGTTTTTGTGTGGACCTGGTTGGGAAGGTTCAGCTGAAGCAACCACTGGAACCTGCCCACATGTAGTATCTCCAATGACACATGGGATCAGATGGTCCTTCTGAAGTGGTACACCCAGAGTTGCACAGAGGGCGAGTCCCTGCTGCAGTTCCCATCGGGTCTGAATGTGGATTAGGCTTGGTACCCATGTATTTCCCAATTACCTGGTTCCATCTGGGGGCTTCATGGACAGGAGTAGTGCTTTTCCAGGCCTCTTCTCCATATGCCAGCTACAGGCCCAGATTTCCCAAGTATCTGGAGACCCCCTTCCAGCCTGGCAAGCATGGCATGTTGTGGGGGAAGGACATCAAGTCTACAGGCAGCAGAACCTGTCTGGCTAGGTTCTCTACCCCTGGAGGCCCCTGGTTGTTTACCTGTTTGGGTGAGAGTTGGCTTAGGAACTCAACATTCTTGTAGGACTTCAGAACACTATAGACAGGGGCCCAGGAGGGAGCAGGGGCTGGCAGCTAATCAGTGTAGTGGCGGTTGTAGGGCTCAGTTTGGTCTTGCAGGGAATTCAGAGGGCTTGGATTTGCTGAAGCTCTAGACAAGTTTGGGCTTGGATATGGAAACAGCATGGATCAGGGGCCCTTCTGCATGCAGAAGTCTGAGTAGTTACACCCTGGTGCATCCATAAGTGTTTCTCACCTGGAGCACAGCTGTGGGTAGAAGCTGGGAGAGCTGTGGAGGGAAGAGGAGGCAGAACGAGTCTCAGGGCAGCCACAGCAGCCACGCAGGGCCTCTGCAAGTGAGATGCAGATCCAGCCTGTTGGTCACTTAGCAGCTGCTTGGACGGCTGCAGATCACCTGACCTCTGCTCACCAGTAGATGGGGGTTGCATTAGCACTTACCTTCAGGGACTTCTGCAGCTTGAAGGGGAAGCACACACCACAGGATGAGAAAGCACCTGACTCAGGCAAGCTTCTCCAAGAGCACCACATCAGATTAACATCCAACCTGTACAGGACACCATGAAATCTCCCCACCCCTCATTCCAGCTGTAAGAAAAGGGAGTCTTTGTCCTAGGGGAACAAGCACAGGCATACTTATGCAGTGAGCACATGGCCCAAGTTGCGGAAAGGCCCTTGGATGAATGCTGGTTTCACCAACAATCTGTGGGTTGGGTTTGGCCTGGACCCTTGGACCCCAGCAGTCCAGTACCCCCCTGCATGGGACAGGACTGGGAGGTGGGTGGGAGGGCTGAGCTTTGATGGAAGCCATTATTTGGCTTCCTGTCAAGTGGTACAGGTGGTTGTTGGTGGCTCAGTTTTGAAAGACCTGGGTGATCACCCAAGGAGTGAAAATTGCCTTTTTATGAGAAATTACCAAAATTCATGCAAGCTCATCTGTTGAAAAGGTAAGAAATGCTGACAGTTGGCTTCACCTGCCCCTTCCCCACAAGTAACTTGTGTTCAGGGGTGGGTTTTCTTCCTTCCCAGACTTTCCCCTTTGCATGTAACTGTGTGCATGTACTTTGGCATGTACACACACACTTTCCCTGGAGGGGTTACTTTTATTTTTTTATTTGGGGGGATAACAAGTGAGTCAGCCTGACACTTGCTTATTTGGTCTTTTAAGTGTGGAGTCCTCTACGGAGTGGGCATCAGGTACTTACTAGCTGGCCTCTGCCAGCTGTTTGGCTGCCCCGGTTTCTGCCCTTCACAGAAATGCTGGCCACCTGGTGTGACATTCAGTTTCCTTGTTTGCAGCTAGTATGAGACAAGTGGATCAGGGACATTATAAACTGAAAAAGCGCACAACATGCAGAGGGAAAAAATAAATGACCATGTGTGTACTGAGATGACAAACATTGTTTTTGCCTAACATTTGGGCCCTGAGAAAGGGCATTTATGTTTTACTTTTTATTTAAAACAGAGATAGAAGAAATATTACCAGGCTTTCTTTTCCATTATCCCCAAATCCCAAATCCTACTTTACCCCCTCAAGTTTACCTACCTCTGAGAGAAAGAGGAGCTCGCCTGGTTAATGAGAGCCTGAAATAATTGAACCGGGTCACAGGGTAAAGGTCATACTGCTTCTGTCTCCTTGTGAATCACTTGCTCATCTCAGATATTTCATAGCTCCCTGTATAAAGGTAGATGTGTTATCCTCCTAGCCTGCTTTCTTGGTTTGATACATGCCTGAGAGCACGTGAGAGCACTTAAGGTCTAGGCTGATTGGAGGACTGTTCTGCCCACCCCATCTCATCTATCCAGCTCAGCCTGCATGCATGCATTCCCTCATCTGATTTCTGAGTAGGGGATGGGAGGTCTCACATTGACCTCAAGTTTCTGTGACTTTTTCCACCTCTGTTTTCCAAGGCAGCCTCTGCTGTGGGACTTGTAATGAGATTTGTGAAGTCAGTATCTACTTTTCTTGTGTGGGTGTTTTATAAAGTAAAGCCCTGGAGGGGAATAAATGTTAAAGGTACAACAAACCCCTAACCTATAAACATCTAAGCCTGACCCTTTTTTGGTGGTAAAATATATATAACATAAAACTTACTATTTTTTCCATGTTTAAATGCACAGTTCAGTATATTCACAGTGTTGTAAAACCATCTCCTTAATCCGTATCTACAACTTCTTTATCGTCCTAAACTGAAAGACTATACCCATAAATAAGTCTTTGAATAGAAGACTGATGCAGTTGACTCCATAAAAATTCAAACTTTCTATGAGAGAAAAATACTTCAAATGACTCATAGACTGTGGAAATAGATCTGCAACATACGTGACAGACAAAAAGCTAATTTACGTAATATATATATATCCTAAATTATTAAAAGACTAGCAGTCAAATTGAAAAATGGACAAGGGATGTAAAGAAACAGTTCAAAGCAACACATAGATTTTTAAATATTTGCTAATTTTTTACTGTGGTAAAATATGTGTAATAGAAAATTTAAGTACATTAGGTACAAATACATTGCTGTGCAACTATCACCGCTATCCATTTTCAAATCTGTTTTATCATCCCAAAGTGAAACACTGTATCCACAGAACAATAGCTCCCGTTTCCCTTCCCCCTATCCCCTGGAAACCACATCCCACTTCCTGTGTCTATGAATTTAACCGTTGTAGGTTTGTTATAAAAGTGAAAAGCATGGAGTATTTGCATTTTTTGTTTTAATCTTTTCAAGGTTTATGTTGTAGGATGTATTAAAATTTCTTTTCTTTTTAATGCTGAATAATATGTCATTGTGTGTATGGCTCACATTTGCTTATCCATTCATCTGTAGATGGACCTTTGGGCTTTTTCTACCCTTTGGCTATTCTGAATGCTGCTACGAACATGGGTGTTCAAATTCCCACTTTCAGTTTTCTGGGGTATAGGCCCAGATGTCGAATTACTGGATCACATAGTGATTACTGTTTTCCACAGTGGCTGTGCCATCTTACTTTCCCACCAGCAGAGTGCAGGAGTCCTGACTTCTCCACATCCAGCATTTGCTGCTTTCTGGAGCTTTGTTGTTTGTTTTAGTTTGCTGCTGGTGGTTTTTTTGATGGTAGCTATACTTACATGTGTCAGTTGGTATGACATTGTGGTTTGGATTTACTTTTTTCTCATGATTACTGATGCTGGGCTCCTTATACTGTGCTTACTGGTCATTTGTATATCTTCTTTAAAGAAATGTGTATTTTAAAACCTTTGCTCATGTTTAAATTTGATTGTTTTGTTGTTGTTTCTGAGGTCTTTATATAGCCTGGATATTAATTACTTGTGAAATACATAAATGTGTGAATATTTTCTCCCCCTCCGTGAATTGTATTTTCAATCTATTGATTGTATCTCAGATACACAAAAGCTTTTCACTATGATGAAGTTATTTTTGTGTATTGTTGTTTTTGTTGTTGTCTATGCTTTCACTGACATATCCAAGAAATTATTGCCAGATTCTATGTTATGAAACTCTTTTCCTATGTTTTTTTCTAAGGGTTTTATAGTTTCAGCACTTACAATTAGATGTTTGGTCTATTTTAAATTAAGTTTTTTATGTGGTGTAAAGTAAGGGTTGAACTTCGTTGTTTTTCATGTAAATATTCATTTGTTAACACCGTTTTTAAAATACTGTCCTTTCCCATTGAATAGTTTTGACTACCTTGTTAAAAATCATGACCATATGTTTTGGTTCTTTATTTCTATTGCATTGGTCTTTCTGTCTGTCTCTATGCCGGTACAACATTGTCTTGGGTACTGAAGCGTTGCAGTAAGTTTGAAACCAGGAGGTGTTAGTCCTCTAATTTTGTTAGTTTTTAAGATTGATTTGGCTACTTGGGGTTTTTTGAAATCTCATCTGAATTTTAGAACAGGTTTTTCTATTTTTGCAAATATTGGAATTTTTATAGTGATTTTATTGAATTCATGGATGACTATTGATAACAATGGCATCTTGACAAGGTTTTGTCTTCCAATCCATAATAAACACATGACGTCTTTTCATTTATTTGTATCATCTTTAATATTTTTCTGCAATGTTTATAGTTTTTGCTGTACAGGTTTTTCATTTCCTTGGTTAAGTTTGTTCCTAATATGTTATTGTTTTGATGCTATCATAAATTATACTGTTGTCTTGATTTCTTCTTCACATAGTTTATTATTATTGCAGAAATACAACTAATTTGTGTGTATTGATTTTCTATCCTGCAGTTTTGCTGAATTTTATTTACTGCATCTGACAGTTTAACTCACAGAAACTAGAAGATTTTTAACATATAAGATTATGTCATCTGCGAACAGATAATTTTACTTTTTCAAAAATTGGAATATCTTTCACTCTTTTACTTGCCTTTTTGTTTTAACTAATTAGAATCTTCAGTACTATATTAAATAGAAGTAGTGAAAACAGGCATCCTTGTTTTTGCTCTTAGAGTAAAATCTGTCAGTCTTTCACCATAAGGTTAGCTGTGTGTGTGTGTGTGTGTGTGTGTGTGTGTGTGTGTGTGTGTGTGCATTTTTTAATATAACATTACATCGATATTTTATTTATTTTTATAGCTTATTAAGTATATTTTTATGATTGTGGGTTAAATTTTGACAAATTCTTTTATTTGATTAAAATGATCACATGAGGGTTTTTTCCTTCTTTATGTTAATGTGATATTAAACTGATTTTCATGTGTTGGAACATAATTTTATTTCAGGAGTCAACTATACTCATTCATAGTGTGTAATCCTTTTAATGTACTGATAAATTTCAATTGCTGGTATTTTGTTGAGGATTTTTGAATCAGCATTTGTAAGGGATGTTTGTAGTTTTCTTATAGTGTCTTTTTCTGGCTTGGTGTCAGGGTAATTCTAGCCTCATAGAATAAGTTAGAAAATGTTACCTCCTCTTCAACGTTTTGAAAAAGCTTGAGAAAAACTGGTGTTAATTCTGCATTAAATGTTGGGTAGAATTCAACAGTGAAGCCGTCTGGTCCAGGCTTTTCTTTGTTGCTGGGTTTTTGATTACTGATGCAGTCTTCTTGCGGAATCTCCTTTCTGAATAGGTTTATTCAACTTTTCATATTCAGTCTTAGTGGGTTTTTTGTTTCTAGGAATTTGTTCGTTTTATTTATGTTATTCAATTTTTAAGTGTACAGTTTCTTATGGTACCCTCCTACATTCTTTTTTTACTCCAAAAATTTGGTAGTAATGAATCCATTTTATTTTTGAGTTTTGTAATTTGAGTATTCTTTTTTTCTTAGTCAATCTAGTTAAAGGTTTGTCAGTTTTGTTGAACTTTTTCAGAGAACAAACTTGGTTTTGTTGTATTTTGATATTTTTCTATTCTCTTTCACTTATTTCCACTGCTATCTTTATCATTTTTTATTTTGCTAGCTTTTAGTTGTTCCCTCTTTTTCCCTCTGTTTTTAGTTCATTAGCTATATAGTTAAGTTGTTGATTTGATATCTTACTTTTTATAATCATTTATAACTATAAATTTTTCTCTTATGCTACTGCTTTTGATGTATGTCTTAACTTTTGGTATTTCATATTTTTAATTTGTCTCTAGATATTTTCTGTTTTCTCTTGTGATTTATTCTTCTATCCATCCTTGAGTGTTTAATACCTGTATTTTTAGACATAAAATGTGTAACCCACAGAATTTTCTTGATTTGTTACAATTTTGTTTGTTGTAAATTTTTGTTTCAGACTTAAATGTGTGTATCAGCATTTGTTATGTTCTCATAAACTTTGTAATACATGAAGATTCCTGGTCCACATATGCAAGCCTCTACATGAATATTATTTTGAAGCATTATCCTTCTATTTTAATATTCCAAATGTCTATATGAAATTGAGATCTTGGTTTCTGAGATGAAATCATGATAGGTGACTGAGAAATCCTTAAAAATTAGCCAAAACTTAAAATTAAGTTACAGTTTACCTTCAAGATTCAACCTGAGTCACTCTGTATTGCTGGTAATAAAAAAATAAGTCTTTAATGGAATAAAAGCAAATTTCAGAGAATGTTTTTTTCCCCCTCGTTGACATTGAAATTAAAAGCCATAAAAAACTTTATGGCCTTAGGCACTGTTTACTTTAGAATTCCAACTTTTCCTAGTTAAAATTTTTCTAAACAGATTCCTGTGAATTTGAAAGAAATAATTTTTTAGTTGAAATGCTTAAGCATATTTAAGAAGTTAAAGCTGTTGTGCTTATTCTTGCCTTAAATAGTTTATGTAATGTAACTACATTTTAAAAGTTTCATTGTTAAGTTTCTCTAAACTTTGGTTAAGAAGCAGAAAGCATTACATGAGATTTTTGACATATGCTTTCAAGAAATCTCTTTTAAAAATGTTAAAGGAAGAACTGTTTAACATAAAAATGAATCTTTATGTGTTTGCATAATTTGAAAAAGTACGGCCCACAGCTTTTTTAATGCCCAAGAACGACACATATTTTCCTTTAGTAATATGAGGATAATAATTGTAGTTACCATGAGTGTTATGCCACATGACATGCAAAATTCTTTATGTATATTCATCTTCTAATCTTCAGAATTGTCTAATAAGTTTGACAAATTTATTATCTCCATTTTTATAACCATTATTCTTGATTCATTATACACCCTCATCAGTTTTCTGTGCTTGATTCTTTATGTATGTTTAGTTTGTTCATGTGCTTTTATTTCTAATAAACATTTAGAAATTAGAAATTTGAAAACTGAGATTTAAAAGTGGAATAAATTGTCCATGGGACACCCAGCTACGAGACACAGAGCCAGGATAAAAACTGGCATCTGTCTGACTCTAAAACCTGCAATGTTAACCACTGTAATCCCAGACAAACTTCCTTGATCATTCTACATGAATTAATGTATCTGTCTCTTTCTTCTCTCATTCTTCTTTTTTGTTCTTAGTACTCATTACAACTTGACGTGCACATGTAGATTTTTGTTTATAGAGATGGGGGTCTTTCTCTGATAATCATACACGTATATTTTTAATTTGCTATCTTTCTCTCTTGCTGTTTCATTCAATGTTCTCCTAAAACAATTACAGGCATTTGTACTGGTCTGTATGTATTGGTTGATACTTAAATAAATGAATGAAATTAGTGTATTCTGTACAGCATTAGTGCATATATTATTAAAGCTGTTATAGATTTTGTGTTTTCCTCTCTTTAAATTTTTCTTTCTATATTGCAGCACTCCCCAGTCTTTTCAGCACTAGGGACTAGTTTCGTGGAAGACAACTTATCCATGGACTGGGCAGGGGGACAGTTTCAGGATGACTCAAGCACATTACGTTTATTTCATACTTTATTATATTGCATTGTAATATATAATGAAATAATTATACAACTCACTGTAATGTAGAATCAGTGAGAGCCCTGAGCTAGTTTTCCTGCAACTAGTCAGTTCCATTTGACGGTGATGGGAGACTGTGACACTCAAAATGTGGTGCTTATGTCCAGTCTACTTCATAATTTTGTTTTGATTGCTGTCACTGGAAAAAAACTCTGCTTCAGAAAGACAGGATTTTGGAAATGGAAGCAGGAGTTTCAGTGATACTGTTAACAAAGAGATGTCAACGCTGCTATGGAGAAGAACAGCAATGGCTTCACTATCCTTAAATTTTACATAACATTTGCTATTATAGGTTCTTCTCCCTGTTCTTATTTTTTCCTGATATCTCTCCTCTTAAATGGTACATATAATCCTGTTATTTTATTTCAAAATTTTTAATGCTTTTCAATACCTGCAGGTCTTTACTGAATACTTCTATAATCATTTAACTCTAATTCTATTTCAATAGCTAAGCTGCCCATTTGATATTTCCATTGGTTATTATACCTATCACAAACTTGATAAATCTGAAATTTGGTTCTATAGATAATTTTCTTGTAATAGTTTAAATATACATTCAAAAATTATTTGAAACTCTTCAAAAAGTATGAAGGATCTTCAAAAAGTTCATGAGAAATGCATATTGAGAATAAATTCTGCATAGACTTCAAAAATATTTTGCAACTAAATAAACTTTTACTAACTTTGTTATAACATGTCTGAACAGGATCTAATTTGGGGAATTATAATAAGGAAACTAAGACACCAATTTGAAAAGAGATCGTATTAGAGCAGCATGAATTCTACTAAAATTAAAGCAAGAAAAAACATCAAATTTATGGCCATTTTGGGTGAAAGAATAGTAAAATAACTAATTCTTTATAACAATTTATGGGGACAATGCCCCCCGACATTCACAAGCATACAAATGAATAACTCATTTTAAGAAGGGATGATTAGGTGTTGAAGATAAAGCCCACAGTGGAAGACAATTCACATTAACTCACCAGAAAAGAAATTAATCTTGTTCATGCCGTGCTTTAGGAGTGACAACGGTATAAACAACAGTTTAGGAATGACAACGGTATAAACAACAGTCAACACCATGGCCATCTCTTAAATTCACACAATTTTGAGAATTTTTCCACTCAATAGATTAGAAAACTCTTGTTCCTAGATCAGCTGCAGACAAGAACAGAGCTTTCAACTGAAATTGTACATAAATGTTATTAAGATCTTGAGGCATTTCTTCAAATAATTGTGTGAGGAAGTCAAACACAGCTGTTCCATGAAATTTTCAACATAAAACAGAAATAAAGCAACGGCTACCAAGAAGTGAAAGTGGTCCAGTCTCAGCAAAAGGTTACTGGTCTAGAACAAAGCTCATAGCAACAGTGTCAGGGTGCTCAAGGCATTTTGCCTGTTGGCTTTCTAGAGGGCCAAAAACAAAACAAAACAATACATAATGCAATAAAACATGCTATTATGGAGTATTTTGAGACAGTTACCCAAAGCGTTAGGGGAAATATTTCCAGAAAATTTTACCATAGAATTCTTCACCACCACAACAATGTTCCTCCTCTTTCCTCTCATTAAAAAAAATCAAAGGACAATTTTGCTGGACTTGCCATGGAAAATTATTAAGCATCCACCTTTTAACCCTGATTTGGCTCCCTCCAACTTCTTTTTCTCTTCTGATTTTAAAACAGCTTTAAAAGACACCCATTTTCTACAGTTAATAATGTAAAAGAGACTTTCCTGACATTGTTAAATTCCCAGGACCTTACTTTTTGTGGGGATAGACTGAAGGCTGGTATTATTGCTTATAAAAGTGTCTTGAACTTGACTTGATGAAGCTAATGTTGAGAAATAAAGTTTATATATTTTATTTTTGTGTTTTACTTTCATTTTTTCACAAACTTATTGAAGTCCTTTCATAGACCCTAATTCTTTTCTTCTTGAAGGTATGTCAAGCTTAAAAATCCTTTCTGGTGAATAGAAGGTGACAGAAGTGTCCATGTGTGACTTCTGAGTCTAGGTCATAAAAGATTTTGCCACTAATGCATTGTTTTTCCTAAGCCACTCTCTCTGAAAGAAACCAGCCACTATTTGGTGAGAACAGTCAATCATCCCTACAAAAATATCTATGTGGAGAGAACCTGAGACCTTCAATTAAAAACCCCACCAACTTGCAGGCCATGAATGTTAGCAAAGTTGAAAGTGGATCTTCTAGTTGCTGTCAAGAGTTTGGATGACAGCCCCAATTGAAATCTGACTGTAACCACATGAGATGGCCTGGGGCACAACCACCAGGATAATTGTTCTTGAATTTCTCATCTACAGAAATTCAGGTAATAAATATTGTGATTTTATGCCATAAAGTTTTGGGGTTACATGTTATGAAACAATACATAGCAACTTCACTCTTTCAACATCCATTTTATTTTTTATACAACCATGCATTTTTAATAATGAGGATATATATTGAGAAATGCACCATTGTGTAGTATTATTACTGTGTGAACATCATAGAATGTACTTACACAAACCTAGGTGGTATAGCCCATTGGAGACCTAGACTATATGGTATAGCCTATTGCTCCTAAACTACAAACCTGGACAGCATGTTACTATGCTGAATACTGTAAGCAATTGTAACACTATAGTCAACATTTGTATACATAAACATAAAAGGCACAGCAAATTTATGTTATAAAAGATTTAAAAAATGGTATATTTGAATAAGGCACTTACCTCAGGTGGTCTGCTAATTTTCATGGTCACATGAAGATTCCACTGAAATATATTCTGAACTACCCACTGCCATAGGTGGCAGCCTTGACTATGTGCACCACCCATGAAGGTCGCCTTTCCCTTGCTTTTCCTGACTTTTCAAGTGCATGATTATGTGCTAAGTCATCACAAGAGCTGAACTCTGTTCTCTTTCTGTTGGGTTCTGCAGCTATTTATTATCAGTTTGGTACCTAGATTTTGTAGACCCTATTTCGTTGACATTCTTGGTAGAATCAGGCCATCTTCATCCCATTGTGCTATCCTTGTGTTACTGTCATGTATTATAATGTGTAAAGTCATTTTTTTTAAGAACAATCTGAGGGTAGACCATAGGCATAGGACCTTTGTGCCTATTGTTTCAGCCAACCTCACAGAGAGAACAGTTAGTGGTTTTCCCTTGATCAGCATTAATTTGGATAAACGTTGCTGTCAGTTACTGTGAAACTGGTTACATTTTCCTTTCACTTTTTTTCATCTTAAGAAAACATCTTTAATCCATACAGCATGTTTTCTCTTGTTTTATACCCACTGGAGTCATAGGCATTTTTCTGCTTTAAGTTATGGCCAACCATTGGATTAGGGCTGAGACATTAGGTGCACAGGATTACACACAAACTGTTCTCCAAATACTCTTCATTTTAGGATAAAAGTATTGGTACTTATATATACTTTAATTACAATTCTTACACTTATTTCTCTGAATACCATTAGTTCAATGATTATTTGAACCTTTAATGACCACATTAATGAATGTTGACGAGACAAACATTCTTCCTTTGAGAGGCACTTTAGAAAGACAAAGAATCTTCAGGTCCAATGGGAAGTATTTCTAGTTGGTACATATAATGAGCCAAGAAGACTGTACACATAATTATGAATGAGACATTGCTCCACGAAAATATTCTATTGCTAAAGATGTCTAAAGATGAAAAATTTACAATCAGAAGCAACAAAAACCAGACACATTTTTTAGTAAATGTGTCTCCTCCTTGTCCTTCTGTTGCCTCCTTGCATGTTGCTCTCCCTCCTGCCCCTTATGATTCTAATATCTCATCTTTTGCCCAACTATTGACTTCTCCTTCTAGTTTTTTAATATGAAATTATTTTCTGAGCTGTCACACATTCCCAAATTGTTTGTTTCACCTAAGTATCCACCTTTCCCATGACCCAGATTGGTAAGCAACTGCAGAATTCAAATCTAGTGCATGAGTTCAGAGTTGCACATGAACTAACAAGTTATAATTAACGATTTTTAAAAACTAAACAAGAAAATTAAATATTCATCAAATAATTTAGAATTATTTAGGGCACATATGGCTTAGGGTTACTTGACATATCAACTTGTACACCTGTTAGATGGAACATCAGATGCTAAATCCTGGATGACAAAATGTGATTGGCCTGACCTGCTAGGAAACTTGTAGAATTCCTCTTTCCAAAATATCAGGGTCAAAATCATTCATAAAAACAATAATACAATTATTAAACTATAGAAGATTTGTAGATAGAATATAAAATTTTTTGTCACAACTCAGTTAAAACAGGTTTTTCTGAAGATCAATATTTATGTAAAAGTTATAAAACATAAAATAATAATAGGGATAATTACATAATAAAAGCTATCACAAATACTGAACAGAAGACTTCAGAAATTATACTAATTTTGCCATTTATATTTTACTATCAACTATAATTATTGTTTTTCTTAAAAGAAATAAATATACCATTATGAGGTGATCAGAAGCAGACAAGGAGGTTAGACATTTCCTCATTTATTCACTCAGCGACCCTGTCACAGAACTAAATCTGTGCTAAGTGCCATGATGGGCCCAGCATGTGGTGCTGAGAAATGATTGAGTGGCCCTTTCCCCAACTCAAGAAGCCTGCAGTCTGAGGATATATGGACAAAAACCCTAAAGCAAGTACAAGTAAATGAAGAGTAAATGCTATAATTAAAATAAAGTAGGATGTTGAAAGGCAGGGCGGGGAGCCATAGCATTCTAGGGACCCAAATGCCTCTCTGTGGCAACAGATGACCAGCCCTGCACAACTCTGGGGATACAGTGTCAGTGAGATGCCACTCCTGGTGCAGAGAAATGCAGGCAGAAGTGACTTTGGCAGAGGATGAGAGAAAGAGGCCGGCAGGGCTAGAGGGAGCCTGGGGAAGAGAAAAGGAGAGGGAAGGAGGACTCTGGGACCTAGAAGAATAAGACAGTGATCTGCTTCTCTCTGACAACATTCTCCCCAAACTTAGCATCTTTAACAACAAATTCTTACTATCTCACAATTTATGTGGACCAGAATCTGGACACAGCTTTGCTGGTTGCCTGCACATGGGGCTCCATGAAGCTGGGGCTGTGCTCTCAGCTGAAGCTGAGCTGTGAGAGGATTAGATTCCAAGCACACTCATATGGGTATTGTCCAGATTCAGTGTAGACTGAGAGCCTGAGTGTTTCCTGGGGCCTGGGCACTCCCTCATTCTCTGTTGTGTAGGCCACTGCATAGGCAGCTCATAACTCTGGATCTTGTTTTCTGAACTTGAGGGATGCAGTAGAAAGACAGGGAAATAAATACACATTGAAAGAGAAAGAGAAAGACATTGGCAGAAAATGGGAGAGAAAACAATGGGCAGAGTAAGTAGAAGAATGAGAGAAATAGATTGAGGGACAAAACACAGAAGAAAGAGACGAGGAGAAAATGAGGTGAAAGCCTCAGGAACAGTATTACTGGCTCTATAAACAAAACAAAACAAAACACAACAAAAAACCCAGAGAACTCCATCCTCCACTATCTGTCAGGCAAATATAGAATGTAAAGACTACAGTCTGAAACTCAGAAGAGAGAGTTCTCACTAGAGCTCGACCATGCTGGCATTCTGATCTTCAACTTCTGTCCTCCAGAACTGTGAGAAAGAACATTGAAGAACATTGTACTGTTGATAAGCGGCTCATTCTATCTTTGCTGTAACAGCCAATCTAAGACAGAAATGTTATCATATCACATTTATTGCATTCCATTTGTCAGAAGTGAGCTGCAGACCCCTTAGTGTTATGAGCCTTCCTATAGTCTGCCAACCACATAGGCCAAAATGAGGGACATGGGTCTGATTCTGAATATAATGAGAAGGCTCTAAAAAGAATAATGTCAGAGGATGACAACATGTGAATTTCATTTCACCTCAAATTCTTACTAGTGTAGAATGAAAAATGAGGCTGAGAGGGGAAGCGACTTTCCAATATCACAGTGCTGGACACAGGCCTGCTTGTGTTGTATTCTATGTTACCTCCCATTCCTTCTTATAATTATTTTATCTCTAAATGCGTGCATTGTCTACATGGGATGCCACACCATGAGTTTTACAGGTCTTATCTCATACACACCCGATGAGTTCCCTAGGGAGATGCTGGCATATTACCCACTGTACAGGTTGAAAGGCCCCAAAACCTACAATAACTTTTCTAGTGTCACAGAACTAATAAGAAATACTAGGTTCTTACCCAGATCTATGACCTCAAACCTGAGACCCTGGCTTCATTCAGGTCTTTTCAGGGAAGTGAGGAGGGCTGTTCTTGCATAATTGTGCACAGCTAAAGAGTTGACACGCAGGGATAGTGAGCAGTCAGTAGCCCAGAAGGTCATTTTAGATGGGTTTTATGGAGGAAAGCAAGGAGCCAGAGGATGAAACTTTGAAAAAGTGATCTTACTTCCTTTGTGACAGACCCCAACAGAACTTAGAACTCTGGTAACCAAGCACCTACATCCTAGAGACAACCCTGTGCCCAGGTCACTCATGGAAAATGTTTAACAGAGCACAATATGCTCCTGGTAGATCCCAATACTCTTAGGCTCTTGATTCAGGAAGGCCTAAAGTGAAAACCTTTTCTGAGATGCTGACATTGGCTTATTCCACACACCAGATGTCTCTGGAAATTTTGTAGGGGTTGCCCAGAGATAACAAACACTAAGCTTAGGGCAAGCCCCTCCAGGCTGGGTCTCACCAGTGCTTTCATTTACCTTGCATTAGAATGTATGGAAAAAACAGGAATTTAAAATAGCAAAGATTGACCCAAACTACTTTTTTATTAGATTCCCTAAGGTTCTGTATTGGTGTTGTTGTTGTTTTGTTTCTTTGTTTGAGACAAGACCTAACTCTCACTCAGGCTGGAGTTCAGTGGCACAATCACAGCTCACTGTAGCCTAGATCTCCTGAGCTCGAGCAATTCTCTCACCTCAGCCTCCCAAGTAGCCGAGAGACTACTGGTGCACACCACCACACCTGGCTAATATATATATATATATATTATTTTTAGCAGAGATGAGGTCTCATTGTGTTGCCCAGGTCTGTCTTGAACTCCTGAACTCAAGCAATCCTCAATTTTTGATACATAAATATGCTAGGTGTAGGATTCTTAGTCGAGAGCTTTATTTTTTTTTTCTGTGAGCAGTGACCAAGGAAAGTTTCAAAAGAAGAAATAGAGAAACTTTAAATAAGGCAATTAAATGAACAAATAAAGAGCTAAGAAAAAACAAAGATTGAGTATTGAGGTTGTATTTATGGCAGCTAATGATAGACTGGATCCAGTCAGAGAGTTCAAGCAGAATTGTATTTGCAGAGAGTAGAAGTCAGAGAGTGAGGGTGTCCAAAATGAAGCCAACTGGAATATTTTTTTGTTACAGAATCAAAAACAATGCATGGGGACACACCATGCCAAACCCAAACAGGCTGAGCTGTTGCTCTGCACTAAGAAATATAGGTTTATGGGAAGAAAAGCTACCATCATAACAACAAGTGTATTTGTATTTAAAAAAATCATAAATGTGCAGTTATAATCAGGATTAAGGTTAAAGTTATATTTCAGGTTTGGTTGGTGGGTGTCACAAAGCAAAAAATGTGTCTGTTGCCAAGAAGTGGGCATTCTAGTTTGCAAAATAAAATATCCCCATGACTAGAGACAGAAGATAACAAAAAGGGATGGGATGGGCCGGGCATGGTGGCTCACGCCTGTAATCCCAACACTCTGGGAGGCCGAGGCGGGTGGATCACAAGGTCAGGAGATTGAGACCATCCTGGCTAACACAGTGAAACCCCATCTCTACTAAAAAATACAAAAAAATAGCTGGGCATGGTGGTGGGTGCCTGTAGTCCCAGCAACTTGGAAGGCTGAGGCAGGAGAATTTTGTGAACCCAGGAGGCGGAGCTTGCAGTGAGCCGAGATCACACCACTGCACTCCAGCCAGGGTGACAAAGCGAGACTGTCTCAAAAAAAAAAAAAAAAAAAAAAAAAAGAAAAAAGAAAAAGGGATGGCATGGAAAACACAAGTTCCTGGAAATTTATGTCAAAATCAGATATATAAAGAAGGACAATGTGCATCTCAGTCATCAATTCTGCCTGTAATTGAGGTTTTTTTCTGCCCTTGATAAATATACCAGGCCTACTACGTGACAGGTGAAAAGCAGCCTACATTCTGTTTCCCCTGCAAGATGCCTTGACTTAGGGATCTGTTCCCAGGGGAAAAAGCACATCTTTTAAGTACTTTTGGAGCATGAGTTATCTTCCAAATTCCAACAAAGTAGCTTATATTTCTAGGTGACCCTAAGACCACTAAAGAAGAAATAAATGAAGACCATGAAACTTTCTTGAACTTGTGGAAATCCATGAGAAAATCTGACATTAAGTTCTATTCTCCTGGAAGGTAGAAATATTGTTTGACTTCTGTTTTGCTGAGAAGAAATGTGGTCCTGAGCAAGGCTACCTGGGACAATGACCTCACACATGGAAAACGTTGGAGCCCATCTGTTTCCTATCTGCTGTTTTTCAAAAATTAGGAGAGTTCAGTTTTCCCTTTGATACTGTCTGTTTCTAACAATCCCAGTGCCAGGGCTGTCCTGCTTCTTCAAGTGACAATGACAAATACAGGCCTGAAGGAAGATGAGCTGATGGCATTCCCCGCTTATTACCACTCCTTGGGGGCCTTATCTCCCATACATGGATTCAATTCTTAGACTGAGTTGGGTGAGTATCTATTATTCAGCTGCATTAGAAGTGGCTGGTTAGGTCGGTAGTAGTGGCTCACTCATGTAATCCCAGCACTTAGTGGGGTCGAAGCAATTGGATCATGAGGTCAGGAGATTGAGACCATCCTGGCTAACATAGTGAAACTCCATCTCTACTAAAAATGCAAAAAATTAGCCAGATGTGGTGACAGGAGCCTATAGTCCCAGCTACTCGGGAGGCTGAGGCAGGAGAATGGCATAAACCCGGGAGGTGGAGCTTGCAGTGAGCTGAGATTTCATGACTGCACTGCAGCCTGGGTGACAGAGAGAAATTCTGTCTCAAAAAAAAAAAAAAAAAAAAAAAAAAAAAAAAGAAAAGAAAAGAAAAGGAAAAGGAAGTGACTGCTTAAGACTCAGGTGTGCATTGAAATGAGGCAGAATTTTCTCAATGGAGTGTTAGAACTTTCTCCTCATAGTTACCATCTTACTATCACTAAATCATAGCTAAAATAAGGAAATTATTTAAGAAGAAATAGAAATATAATCTTATGAGGACATAAATTTAGAGATTTATGGAAAAGCCTTCATAATTTTATGGTGTTCTCTTTGAGCTGGGATTATAGTTGACATTTCATTATGGTATATTAGCTATACCAGACTTTTGCATTTATGTAAAGTTTTTAAAATTATACTTTAAGTTCTGGGATACATGGGCAGGGCGTGCAGGTTTGTTACATAGGTATAGACATGCCATGGTGGTTTGCTGCACCCATCAACCAGTCATCTACATTAGGTATTTCTCCTAAAGCTATTCCGCCCCCAGCCCCCCACCCTCAGACCAGCCCTAGTGTGTGATGTTCCCCTGCTTGTGTCCATGTGTTCTCTTGTATTGTCCAACTCACACTTATGAGTGAGAACATGTGGTTTTTGGTTTTCTTTTTTTTTCTTTTCTTCCTTTTCTTTTTTTCGATGGAGTTTCGCTCTTGTTGCCCAGGCTGGGGTGCAATGGCACAATCTTGGCTCATTGCAGCGTCTGCCTCCCAGGTTCAAGCTATCCTCCTGACTCAGCCTCACAGGTAGCTGGGATTACCGGCATGCGCCACGGTGCCTGGCTAATTTTTTGCATTTTTAGTAGAGACAGGGTTTCTCCATGTTGGTCAGGCTGGTCTCAAACTCCCGACCTCAGGTGATCTGCACGCTTCAGCCTCTCAAAGTTCTGGGATTACAGGTGTGAGCCTTGGTGCCTGGCTTGGTTTTCTTTTCTTATACTAGTTTGCTAAGCATGACGGTTTTCAGCTTCATCCTTGTCCCTGGAAAGGACAGAAACTTATCCCGTTTTATGGCTGCATAGTATTCCATGGTATATATTTGCCACATTTTCTTTATCCAGTCTATTATTGATCGGCATTTGGATTGGTTCCAAGTCTTTGCTATTGTGAACAGTGCTGAAATAAACATGTGTTCACGTGTCTTTACAGAAGAATGACTTATACTCCTTTCGGTATATACCCAGTAATGGGATTGCTGGGTCAAATGGTATTTTTGGTTTTAGATCCTTTAGGAACTGCTACACTGACTTCCACAAATTTTGAACTAATTAAAACTCCCACTAACAGTGTAAAAGCGTTCGTATTTTCCACGCCCTGTCCAGCATCTGTTGTTTCCTGACTTTTTAATAATCACCATTCTAACTGGTGTGAAATGGTATTTCATTGTGGTTTTGATTTGCGTTTCTCTAATGACCAATGATGATGAGGTTTTTTTTTTTCAAATGTTTTTTGGCCGCATAAATGACTTCTTTTGAGAAGTGTCCTCTTGTTTCCTTTGCCCACATTTTGATGGGATTGTTTTTTTCTTGTAAATTTGTTTAAGTTCTTTGTAGATTCTGGATTCTGCATATTAGCCCTCTGTCAGATGGATAGATTGCAAAAATTTTCTCACATTGTGTAGGTTGCCTATTCACTCTGATGATAGTTTCTTCTGCTGTGCAGAAGCTCTTTAGTTTAATTAGATCCCGTTTGTCAATTCTGGCTTTTGTTACCATTGTTTTTCCTGTTTTAGTCATGAAGTCTTTGCCCATGCCTATGTCCTAAATGATGTTGCCTAGGTTTTCTCCTGGAGTTTTTATGGTTTTAGGTATTATGCTTAAGTCTTTAATTCATCTTCAGTTAATTCTTGTGTAAGGTGTAAGGAAGACATACAGTTTCAGTTTCCTGCATATGGCTAGCCTATTTTCGAAACACAATTTATTAAATAAAGCATCCCTTCCCTGTTGCTTGTGTTTGTCAGATTTGTCACCACATGCTTGCATGTGTATGGTCTTATTCCTGAGTTCCCTATTCTGTTCAATTGGTCTATATGTCTGTGTTCGTTCAAGTACCGTGCTGTTTTGGTTACTGTATCCTTATAGTGTAGTTTGAAGTTGGGTAGTGTGATGCCTCCAGCTTTGTTCTTTTTGCTTAGAATTGTTTTGACTATTTGGGCTCTTTTTTGTTCCATAAGAATTTTAAAATAGTTTCTTCTAATTCTGTGAAGAATATCAATGGTAGTTTAATGGGAATAGCATTGAATTCTTTTACAAATTACTTTGGGCAGTGTGGCCATTTTTATGAATTAATTCTTCCTACCCATGAACATGGAATGTTTCTCCATTTGTTTGTGTCCTCTCTGATTTCTCTGAGCAGTGGTTTGTAGTCCTCCTTGAAGAGGTCCTTCATTTCTCATGTTAGCTATATTCCTAGGTATTTTATTCTCTTTGTAGCAATTGTGAAAGAAGTTCATTCATGTTTGGCTCTCTGCTTGCCTGTTGTTGGTGTATTGGAATGCTAGTGACTTTTGCATATTGATTTTGTATCCTGAGACTTTGCTAAAGTGGTTTATCAGCTTAAGAAGGTTTGGGGCTGAGATGATGGGGTTTTCTAGACACAGGATCATGTCATCTGCAGACAAAGATAATTTGACTTGCTCTCTTCCTATTTAAATACCTTTATTTCTTTCTCCTGCCCAATTGCCCTGGCCAGAAGTTTCAATACTATGTTGAATAAAACTGGTGAGAGAGGCCATCCTTGTCTTGTGCCTGTTTTCAAGGAGAATAGTTTCAAATTTTGCCCATTCAGTATGATATTGGCTGTGGGTTTGTCATGTATGGATCTTACTATTTTGAGGTATGATCCTTCAGTAGCTAGTTTATTGAGAGTTTTTGACATGAAGGGATGTTGAGTTTTATTGAAGGCATTTTCTGTATCTATTGAGATAATCACACTGTTTTTGTGTTTACTTCTGCTTATGTGATGAATTACATTTATAGATTTGGCTTTGTTGAAGCAACCTTGTAACCCGAGGATGAAGCCATCTTGATCATGGTGGATCAATGTATCTGTATCAGTCTCAGGTTCAGTCTTTTTACATAATCACATATTTCTTGAAGTTTTTGTTCATTCTTTTTGTTCTTTTTTTTCTATTCTTCTCTTCCTGTCTTATATCAGAGAGACAGTTTTCAAGCTTTGAGATTGTTTCCTCCACTTGGCCTATTCTCCTAATGATACTTATGGTTGCATTGTGAAGTTCTCATGTTGTGTTTTTCAGCTCTGTCAGGTCAGTTATATTCCCCTTAAACTGAATATTCTGGTTATCAGCTCCTGCACTGCTCCTTCAGCTTAGTGAAGTTTTTTATTACCCACCTTCTAAAGCCTACTTTTGTCAATTCAGCCATCTCAGCATCTGGCCAGTTCTGCACCCTTACTAGGGATGTGTTGTTGTCATTTAGAAGAGAAGAGGCATTGTGCCTTTTTGAGTTTTTAACATTTTTGTGTTGATGCCTTCTCATCTTTGTGGGCTTATCTACCTTTGATCCTTGATGTTGCTGACCCTTGAATGGGGTTTTTGTGGGATCTTTTTTGTTGATGTTGTTGCTTTCTGTTTGTTTTTAACAGCCAGACCACTCTTCCTAGGGCTGCTGTGGTTTTCAGGGGGTCCACTCTGGATCTTAGTCACCTCAGTCTCTCCTGCACCTGGAGGTATCACCAGTGAAGGCTGCAAAACAGCAAAGATGGCAGTATGGTCCTTTCTCTGTGAGCACCATTCCAAGGGGGTACTGACTTGATGCCAGCTGGAACGCTCCTGTAGGAGGTGTCTGGAGACCCCTTTTGGGAGGTCTTGCCCAGTCAGGAGGAACAGGATCAGGGACTGCTTAAAGAAGCAGTCTGGCTGCCCCTTGGCAGAGTAGGTGTGCTGTGCTGACCCCTGGGAATCTCTAGAGACATCAGGCTGGAAAGGCTAGGTTGGCTGAACTGGGGAGACAGCAGCTATCCATCTCCCTGGGGACTTCATCCCAGGGAGAAATCAGAGTTCTGTCCATAGAACTCTGGCTAGAGCGGCTAAATATCTGATGGGGAGGTCCTGTCTAGTGAGGAGGGATGGATTGAGGCCTCACTTAAAGAAGCAGACTGGCCACATTCAGGCACAGCACCTGTGCTGTGTTATGGGGAGCTCCTCCTGGTCCTTGGTGCCAGCGGGCTACAGCGGCCAACTCAAACCACAGATAACAGTGGCTGCCCCTCCCTCCCTCCGGGAACTGGGTCCATCTCCAGCTGTTTCCAGCCTGCTGCCGCTGGCCAGCTGGAATTCTAAGTCAGTGGGTCTTAACTTGTGACGTGCTGTGGGAGTGGGGCCCACAGAATGATGCCACTTGGCTCGCTGGATTCAGCCCCCTTACTAGGGGAATGCATGGATATGTCTCCCACTTTGCTGGAATTCTCGGGGCAGAGTATGCAAAACTCCTGGATTTCCATGCATGCCCCAGTGAGCCAGCGAGCACTAGGCTGAGACTCCACACAGCTCTGTGTTTCAGACCCAAGCCATGGTGCCTGGGCCTACGAGGGGATCTCCTGATCTACAGGTTGCAAAGATCCGTGGGAGAAGCATGGTTTGCCAGACAAAGTCGCACAATCACTCACCGCCTCACTTGGCTGCGAGTGAGTGCTCCCCCAGCTCGTGCCACACCTGTGTGGGCCATCGCCCCACTTGCTTTTCCTCACTGTCTGTGGGTCGAGCTGTCTGCCTAGTCAGTCACAATGCAAGAGCCTGGGTACCTCAATTGAAGGTGTAGAATTCACTCACAGTTTTCATTGCTCTCCGTGAGAGCCACGGGCCACAGCTGCTTCTAATCGACCAGCTTGGCCCCATCTAAAGTATGATTTCTTAATACATGAGCTGTTTTAAATAAATAAAAATAATGATACTTATCACAAATAATATTTTTTCACAAAGTGATATAAAAATTGCTAATAAATCAATTCTTTTTTGATTGCCACAAAACTATCTGGAAATGTATCGTCTGCCATTTATAAATTTTTTGTAGAGTTAATAGAACTTTACCAGAAGGCTGGCAATATGCATCACGATTTCAAATATTGTATTAATTGTTTTATAATTTTGTGTTTTTTAAAACTAAACTTATTAAATTGGTTATATATTACTTTAGGTAACACTATTTGGTGATGAGAGAATAATAATTTGTAAAATATTAAGAATATGAGTTCCTTATTACAAAAATGTCCCTGTTTTATATTACTACCATTTCCTCTGAAAGTTTAGAATTGCAGTTTTCTAATTAAAACATATATTCACAAATGTGACTTGTAAATGTTACTATTTGTAATTTGTTTTTGTTTTTTTTTTTTTTTTTTTGCATTTGGTAGTGACAGGATTTTTTGGTGTCTTCTTCTTCAAAATAAAAGGTAGAGAGAATGGAATCAGGAAAGATTAAAACACAAAGGAAAACAATGATGATGGTAGAGATTATTCATTTGCAGCTGGCCAGGGCCTAAAAATATCAAGAAGAAACATGATGAATACAAAACCTGCATGTCCCTGAATATGATGGAATTTTTAATTTCTATTAAAATTATTCATGATAAAAATCTCTGTACTTTGCACATTTAAGAGAGAGAAAATCAGAGTGCAGGGACCTCCCCTGATCCTGATAAGAGCATCCAAAGTAGAAAGGATGTGTCTTAATCTCCTCCCAAATCCACGGTAGAAACAGTTGCTCTGGGTATCTTATTACAGTGATGCACAGGGACATGTTGGTCAAAGAGCTTGCACACTTTAAAAAAGAAACGTTGGCTGGGTGCAGTGACTCACACCTGTAATCCCAGCACGTTGGGAGCCCAGGGCCAGTGGATCACAAGGTCAGGAATTTAAGACCAGCCTGGCCAAGATGGTGAAACCTCGTCTCTATTAAAAATACAAAAATTAGCCAGGCACAGTGGCAGGAACCTGTAATCCCAGCTACTCAGGAGGCTGAGGCAGGGGAGTCACTTGAACCAGGGTGGTAGAGGTTGCAGTGGGCTGAGATTGAGCCACTGCACTCCAGCCTGGGTGACAGAGTGAGACTCCATCCCAAAAAAAGAAAAAATTCTATTATGTTGAGATTTAAAAAACAAATGACATGATTTGTCTACACATCTCCATTACTGTAGATCTACATCATTTATATTAAATTTATGAACAACTTACATAATAAAATAACACACTGGGCTATTTTTTTTATTATTATGATTATGATTATGATTATTATTATTATTATTATTGTGATAATTTCTTTATCAACACCATTTTTACCATACTGTATAAACAGCATTGTAAGACCTGTGACTGGTCATTGACAATATATACAATATGTACATTTTTTTACACAGGATCTAGATCTGTCATTCTTGCTGGAGTACAGTGGCACAGTCATAGATCAGTCCAGATTCAAACACCTGAGCTCAAGCAATTTTCCCACCTCAGCCTTCCTAGTGGCTGGGACTACAGGCACATGCCACCACAGTGGGCTAATTTAAAAAGAAATTGTAGAGACAGGGTCTTCTATGTTGCCCAGGCTAGTCTTGAACTCCTGGTCTGAAACGGTCCTCCAAAATTGACCTCCCAAAGTGTTGGCATTACAGATTTGAGCCACCATGCCCTGCCTGCTCATATATTCTTAAATAATGAGATAAGAAAAACCTATCACCAGGCAGGATTTTTAGAAGTTTCCAAAAATTGTAACATGAATTGTGATCAAGCCCCTCCCCTGTTTTCTGTCTTTTGTCTCTGCAATAGCAGCTCTACTACTTTTTTCCTCAACGAGCTAAGAATTAAATGTATTGAGATCATGAATATCTATGTTAGTAAACAATGTTATTCTGGCTTCATCCTGCATTAAATTAAATTGTCAGAGAAATTTAGACGTATTTTAGTTCTTTGGTTATTACAATTATTCTTTTGGCATTTCTGCATTTCACAAGGTTCTTTTCATGGAAATATCTAGTTAGAAAGAATAATACTTTTCTAAAATTGTGAAATCAGTTTCTCAGGTTGCCAAGTATTGCCACTGCACAAACCAACCTTCCTTCATCTGTCCCATGAAACTGTCATAATCACTTTATGTTGTTGATATCCAGCCATAGGTCTCACAGTGCTGTTTATTGAATATCACCAAAATGATTGTGAACAAGAAATTATCAATATAATAATGAAACACCTCAGTATTTTATTATATAAGTTGTATATACATTTAATTTAAGCCAGAGCACAAAGATCTGTAGACAAATCATGTCATTTTAAAAAAATTTCAACAGATTTGACATTATCATAACGATGAAGAAACAGATTTATTGAGCTCCATTTTCTTTAAATTATTTTTTATTATACTCCCTTTCTTTGCTTCAGACATCTGATCTAAACATCTGCAGTATTTGTGAGCAGTCTTTTGTTCTGGTACATTTAATGGTGTTGTTTTTCCCACAACTACTCATGATTATATATATACTTAGGGACTTAACACAATTTTGAAGGGTAAGCAAGCACAGTGAGAATGAACTTGATTTGCATTGTCTGTCTCTGAGAGTGCTCAGCGACGTCCCCCTCAGCCCAAGGACAATCTGGTTGCCACATCTCCTGGTGAGAGCTGAGATGTACATCCTGATTTCTGTTTTTAATGTATCATATGGGACTCAGTTTTCTTTTATACTCTTACCAACCCATATGACCTCTAAGGATTTTTCTTTCATTCTTTTTTCCCCATGTCTGTACAATGTTACCATAAATCCCATGATACTTCTATAATGGATGTTTCAGATTCACTGAAAGAAAATATAAGAAACAACAGTAAAGTTTAAAACTGGGATAAGCAATGAATAACTTTTTAGTATGGCTACGCAATATTTGCATATTTGTATGTAATATGTTTAAGCAAGTATTGGAAGATATTTATACAAATAATTACCTTACTTACACAAAATTCAAATTGAGTCAAGTGTCTTATAATTTTTTAATTTTTAATTTTCGTAGGTACATAAGTGTATATATTTATAACATACACGAGATGATTTGACACAGACATACAAAGTTAAACAATCACATCACAAAGAATGGGACATCCATCCCCTCAAACATTTATTTTTGAGTTGTGAACAATCTAATTACACTCTTTAAGTTATTTTAAAATGTACAATTACATTATTATTGACTATAGTCGCCCTATTGTGCTATCAAATAGCAACTGTCGTTCATTCTAATTATTTTTTGTACCCATGAACAATGCCCACCTCACCCTATCTCCCCAATATCCTTCCCAGCCTCTGGTAATCATCCTTCTATGCTCTATGTTCATGAGTTCAAGTGGGTTGATTTTGAGATCCCACAAATAAGTGAGGATATATGATGTTTGTCTTTCTGTGCCTGGCTATTTCACTTAACATAATGATTCCCAGTTCCATCCATGGTCTTGCAGATGACTGGTTCTCATTCTTTTTTAAGGCTGAATGGTACTCCATTGTGTATATCTACCACATTTTTTAATCCATTCTTGATGGACACTCAGGTTACTTCCAAATCTTAGCTATTATAAATAGTGCTGCAACAAACACAGGAGTACAGATATCTCAACATACTGATTTCCTTTCTTTTGGGTATATACCCAACAGTAGGATTGCTAGATAATGTGGTAGCTCAATTTTTAGATTTTTGAGGAACATCAAAACATAAAAAAACCTCAAAACTATAAAAAACATTAGTGATGTTCTTTATAGTGATTATACTAATTTACATTCCCCCTAGCAATATATGAGGGTTCCCTTTTCTCTAAATTCTCCCTAGCATTTGTTATTTCCTGTATTTTGAATATAAGCCATTTTAACTCCAGTGAGATGATATTGCACTGCAGTTTCTATTTGCCTTTCTCTATCAATGATGTTGAGCACCTATTCATATGCCTATTTGCCATTTGTATGTCTTCTTTGGAGGAATATATATTGAAGTCTTTTTTGCCATTTTTGACCAGGTTATTGGATTTTTTCTTGTAGAGTTGTTTGAGCTCCTTATATATTGTGGTTATTAATCCTTTGTCAGATGGATAGTTTTCAATTTTTTTTCCCATTTTGTGGCTTGTCTCTTCGCTTTCCTGGTGTGTTATAGTTTATTTTTCATTTGTTATTTTAACTTTATTTTTCTATAAGTTGTTGGGGTACAGATGGTATTTGGTTACATGAGTAAGTTCCTTAGTGGTGATTTGTGAGATTATGGTGCACATATTACCCAAGAAGTATACACTGCACCATACTCATAGTCTTTTATTGTTCACCTCCCTCCCACTTTTCTCCCAAAGTCCCCAAAGTCCATTGCATCATTGTCGTGCCTTTGTGTCCTCATAGCTTAGCTCCTACATATCAGTGAGAACATACGATGTTGAGTTTTCCATTCCTGGGTTACATCACTTAGAACTATAGTCTCCAATCTCATTCAGGTCATTGCAAATGATGTTAATTCATTCCTTTCTATGACTATGTAGTATTCCATCATATATATATATATGTGTGTGTATATATATATATACACACATATATATGTATACACACACACATATATATACACCACATATATATATCACATATGTATATACCACATATATATACCATATATATACACCATATATATATACACACCATATATATATACACACCATATATATACACACACCATATATATATACACACACACACCATATATATATACGCACACCATATACACACACACACACACACACACACACACACACCACAGTTTCTTTATCCACTTTTTGATTGATGGGCACCTGGGTTGGTTCCACGATTTTGTGGATTATGCTGCAATAGACATGCGTGTGCAAGTATGTTTTTCAAATAATGACTATTTTCCTCTGGGTAGATACCTAGTAGTGGGAATGCTGGATCAAATGGTAGTTCTACTTTTAGTTCTTTAAGGAATCTCCACATTGTTTTTCACAGTGGCTGTACTAGTTTACATTCCCACCAGCAGTGTAGAAGTGTTCCGTGTTTACTGCATCCGTGGCAACATCTACTTTTATTTTATTTTTTGTTTGCATGAGGTAAGGTGGTATTGCATTTTGGTTTTGATTTGAATGTCCCTGATCATTAGTGATGGTGGGCATTTTTATTTATGTTTGTTAGCCATTTGTATATCTTCTTTTGAAAACTGTCTATTCATGTCCTTAGCCCATTTTTGATGGGGTTGCTTGTTTTTTTCTTACTGATTTGTTTTAGATTTCTTACTGATTTGTTGTAGATTCTGGATATTAGTCCTCTTTCAGATGTACAGATTGTGAAGATTTTCTCCCACTCTGTGGTTGTCTATTTACTCTGCTGACTGTTCCCTTTGCCATGCAAAAGCTCTTTAGTTTAATTAGGTCCCAGCTATTTATCTCTGTTTATCTGTTTTTATTGCATTTGCTTTTGGGTTCTTTGTCATGACATCCTTGCTTATGCCAGTGTCTAGAAGGGTTTATCCAGTGTTATCTTCTAGAATTTTTATAGTTTCAGGAATTAGGTTTAAGTCCTTCATCTATCTTGAGTAGCCTTTTGTATAAAGTGAGAGATGAGAATCCAGTTTTATTCTCCTACGTGTGGCTCACAAATTATCGCAATATCATGTGTTGAAAAGGGTGTCCTTTCCCCACTTTATGTTTTCATTTACTTTGTCGAAGATCAGTTGGCTGTAAGTATTTGGGTTAGTTTCTAGGTTCTCTCTTCTGTTCCATTGGTCTATGTGCCTAGCTTTAAACCACTACCATTCTGTTTTGGTAACTATGTCCTTATTGTACAGTTTGAAATCAAGAGGTGTGTTGCTTCCAGGTTCATTCTTTTTGCTTAGTCTTAGTTTGACTATGCGGCTCTCATTTGGTTCCACATGAATTTTAGAATTGTTTTTGTAGATTGCGTTGAATTTGTAGATTGCCTTTAACAGAAAGGTAATTTTCACAATATTGATTCTGCCAATCCATAGTCATGGGGGTGAGTTTCCATTTGTCTGTGTCATCTATGATTTCTTTTCTTTGTTGTGTGTGTGTTTTTTTGTTTTTGTTTTTGTTTGTTCTGAGGGAGTTTCACTCTTGTCGCCAAGATGGGAGTGCAATGGCATGATCTTGGCTCACCACAACCTCTGCCTTCTGCGTTCAAGCGATTCTCCTGCCTCACTCTCCTGAGTAGCTGATTACAGGTGTGCGGCACCATACTTGGCTACATCTATGATTTCTTTCAGCAGTGTTTTGCAATTTTCATTGTAGAGGTCTTTCAATTCCTTTGCTAGATATATTCCTAAGTTTTTGTTTGTTTGTTTTTGTTTTTGTTTGTTTTTTTGCAGCTATTGTGAAAGGGGTAGAGTTCTTGATGTGATTCTCTGCTTGGTAGCTGTTGGTGTAGAGAAGAGCTACTGATTTGTGTATATTAATCTTGTATCTGGAAACTTTCCTGAATTCTTTTATCAGTTCTAGGAGCTTTCTAGGGGAGTCCATAGGGTTTTCAAGGTGAAAGATCATATCATCAGCAACTAGTGACAGTTTGACTTCCTCTTTACCGATTTAGATTTCCTCTCCTTCTTTTTTCTGATTGCTCTGGCTAGGACTTCCCATACTATTTTGAAGAGGAGTGGTGAGAGTGGGCATCCTCATCTTGTTCCAGTTCTCAGAGGGAATGCTTTCACCTTTTCCCCATTCAGTATTATGTTGGCTGTGGGTTAGTCATAGATGGCTTTTATTACATTAATATATGTCCCTTGTATGCCTATTTTGTTGATGCATCTGTTGATATGTTCATGTGAGTTTTGTCTTTAATTCTGTTCATGTGGTGTATCACGTTTACTGACATGCATATGTTAAACCATTCCTGTTTCCCTGGTATGAAACCCATTTGATTATGGTGGATTATCTTTTTGACACATTGTTGGATTCGGTTAGCCAGTATTTTGTTAAGGATTTTGGCATCTGTGTTCCTCAAGGATATTGGTCTGTAGTTTTCTTTTTTGGTTATGTCCTTTCATGGTTTTAGTATTGGGGTGATGCCGTGTTCATAGAATGAATTAGGGAGTGTTCCTTCTTTCTCTATCTTGTAGAATAGTGTGAAAGGATTGGTATCAATTCTTCTTTGAATGTCTGGTAGAATTCTGCTGTGAATCTGTCTGGTCCTTGGATTTTTTTTTTTTTTTTTGGTAATTTTTAAATTACCATTTCAATCTTGCTACTTGCTATTGGTCTGTTTAGGCATATAATTCTTCCTGATTTAAGCTAGGACATTTGTATTTTTCCAGGAATTTATCCATCTCTTCTAGATTTTCTAGTTTATGTGCCTTAAGGTGTTCATAGTACCCATGAATGATCTTTATTATTTCAGTGGTGTCACTTGTAATATCCCCTGTTTCATTTCTTAGTGAGGTTATTTGGATTTTTTTCTCTTCTTGTCTTGGTTAATCTTGCTAACGGTCTCTCAATTTTATTTGTCCTTTCAAAGAACCAATGTGACAAGAATTAAAATAAATTAAAGAATGTATAAGCAAAAACTCACTTGTATGTAAGAAGACTCAATTCCCCCTGAGAAACAGAAAGAGGTGGAGTACTTTAAGAATTAACTGCCTGTTTTTCTGTCTGGCTAGTGAGCCTTATTTCTCCCTTTCCCAGTCATTGTGAAGACCTGTTTCTCTAGCTGTGCAGCTGCAAGGTCACTAGACAGATAAACTCAAGTTGTAAAACATGTTTTTTCTTGAAAAGGAACAAATGGTGTAACACAAGTCTCAACTGAATAACTGTCTTTGTTTCTCACTTCTGTAATATGTTCCCCCACACAGATCTCCCCCAGCCTTATGAAATGCTTAAAAGGTAACTTGACTCCTTGTTTGGGGGCTCAGTCATTTTTGAATGTTAATCTGACTGGGCCAGTGCACCTAAATAATAATAATAATAATAATAATAATAATAATAATAAATAATAATAATAAATCCTTCTCAACCCCTTAGTCTCTCTGATTCCTAAATTATCCTGAAACATTTCTGGTGGCCCATACAGGGATTGGAGATGACAGATTTACTGTCTCCTTTGCCTGTGGGACTAGAGCCCCAGGGCTGGGGGAGACCCAGCATGCAAGGTGCACCATGGAGGTGCTTCACCCAGACAGAGACCAGCTCTCCCTGCATCCTGGCAGCCTACCCAGTAGTGCAAAGAAACTGCAGAAAAAGCTGCAGGACAATACTAGCACTTCAGGAACTGTGGTAAGGAGAAACTGCCCAAGGCAGGAAAGCCCCTCCCATAGGGAGGAAATGGAGCTTGATCACCTCCCAGTGACTGACCACTAATCCAACCCAGAGTGGCTGGGTGTGGTAGGAGTGGCCTGCCAATTTGGATGAACCTCATATTCCCCTAACAGAGTAAAAGTGGTTCACTGGTGGAGAAAAAGGGCTGATAGAGAGGCAAGTGCAGCAAGGAAGAGTTTGCTGGCAGGGTGGCAAGAGTGGCTTGCAACCCCAACTGGGAGTGGGTGTGTGTGGACCTAACCGGGACACAAGAGAGGCTCATTTTGTCCCATGAGGAGTCCTAGGGTAGGAGTGGTGTGTGTATGTGTGTGAATGTGGAAGCCTAATTAGTTTCACCTGGGACATGAGAGAGGCTCATTTCATCCAATGAGGAGTCCTTGGGTGGGGGAGGTGTGTAAAAGTGGGTGAAAGAAATGGTCTTGGAAGAGGCCAATGTGGGGAGTGACGTGGGGGAGGCACAGAGCCCTTAGTGTGGGCTGTGTTCTCTGAGGCAATTGTGGGGAAAATCAGAACCAGAACATTCTGTATGACTGATAGGACCAGCTCCATGGCTGCAGCAGGCTGTAAGAGGTGAAGGCATGTTCCTGGCTAAGCAGTGTCCAAAACTCCTGTAATAGGACCCGGTATGGTGAACCTGAGAGTAAAAGTAAAAGTGAAAGTGCACCACAAGGGAGAAAATGAAAGGAAAAGTGTATAAATGAACTCCATTGGAGTGCACAATAAAGAATTTTCAAAAGGATTTAGAGGTGATTATAGCATAAAACTGGATGCTCAAAATTTAAGAACATACTGTGAGATAGCCTGGCCTGCTTTCAATGAGGGCTGGCCCTCTGAAGGTACAATAGACAGGGTATGAATTGACTGCATGTTTAAGGTGGTCACTGGAGTTGAAGGACAACCAGGATACCCAGACCAGTTTCTGTATATACTCTTGGCTCAATGTGGCACAAACTCACCCCAAGTGGCTGCAGCCTTGCCTAGAGGGATATTGCAAGGCATTAGTGGCTCGAGCAGCCCAACCAAAGGAAGCAGAGGAAACTAAAGCCCCTAGCATCTCCCTGGAAAGGGAATCCTTGAAGCCTTAGCCAAAACCAGTTCTTCAGGTTCCACCTGATGAAAGGGAATGTCTGCCCCATATGTGCCAGTCTACTCATCTTTGGTCAGAATAAAGCAGGAGGCAGAGTCAGGATCATCCGGAGAGTCAGGCTCAGAGAAAAGTGAGGCTCAGTGTCCCCACACCCAGAGGAACAGAAACCCCTGTTAGAGAAAAACAACCAAAAAATGGACTGGGTGAGGCAGCTGGGCATCTCCACTCAGGCCGACCCTGGGATTTGCAGATGCCACTTTGAGAAACCAGGACACAAGTTTATGATGACCAGAGGCAGATACAAGGTGGCCCTAGGCTTTATGTTTATCAGCCTTTCTCCACTACTGATCTCTTAAATTGGAAACAGCCCACCCCCTCCTATACAGAAAAGTCTCAGGCTCTTATTGATTTGGTAAATTCTGTTATTAACACGCATAACCTGACCTGGCCAGATTGTGAATAACTTTTGCTAACTTCATTTAATACAGAGGAGCATAAAAGAGTTAATCCGGCAGCTCTGATCTGTTTAGAAGGGGAGCCCCAGAGACCACCCCTAACCCTCACCAGTTCACCGTGGAGTGATACCCAAATGAGAACCCTAACTGGGAACCAAATGAGGCAAGGAACATGGAATGGCTGCCGCTATATAGAAAGGCACTCCTAAATGGGATAAAGCAGGAGAAAGGAAGGAAATAAATACAAGTAAAATATCAGAAGTGAGCCAAAATTCTGAGAAAAGCCCAAGTGCATTCCATAAAAGGCTTTGGGAGGCATATAGACTGTACACTCCAGTTATTCTGGAGGCTCCTAAAAACCAAATTATGATAAATATGACCTTTATCGGGCAAGCTCAGGGAGTCATAAATCAAAAGTTTCAGAAGCTGGAAAGCTTTGCAGGAAAAAATATTAGTAAACTCCTGAAAACAGCAAACAAAATATATGTAAACCAGAAAGAAGAGGCAGAAAGAAAGAAAAAATAAATAAAAATAAAAACCAAAAGACAGCTCAATTTATAGCTACTGCACTAACAGAAATTAACCCTGGATTTGCTAGAGGGTATAGCTGAGGCAGAGGCCAAGGAAGAGGGCAGACAAGACCGGGAGAGGAAAGCCAGTCCCGGTTGGACAGGAACCAATGTGCAAGATACAGGCAAATGGGCCACTGGAAAAATGAGTGCCCCGATTAAAAAAAAAAAAATGAAGATGACGGTCAATTGTCTAACACCCGAGTGCAACTTTCGGTTGCTAGTCGTGGTGCTTCAAAGGCAGATCTTGATCTGATCAGCTTAGTGGGGGCCAAAAATTTAGAAGACTAAGACAGACCAGGCTTCATCCTTTTAGGCCCCAGGGAGCCTATATTCTCCATGGAAGTACAGGGCCGATTAATGAATTTTTTGGTCAATACTGGTGCTGATTTCTCTGTGGTAACTCATCCAATTAACTGCCCCACAAAAAACTGTCCTACTGTCATACGGGCTACTGGGGCCAAAGACAGGAGACCTCTCTACAAATTCAAGAGATGTGTTATTGGGGGACAAGAATTCAGCATGACTTTCTATACATGCCAAAATGTCCAGTGCCCTTATTGGAAAGAGACTTCCTCCAGAAACTGCAGGCACAGGTTTCCTTTACACCTAAAGGGGATATGACCCTGGAGATAGGGAAGCCAAAGGCAATGGTATTGACTCTAACTGTCCCAAAAACTGAGGAATGGCGGCTCTATAAACTGTGTACCAGGAGGCTGCCAGAGCCTGACCTACACAATACGTGGGGAATGCTTTTCGAGGTACCAGGTGTATGCGCTGAGGACAACCCCCCTGGACTTGTTGCAAACAGACCCCCAGTGATAATAAAGCTTAAATCTCATGCTGCCCCGGTACTAGTCCGTCAACACCCCCCACCCAGAGAGGCAATTGATGACATAACGAAACATTTAAATCGGCCCTATAAACATGGGATTATAATAAAATGAAAGTCTTCCTGGAATACTCCTCTGTTGTCTGTGCGCAAGCCAAATGGTGAATACAGGCCACTGCAGGACCTCCAGGAGGTAAACAAGGCCACTGTCACTATCCATGCCATAGTACCCAACCCATACACAATGCTGGGACAGATTCCTGCTGACGCCGCCTGGTTCACGTGTCTGGACTTAAGGCATGCTTTCTTTTGCTTGAGACTTGCTCCCCAAAATCAGCCTATATTTGCCTTCTAGTGGAGACAATCGCAGTATACCTGGACAAGGCTGCCGCAAGGGTTTAAGAATTCTCCCACTATTTTCGACGAGGCTTTGGCTTCCGACCTTGAGGCTTTTGCGCCACCTAGTGACAATTGTGTGCTATTACAACACATTGATGATTTGCTCTTCGCTGCCCCCACGAGGGAGAAATACCTCTAAGGAACAGAGAGCCTTCTTCACCTGCTTTGTGAAGCTGGTTACTAAGTGTCCAAGGACAAGGCAAAAGTCTGATTTTGGAGGTTGAATATCTAGAATTCATGGTATCCCAAGGCCAGCGCAGACTTAAAAGTGCATGCAAGGAGGCTGTGCGTGCATTGCCCACCCCAGTTACAAGGCAGCAGCTCAGGAAATTTCTAGGTGTAGCGGGATTCTGCCGAACCTGGATTCCAAACTTCTCCCTTACAGCAAGGCCCTTATATGAGACTACCAAAGAAAAAGAAAAAGAGGGCCCCTCCTATGGAAAAAGAAACAAGAAAGGGCCTTGAAAGGTATAAAGGAAGCTCTCATCCAAACTCCGGTGCTAGGGTTGCCAGATGTAAAAAAGCCCTTCCTTTTGTATGTGGATAAACAAAAGGGAATGACAGTCGGACTCTTAGCTCAATTGTTGGGTTCTTGGCATCAGCTGGTAGCATACTTACCCAAAAGACTGGACTTGGTGGCCTTAGGTTGGCCCCACTGCTTCAGGGCGTTGGCAGCTACTGCAATCCTTATAGAAGATGCCAACAAGCTAGCCCTAGGTCAAAAGTTAATAGTTCAGGACTCACATGCTGTAATCACCTTAATGGAGCAAAGAGGACATCATTGACTGTCCAATTCTAAAATGCTAAAGTATCAAGGGCTTCTGTATGAAAATACCCAGATAACACTAGAGACTGTAAATACCTTAAATCCAGCTACCCTGCTGCCTGTGGAGAAACGGGATTGAAAGGACAGTGGGTTGCCTCACTGCTGGCAGGAACTTCCCCACTGTTGCATAAATACGGTGGACAAAGTCTTCTAGAGCCAGGAAGATCTCAGATATATCCCCTTGGAGAGCTCAGATGTTAAATACTTCACTGATGGTAGCAGTTTCATAAGAGATGGGGTACAATATGCAGGGTATACAGTACTGATCCAACACTCGGTGGTCCAGGCTCAGGCCTTACCTTCTGGGACTTCTGCTCAGAAGGCTAAATTAATAGCATTAACCAGAGCACCATTATTGGCCAAGAAAAAAAGTAAACATATATACTGAAAAAAAAAGAAACATATATACTGATTCAAGATATACTTTTACAATCCTGCACACCCATGGGGCAGTATACAAAGATAGAGGAGTTTTGACTACTAAAGGCCAAAGAAAAAAATTTACAATTATTAAAAGCCATATAGGCTCCAGAGAAAGTGGCTGTCATTCATTGCAAAGGACACCAAATTGGGAAAAGCTGAGACACAGGGCAATAGAAAGGCAGACCGAGAGGCTAGGCAGGCAGCAATGATCAAGGCTTTACCTGAAGAAAAAACTTTAGCAATTCCTCTCCTTATAGAGCCCCCTTGGCTGGAGCTACCCAATTACTCTTCAGTAAAAAACTTGGTTTTGTCAGAAAAACAATATATATATATATATATATTAAAGGTGGATGGTGGCTGTTGTCTGACAGCAGGCTAGCCATCCTGGAAGTTGAGTAGTCCACACACGGCCAAAGCTAAGAGGGCCATCTCTGAATAAGTAAATATGAACACAATTTATAACCCTCATTATAATTATGTTAATACTGATTTTTCTGTTGCTTTGTTATTACTGCAAATGCTGCAAATGTCTATGCCCAGAGGAAGGTTTCCCATGCCCACGTGTAGTGTAAGCATGTTTCTAATACATACACTGATGTTGCTATCATTTCTGCCTATGCTAGAAGGGGAAAAATCTTTAGAGGGATGCCCACACTGTGTACACACTACCTCGGTAAAAAATACCATAGTTAAAACTCTACTGTACCATACCTACTATGAATGTACAGAAACCAAGTTAGGGACATGCACATACAACCAGACCACCTGTTCAGTCTATGACTGAGGAAATAATCAGCTGTATGTATCTTATGACCCTGAGCCCTTACCCTGTGAATTCTGGTTTGAGGTACATATTAAATCAGAAAAGAAAAAAAAACTTATAGCTCAAACAAAAGAAACCTCACCCTCCTATAAGGGGCCTATTTCCTTGTACTTTAATTCCTGCCATGCTGCATATGTTCCTAATCCTAAAAAAAACAGAAGCTGTCTGCAATGGTTTAACACAAAAGAGGCTTAGCAGAAGCAGACCTAAACATCTGTATGAAAAAACACAAATCGGATGCCCAGACTGTAATATTCAGTGTTCTATGCTAACACAGCTCCAACACTTATATTCAGGAAGGACTCTTCTGCTAAGTAGTATGCCAACCAAACCAAATTCTAAGACAAGGACATGTACTCCTTTAAATTTTACTTTCCTAAAGCCAGAGCTATCTTTTTGGTCTACAGGACAGATGACACTATTATGGGTTAATAGACAAGGAGCAGACCTTGGAGTTCTACTACTAATTGCCAAAAAGAATAGAAGGACTCAAATGCATCCAACCCTGAAATTCCGGGTTTATAAGTCATTCTGTAAGCATTTTGATCAGTCAGTGACTGAGTTTCCTTCATCAACCAAAAACTTATTTACTCAACTAAGTAAAAACATAGCTGGCAGCTTAGGAATTTCCTCATGCTACGCATGTCAAAAAACTGATATGGGGGACCAGTTGCTATGGGAGGCTAAGAAATTGATGCCACAAGTAACTTCACTTCACCTAACCATGCCAGTGAACCCACAGCCTTAGCCAGTGTTTGGTTGTTAAAAACCTCCATAATTGGAAAGTACTGTATCGCCTAATGGGGAAAGGCTTTTCACAGAGGCAGCAGGAAAAACAACCTGCCTAGGACAACAGTATTATGATAAGACTAAAAACAGAACTCTAGGGAGAAATGCCCAGAACGACTCCTACTTACCAGATCCAAATGCTTTCTCTTGATTCTCTACCCTAAGCCACTCTTGGCATCAGCTAAAGACTCCAAATGCTTGGAAAGCACCCTCTGGCCTATATTGGGTCTGTGGAGCATGGGCATATCGGCAACTGCTGGCTAAATGGACAGGGGCATGTGTGTTAGAAACAATCAAGCCATCCCTCTTTTTAATTCCTCTAAAGCAAGGGGAACTCTTAGGGTATCCAGTTTATAGTAAAAGTTAAAGAAACTAAAAAAATACATAATCACAAAACTAAACACAAATGTGAAAAAGTGTAAACACAGAAGACTACAAAGATAATAAATGGCCTCCTGAAAAAATCATTAAATATTATGGGCCAGCTACTTGGGTGCAAGATGGGTCATGGGGGTATCGTACCAAAATCTATATGCTCAACCACATCATAAGGTTACAGGCAGTCCTAGAAATTATAACCAATGAAACGTCAAGGGCACTAAATTTATTGACAATACAAGCAACACAAAAAAATGCTATATATCAAAATAAATTAGCTTATCTCTTAGCCTCAAAGAAAGTATGTAAACATTTAATTTAACCAACTGTTGCCTAGAAATTGATAATAATGGCCAAGCTGTCATAAAATCCACAGCTAAAATGCACAAGTTGGCCCATGTTCCAGTTCGGACTTTGTCCAGATGGTTCCCGGATTCCTTGTTTGGAAAATGGTTCTCAACCTTTGGGGAATTCAAAACCCTCATTGGTGGGTTTTTGTTTATTCTTGGCATCTGCCTCATCCTCCCTTGCCTTTTAACTCTGTATATTAGGAACATTCAGTCAACTGTAGAGGCAGTAGTAACCCAACACAGTACCACACAGTTGATGGCATTAACCAAATATCAGCTGCTGCCAGTAAAACTATCTTCAGTCTGCACTTTTCTCCAGTGCATTCTGAAACACTGGAATTTCTTTACCTTCGAGGCTCTGAGAAAAAAATATGGCTTATATTATACTGCACAAAGGCATGGAAATTACACTAGCTCTAAGACAAAAAGATGTGGCCTTCTGAGATAAAAGTTTATTTTAATAGTATATAATTATCAGGTCTCTTTTTCAGATGAAAGAGCCATTAGTATGAGTTTCTGATGGACAAGCTTTCTTTACCTTAGGCGATAACCCAGACCTTTGTAAGCATTGTAAAATATTTTCTGGCCTTTTGGCAGTCTTGTCAAGCAAGGTTACAGAAGATAATTTCCCAAAATCAGAGAGACAAACCCCTAGGTAGCCCTTAAATGCAACTTTTAAACACCCTACCTGCCCCTCTTTTAAGGGCTTTCCAATATTCCTATCATGAGTTTCTCTCCCTGTGCCACCCAATAAACCCCCACCTTCACTGTAGGCCCTGCAGAAAATGCCAGATGGTACTACTAAACTTCAGGTTTCCTTTTTATTGCAGGATTAAAAATAAATAAATATACATCTAGTCAAGTTATCTGATTACTCTGATAGATATATAGAGACATTCTGAAATCTAACAGAGGTGTTTCATTTTATGCAGAAAGATGCCACATTACTCCTAAACCCAATTCTATATTTGGCAGAAAATTTGGCAGCTTTTCAGGCAACAGAAAGATTTGAAGATGAACAGGGTATTTACTACAGCCAGTCTAAAAGTATACAGGGAAAAATCTAGAACAATGGAGGGTGAAAGACAAAAGTAAGGTAAACAGCAGAATCTTTATTCCCAACAGGAAGAAAGACATTCCTCTTTGAAAACTTAGTTGGAATACATACACGCAATTTAAATGATTAAGTAGTGTGAGAACAAGTGTAAAGTTTCAGCAAATGTTTAGTATATAAAGAAGAGACAATTTTGCCAGCAAATTGCTACATGATTTCAGAGCTACTAATGCACAGATTAAATCAATGTGTGCATTACAACAAGGTCTGCAATTCCTGGCAGCCATTCCAAGGGACTGGTCTCTCATAGGAGTAGATCTTTAAAATTCTTTTCTTACTATACCCTTACATGTGAAGGATAAGCCTTCATTTGCCTTCTCTGTGCCTTCTATCAAACAAAAACAGCTTGTTTCTCATTACCAGTGGAAAGTTTTACACAAAAACATGCTCATCAATCCTATGTTATATCAACATTTTGTAGGACATTATGCCATGAGAATCCGACCTCATGGCATAAACTTCACTGACACTGGTGAAGAAACTTTAGCATCTCTTCACTACATCTCACTGGGATTCAATCCCAATGTGCAGCAGACCTTGCTTGGAACAGGCTTTAGACCACCTTTCCTCAATGACATTATCAAGGAAGACAGTTCCAGTTCAGGAGTTGATAGGGAAGGCAGCACTCCCCTTTATGGATGGCAGCTTTTGTGTCGGAACACTATTTAATTATAGTAATTCTGCTCAACACAGTTTTAATGTTACTTTTGTAGAAAATATTACCACTCAATTTGCAATTTGTGTTTTTAAACCTTACATTTTTTTAGCAGCAAAAAAAAAATTAAGGTAAACGATGCCCATTTGACTTGTGATTCCTTTCAACCGTATAATTCCCTTAATTGTAGCACAATAAAAACATGCAGCATATCCACCCTAATAATTCTAGGTTGCAACCCCCAATTACGGATTCTTGTAAATCTGTCTGAGTCTTCCGTGGCCACCTCTGGTTTACATTTTGTAAATCTTTTTCTTACTCAGCTTACTCATAGTGCTTGTAGAACCTTAGGCATGATAATTTTTGTGAAAGTCTCCTTAGGTACATTAATCACTTCTGTTGTGGTGTCCTTAGTAGCAATGCACAGCTCCATTCAAACAGCTAAATATGAAGAAAATAGGATGTGTGCAGCCAACCAGGCATGGATGCTTAAAAATAAATGAAACACGGAGATACAAATGGAGGTAGCAATGTTAAAGACTATAGTTCTGTGGCTAGGAAAACAAGTACAAAGTTTGTAGTTGCAGCAGCAATTGCATTCTCATTTTAACTATACTTGTATTTGTTTAACCAATTTGGAATAAAACTAACGTGAATATCAATGAAACCTTGTAAAGTCCCATTTGCAGGGGGCTTTCACATCAAATGTTACTTTTGATATGAATGATTTACAAAGTAAAATCCTTAATTTGAATAAACATTCAAGTATTTCAGCCCTCTTTAAAAACTTGGGTGGTATTCCAGCAGGGTTTAGAGAGCCTTAAGCTTTGGATCTCCTCCAAACAGCACCTCAATGTCTTTTCTGTGATTATCAGAGTGATATTATTGTGTCTCCATTTTATGTCTATTGTCTGTAAAATCAGCTGGACCACCAAATAGCAATTGAGAGCTGCACAGTCTGCAATTACCTTTACTCAACTAATTCAAAAACAAAAAGGAGGAGACGTTGGAGGTCAAAAGAATGAGGGTTGTGACCAATTCAGTAATGACTGGAGAGTCTATGAGCAGACAGCAAACTCTTCTCATGAAAGCAGGATGTTGGCAAACTGATACACCACCTCTGGTGCCAGAAGGAATGCTGAGGGCAGTCATGCCCCAAGCACAGCTTTCCTTGTGGTTTTATATACAGGAACAACTGAAGCCTGTAGTATAAAGCAAGCAAGTACGTGAGATTGCGATAAATCGAGCAGCTGACCAATAATTACCTTTCCTCCCTATTGATTCTGCCTAGTCAATACGAAGTCCTGTAGAAGCTCAGGACCTTTGCTCCCTGGAAGGAATAAGCCCCCTGACTCTTCTTTTAAAACAGAACTTTTTTGTCTTTGTCTTCATTTCTGCATTCACTCCCCTTCATTTCATCCTATAGTAACTGACTGCCACATTGTCGCTATTAAAATCCAAAAAAAAAAAAAAAAAAAAAATAGATGGGCTTGTTGGAAGGCATATGTAATTCAATTACTCAGGAGGCTGAGACAGAAGAATCCCTTACACCCGGGAGACAGATGTTGCATTGGGCCAAAATCATGCCTTTCCACCCCAGCCTGGGTGACAGAGTGAGGCTCCATCTCAAAAAAAGCAAAAAACAAAAAAGTAAAAAAGGAACAAAACAAAACAAAAAATATGATTCAATTAGAAGAACCAAAAAATAAGATGCGGGCTGAGAAAAGTCTAGGAAACATATCTGAAAAGTGACTTTCATGCGAAATATACAAAGAAATAAGTTGACCCAATTAATAGGTAAAGACCTGAATAGATACCTCACCAAACAAGATATGGAGATGGAAAACAGGCAAACGAAATACTGATCGCTAAGCCCCTGTTTCATCTGCTGAAGGCTGAAGCTCCAAGCCATTTTCTGAGGAACAACAGTGGCTGCCAGAGTGGCAGTGGCTCCAAAGACTATTCCAACCTACCCCAGCTCTACCCTTCCTCCAGGGTGCAAGCGTTCCCCAGACATTAGGCATGATCTCCAGGAAACAGCCAGAAGCTGGCTGTTTTCTTTCTCAGGTTTTCTTAATTTTATCTATGCCAACAAGTATCCTTTGGTTGGAAGTTTTATTTTTATTGTAACAATCTTGAGGCCTTGGCAAGTATTAGAAAAGACAGTTTTCAACCTACACTTGTCCCATAAAGAGATAAAATAATGGGCTTGGCCAGAGATGGTGGCTTGCACCTGTAATCTGAGCACTTTAGGAGGCTAAGCCAAGTGGATGTCCTTAGGTCAGGTATTTGAGATCATCCTGATCGACATGATGAAACAAGCTCTCTACTAAAAATATAAAAAATTAGCCAGGAGTGGTGGTGGACTCCTGTAATCCCTGATCTCCAGGAGGCTGAGACAGGAGAATTGCATGAACCCGGAAAGCTGACATTACCAGAGCCTAGATCACGCCATTGCACTCCAGCCATGGGAACAGAGTGAGACTCCATCTCAAACAAACAAACAAACAAAAACAAACAAACAAAACTATTCAATTGCTTTATTAGGCAGTTATTTTAGAATGATTGGTAGAATTCATTATTATTTTAGTATGCTGAAGATAGAAAACACAGTGACAGCAATAAGTAAAAACCAAATAACAAGTCATTATAAATTCCTGGAATTAATTTCATCTATCATTCTTTCTGGCTTTTGTTATTTAAAATGTGTACTGCTGAAATTATCAGATGTTTTATTTGTGACGTCTAAATGCAAAAAGAGACAAAAGTTAGTAAACCATTATTAAATGAATCTCAGTCTTCAAATTTCATTCTGATACAGTGGAATGTTTTGTGAAAGATGAAAAACTAACAGACCAAACACATGTGATTTCAAATTTTGGCTTACTTTTGTAGAAGCAGATTTAAGAACCAAAACCTTCATAGTTCTAATCTTTGTCAATGATTCAACACTGCAAGATAGGTACTGAAGTTGAAATCAGAGCTTTTTGTCAATTCCAACAGAAACTAGCTTGTGCTCTAGAAATTCCTGTTGCTCCCCTGACATCTGTAAAGAAATAATTTGATTGAAAGAGATCTCAACAAAGTGAAGCATCACACTAATACACCACGTTGTCTTAGTAGCTGCAGTTCACTATTTTATTGTAGTAACCATAAAATTAGAAAAAATAGCAGGATAAATGACTATGTGGACCAGCATAATGTTCTGAGTTTTTACCAAGTAGAGCTTATAATGTGTTTTTAAAAATTGATTTTCTGTGGCACAATACATGCATGTTTTTTGGCAGCAATCATAGATTAATGAACAAGCAATAACAGCAAAATAATGCTTAACAACAATTGTCATCTGGGGAAGGCAAATTAACATAAGAATGAGAGCACTAAACAGCTATACTATGTCTAAATATCTTTTTAAATATAATCAAAACTGCAACAGAAAATCTCATTCATTGCTGATGGAATGCATAATTGTACAACAACCTTAAAATATGGCTGTTTTCTTCTGCCACAGTTTGGCAGTTTTTTCCAAAGGAAAACATGATCTCATCATATAGGCTAACAATTGCACACTTAGGTATTTAGACAACAGATTTGGAAACTCGCATCTAACCAAAAACCACATGCATTTATGTATAACTGCTCTCTTGACAATGGCCAAATACTTTAAGGAAACAGGATACCCTTCAATATTAACCAAGCCAGATAAATTCATAAAATGTGATACTATTCATTAAAAGAAAAAGAGTGATTTATGAAGTCATGCAAAGCCATGGAAGCATCAGGTATACATAAAGCTAAGTGATAAAAGCCACTCTGAGGAGATGACATATTGTGTGATTTCATTTCTGTTGCATTACAGAGAAGAAATGTCTACAGAAACGGTAAATAGATTTGTAATTTACAGTGGTTTGTAGCAGGCAGGTAGTGAGTTGAATAGGAGAATGCAATGATGGAAAGAAACACAAATGGGCTGGGTGAGAAGGGACTCATTCTGCTTGATGAGATCATGCTGGTCGTGCGGAAGAGCTAGGAATGTGTATAACAGCATGAATAACTAAATAGGCTTCTACTCATGATAAGAGAGGAGTGTCTTCTTTCATCACACATGTAACTATTTTAGGACAACTTCTGAGGAAGCTTTTGTTGAATGTGATAAAACATACATAAACAAATTTACCATTTCAAACATCTTTGAATGTATAGTTCAGTAGCATTAACTATGCTCACACTGTGCAACCGTTACCACAATTTCTCATTCTCACTGGCAATGTATAAGGGTTCCAATTTCTCCACATACTCTCAAACTTTTCCTTAACAAAAATAGATATTCCAATGGGGATAAAGTGGTAATCCCATGGTGGTTTAGGTGTTTATTGGCTGTGGATTTGTAAATGATTTCTTGGCTTTATCACTGAATGAACATAAAACAAAAGAAAAGATAGATCAATCGAATTTCATCAAAACTAAACACTTTGGTGCATCAAAGGACACTGTCTAGTTAAAAGGAAACCAACAGCATGGGACAAAATATTTGCAAGTCTTATGTATGTTATATATTCCAGTCACCCACTTGGATCTCTTCCAACTGCACTTTCCATTTTTTCTTACGCTAAAACTTTTTAAATAAACATCCACGTTTGCTGTGAAACTTTTCTCAGTCTCTTTTGCTACTTTATTCCCCTCAGCCAAATTCTTTCTTCTGAGGAGGCAAGAGTTGATGTTACTGCAGACCATGATAGATTTGACAGCAGTAACAGATACTTTCACTGGTAACAGGTCGAGGAGCTGGTGGACAGTGTGGCTGGAGTACATGCCTAGTATGTGGTGGGCCTGGCCCCAGGCAGTTCTGGACTGTGGAGGGACCAGAACCCCATTCTGAGAGCACTCTGTGGAATGCTGAGGAAGAAGTTTTGTCTTTTTAGTGAGGTGAAGTTCCTTCACATAATATAAAATTAACTGTTTCTTAATGAATTCTTTAGTGATCCTTAGGACATGCACATTTGTATGCAACAACCACCTCTAAGTTCCAAACTGTTTTCATCATCCAGAAAAGAAAAAACCCTACCTATTAAGGAGCTACTACCCAATCTGTCCTCTTTCTGACACCTAGCAACCAGTAATCTGCTTTTTGTCTCTATGGATTTACCTATTCTAAATTTTATATAAATAAAATCATACAGTATGTGAATTTTGTCTTCAACTTCTTAAATCAAAATGGTTTTGAAATTTCTCCACATTGTAGCATTAGTGTTGTAATCCTTTTTACAGCTGAACATTATGCCATTGTATGGATATACTACATTTTGCTTCTTACTTTTTGTTGGTGAATATTTATTTGGTTTCTTTCCACATTTTAGTTATTGTGAATGCTGCTATGAACATATGTATACAGCTTTTGTTTGAATACCTGTTTTACATTTTGTGTGTATAGCTTGGAGTGGATTTTCTGCGTTCTTTGGTAATTTTATATTTAGCACTTGCAGAACCACCAAACTACTTCCCACAGCAGTGGAAGCATTTTACTTTCAAATTTTCCCACTTCCTTTCAACAACTGTTAGCTTTTGTTTGTTTGTTTGTTTTTTGGAATTATAATGGATGTGAAGTGATATCTTACTGTGGTTTTGACTTGCATTTCCATGAGGTTAAAAGGGGCAGGAGGCATAAGAGTTGGCGGAGCAAGAGGAAGGGTCAGGACAGCCAAGTGGAGAGGGTAGGCAAGTGCCAGGGACCACAGTGGTTGTGGCAGCCTCTGCCCAGTCTCAACTACAGCAGTGAATAGAAAAGTGAGCCCATGTTTGTAGAGTGGATTTTTTCACAATCTAGCTGTTTCAACAAGGAGAGCATGTGATTCGGGGGACTTCTCTCCCTCTTCTCATGCATCCCCTATATTCAGTCCTCACTGGGCACCTGCCTGGAGCCAACCTGGTCTCAGCTCCCAGACAAAGGAGAGCTTCATGCCCTGGGAACCTGATCCCTGTGGCCCCTAATGGACACAGGCCTGGAGGGAGGAGCACAGCTCATATGTGCTACAACAAGGACTGTAAAGTATGGAAGTGGCCACAACATTTAGCCCAGTCATACCAGGCCACATGAACCAGGCTCACCAGTCACGGGCCTCAGCCTCCCTCTTGAGACAGGAACTGCCACAACCATCAATCTCAACAGCCTTTCCAGGATTTAATAGGCCAAACACCTTGGAATTCTGCTGATTTTAAATTCTGCTGTCATTCCACATCTCACGCAACTGTAGCGCTAGAGACTGGAGTCAGAATCTGCAGGTTGCTTTCTCCTGCTGGTGCAGGAGAATGTGCCAAGTCAGTCTCCACTTATGGCTGGTACACAGAGCTCCACTTGTGGCTGCTTGGCCACCAGCATTTAATTATTTCCACTGTTACCTCTAAGGTTTACCAAACTGTATCTGTGGTGTAAGCTGTCACTACCTTCCCTTCCTTTGGGCCTTCCAGAGACTACCTCAAAACACCTATCACACTCAAAAACAAACTACTGTGGATTTGGTCAACTCTGGGTTGACATTTAGAAAAGCTGTGGCCTCAGAAAGCAGCTTCCTTTCTGCTCCAAATCTACTAGGCTCTACAAGGAGCATTAAGATGGCCCTGCGCTCAGACACAGAAAAGTTCTGGGTGCAAGTCTTAGTCCTCCCTTCTGCAAACCAGATTGATGACCTAATACAGTACCCAGCTGCCCAGTGCCTCCCTAAACCTAAACTTAATCATAACATTAACCTTAACCCTGCTTCTACCCCTAATCCTAATCCAGGATCCCTAACACTAACAGCAACCTCAAGCCTCAAACTTGACCCCAACATCAACCCTATGCCTAACCACTCACCAAAACCGAAGCCCCAAAACAAATCCCAACTCTAAATCCTAACTCTAACAGCTAAACCTGAATTTGACCCTGACCCTGATAATAACCCTAACCCAAGGGTAATCCAAACATTACATAAACATGAACTTAAACCCTAAGACTAAAACCCTAACCCTAAAGCCCTAACCCTAAGACAAAAACACTAATCCTAAACAAAAAACCCTATCTCTATCCATTAAAAGCTAATGTTAACCCTAAAATATTACCCCTAACACTAACCACAACACCTAACACCTAGTCCTAAATTCTAGCTCCTAAACCTGCTTTCTGAACAGGAACATAACACTCATATTAAGTCTAATACTAAACCCTAAGTCCAATCCTAGAACTCTTATTACAACCCTAACCCTACACCTACCCAAAACCTAAACCTAGCTGTTACATAAAACCCAAACCCTAATCCTAACATTAATCTTTAGCCCAACCCTAACCCTACACCTAACCATAACCCCTAACCCTAAGCCTAAATAGTAACATTAACTCTAACCCTAATGTGTTACCCAATTTGTACCCTGATGCAAACCCTAACCCTAATTCTAACCAATAATCATAACCCTAACTGTAATCATAATTCTAAACATAACCTTAACCCCTTAATCTAAATTTAAACACTAACGATAACTATAACCCTAAAGCATAACCTACTCCTACCCTAATGTTAACAGTAACATTAAACAATAATTCTAAACATAATCCTAATTCTAACACCATCTCCTTTCTATAACACCAACAGAACCATATCAACAAGCCCAATGAAAACACGAACAGTAACACTAAACACCAACCCTAACACTAACCCCTGACACAAATTCTATATCCTAAAGCTAACCCTAACCCTAAATTTTAACCCATATCCTCTAGCCCTAACCCTAAAACTTACTCTATCTGGTAACCTAAAGGTAATCCTTACCCTAAATACTAACCCTAACTTAACTCTAAAACTAACCTTGAAACCTTAACCCAAAGCCAATCTCTTATTTTTATAAGTAATCTTAATGCTAACAATGAAACACTGAAGAAGTGAACCTAACCATAAGCTCAACACATAACCCTAACAATAACACCAATCCTAACTGTAAAATCGTAAATCCTGAACTTTAACACTAAAAGTAACCTAACTCTAAACCCATCCCTAAAAATAAGCCTAAACCATGTCTCTAAAACTAAAACCTAACCATAATCCTAATCATTTCATAAATTGTAATCATAACCCATAATCCTAACCATTAACCAAAACCCTAACCCTAAATGCTAAACTAAACCTTAGTCGCTAACTGTAACACTAACACAAACGCTAATCCCTAACACTAATCCTAAACCCTAACACTAACAGAAAACTCAATCCCTAATACCTACCCCAAATCCTAACCCTAACTTCAACACTAACACCAACACCAAATGTATGCCCAACCCTTACCACTATTCCTAAAGCTTTTACCGTTAACCCTACACCTTCATGAACACAACCCCAAATATAAACATAAACCTTACCTTACTCTAAACAGAGATTCCTAAGCCCAAATCCTAACCCTAACTGTAAAACTCACCCTAAAAAATACTCTAAACATTAGCCAAACCATAAACCCTAACTCTAACACTAACACCCAATCCCAAGCCCTACTCTAACCCTAACACTAACCCTAATCCTAATCTTTAGCCAAATGCTTTAGCCAAACACTTTAAAGATCATCCTAACCCTAACTAAACCACAACCAGGTACCCAACGTTAAACTGTAAACCAGCACTAAACCCTAACCCTAAAATTTAACACTAAACCAAACACTTTAATCATAACACTAACACTAAACATAACGCTCACCCTACTTTTAACCCTCATTCTGAATCCTAAACCTAACCTTAATCCAAACCGTAATGCGAACCCTTACACTACCACCTAAACCTAACCCTAATTCTAACTATAAAATCTGAAATCCCAAAAACACTTAAGATAACTTTAAATGCATCCCATAACTCTGAAACTCAGACTAAACACTAACCCCAATACCCTTATCCTAACAGTAAAACGAACATAATTCTAACATAATCTTAACCTTGGCACTAAACCCAAAAATAACTCTTACCCTAAACACTGAACCTAATCATAACCTTAACCATAGATCATAAACCCTAACCATTAACACTAACCCTAGCCCTAAAACAAAACCTGTAACCATAATTAAACCTAAACCCTAAACCTAAACCTAATCTTAGCCCCTAACTCTAGAAAAACCATAATACCAACACTAACCATAAATGCTCACCCCTAACCCTAACAATAAACAAAACGCTGACACTAAACTCTAACCCTAGTCCTAAACTGTAAACCCAAACCTAAGTGTAAACCTAATCATGACCACTAACCTCAACCTCAAAACAGACCCAGCACTCTCATGCTGAACCTAAATACAAAGTCCTAATCGTATGTCCAACACTAACACTAACATCTAGCCAAAAATGATGAACATTAACCTTAACAATAACCCTGAACCCTAACCCTGAACCCTGAACCCTAACTCTGAATATGACCATAAGCCCCATCCTAATGCTAAATATTAACCCAAACACTGAAACCTAACACTAACACTCTAACCCTTACCCTCACACTAACCCTTAACACCAACCCTAACCCTGGCCATGATCCTAATTCCTAACCTCTAACTGTAAGCCTGGCTTTTTATGCTAAACCTAAGCATAACCCAACCCCAAACCTAACCTCTAACCCTGATTATGAACCTTAACCCTGAAGTCAACCCTAACCCTAGCCCATAACCCTAATCTTAACTCTAACTGCAACCGTAATCCTACCACAGCACTAAATCTTATCTCAAGTCCAGCGTTAACCCTCAGTCTAATACTGAAGTTGTTCTGCAATTGTAAACCATATCCTAATCCTCCGTTTCTATCCTATCCTTAAGGTTACCCCATTATGCTTAAAAAACTTTAAATACATCCTCTATGACTCTAACCTCTAACCCCTTATACCCATAAGAATACAAGCAGTCATACCTCTTTCTAAGCCCAAGTGAGTATTGAATTAAACATATGATATCACTAGCATAAAAAACTAAATATTACTGAATCTGATAATTATAGACATCATAAAGTTTAACCAAATAATAGTACATGGAATTTTTTACACAGCGAAGACATTATAGACCACAATATTTAAGAAATTTTCTCAGAAAATCAAAGAATTTTTACCATTCCAATGCCATCCCTTTTCAATATATTATGTAAATCAAATGATGGAACCATGTTTGTCTCGACTTTTACAGAAAGTAAAGACAGCATATTTAACAATTAAAAATCCAATAAACTGTGGTTCAAATTTTTTTCACGTGCTAAAACGTCTTTATGCAAAACCCATAACAATCATCTAAATTGTTGAGAACCAAGGCTTTAAGATGAGGAACACTGCACTGATGCTTAACTATATTAAACCCCTTACTAGAAGTCCCAGTAGGTCAACTATATAGATATACTTATATATGTATATTTACACACACACAACCATTCATATGCAAAAGAGAAAAGTAAAACTACTCACAGATCTCATACACAGAAAACCATGAGGAACCATCTAGAAATTATGAAATCTAGTAAACAAATTAAGCAAAATAACAGGAGAAAATTTCAACAAATGAAATCTTTTTTTTTTCCTTTTTATGGCGTTATGCTGTTGTTGCCCAGGGTGGAATGCAATGGCATGATCTTGGCTCACCACAACCTCCATTTCCTGGGTTTGAGTGGCTATCCTGCCTCAGCCTCCTGAGTAGCTGCAATTCAGACATGCCGCACCATGCATGGCTAATTTTGTATTTCTAGTAGAGACTGGATTTCTCCATGTTGGTCAGACTGGTCTCAAAGTCCTGACCTCAGGTGGTGTGCCCGCCTTGGCCTCCTAAAGTGCTGAGATTACAGGTGTGACCCACTGCACCCGGCCACAAAATCTATTTCTATTCACTAGCAATAAACCATGTAAAAATGAAATTAAGACAACAATTTTATTTCTCAAAAAAACAAGAGGCTGGAATCTTTCCCCCTGCCCTGGAAGCCACAGATGCAGGCAGCTGGGGGAGGGACAGCCTTGGAGTTGAGGCTGTGCTGCTACATTGGGACCTGGCTGCAGTGGCTATGGGGCTAACAAGAAACTCTTCAAGTTTCTGAGAAATCAAAGTAGAATTACTTTAAAACGTAATGGATGAAGAAGAGAAAACTTCCAGTGCTTTTGAAAGCCCTAACCCCATGATGTCATATAAATATCTTTTGAGTCATAATTTTTTTATAAAAGAACATGAACAGACATCAGCAATAATGAAACCCTTGTTGAGTGGCCCAGGTCAATTTGCTGAGAAGAAAACCATTGAGGTCAGTTTGAGAGACATCCCTTCATAAGTACTGTCAAGAGCATGCACATATTTTACCTACACATTTTACTACACCTACAGCTCCACAGGGATTTTTAAATTCCCATTTCATCTGAAACTGCACTAGAATTTCTGACAGCTGTAAACTTTCTAGATTGTATGTAAATACAATTGATGTTTTATAAATACAATATATTGATATAATAAAATACATTTTAATCAACTGGAAACTCTTTTCAGTGTTTAAGACCAGCAGTTGAGTTTGTACTTTTTCACAGGTAGTACATTCACTGTATGAAATGTAACTATAAAATTAATTGCTAAGAAGGTTGTCTTCTGTTTTTTTCATAACAGAGTTGAAATTTGTTTGCAATGTCAACAAATTGAGGACATTTTCACAAATGCAGAAATAAACAAATATGGCAATTCATAGGTGGTTTTGCTTTATCCTATGGATACAATTTTTAAAATGAAAAACGATCTAGAAAATGCTGAAAACTAGAAATAATAAACATGTACTACAATTAAACAATTTTGCCAAGTGTTTTTATGTATTTAGTTGCTTGTTAATAAAACTATTTTTATGTTGTGGCTGCCCATAGCATTGATGGAGTTATACAAAAAATTGCATTATAGTTATTTTCATACCTTAGCCGAAACATTGATTTACTTTTAATGACCCTAATGCAAAAAGTGTTTTATTAATGCCTATAATCTCAGCACATTGGGAAGTCAAGCAGGCACATCACTTCAGCACAGAGGTTTGAGATGAACCCAGACAACATGGCAAACCATCATCTCTGCACTCACACACCAATAAAATTGTCCAGGTATTGTGGCTGAGGCAAAGGTAGAAAGATAAAAGGAGCTCAGGATTGAGAGGCTGCAGACTTCAGTTAGCCATGATGGCACCATTGCAGTCCACCCTCGAGAAAAAGTGAGACCCTGTGAAAGAAAGAAAGAAAGAAAGAGAGAGAGAGAGAGAGAGGGAGAGAGAGAGAGAGAGAGAGAGAGAGAGAGAGAGAGAAAGAAAGGGAGAAAGAGAGAAGAAAGAAAGAAAAAAGAATATGAGTTGAAAATTTTTAAGTGCTTTTATAAACTTCAATGTTGTATAAATATGTCTTGTCTTGTCATTTTTGTATTGTTACAATTTAAGAAGTTTATTTAAAGACAATTTTGGAATGTTACCAAGTCCAAATTTTAATAAGTAATTGAACTTTACCCAGATCGTCAACAAGTCAATTATACAACTTAGAGTTCTTGTGCGTTATGTCTTCTGGGCAATTCAAAGTACTGTGTTTTCGTTGATTATGAAGCAATTCATCCTTTTCAACTTTCAAAACAGAAAGCAAAAAAACAACAGGCTGAGTGTGGTGGCTTATACCTCTAATTCCAGTATTTTGGGAGGCCAAGGTGGGAGAATTGTCAAGTCAAGGTATTTGAAGCTGCAGTGAGCTATGATTGCACAAGCATATTCCCACCTGGGCAAAAGAATAAGGCCCTATCGCAAAAAGCAACAACAAAAAATCGATGACTATAATGTGTTCAAGACTATATTTAACCAAGGTGCAAGAATTAGACATGAAAAATTATGAAATACTGCTGAAATAAATTCCAGAAACATTAAATAAATATAAAGACACTCAATGTTTCTGGACTAGAAGATGATTTTTATGTGACAATACTGCACAAAGCAATCTACAAATTCATTATAATTCCTATGAAAATACCAAAGTCCTTTTGGTAGAAATGAGCAAGCCAGTTCTAACACTCACATAAACTTCAAGGAATCCTGAATAGCCAAAATATTCTTAAGAACAGAAAGCAACTTGGAGGCTCGTATTTCTCAATTTCAAATATTACGGCTAAGCAGCAGTCATCATAACAGCATAATACTGGCATAAGGACATACTCAGAGTTCAATGGAACTGAATGTTAAATCCAACAATACCTCTATGGTCAATGGATTTTTGACATGTAGGCAAGATCAGTAAATACAACAAATGCTGTTATTCAACTGACTACCACACTCAGACAAAGAAACTGTACTCTTTTCTCACAACAGAAAATTAACTCATAATGGTTCAAAGCCTACATAGTAGAGGGAAAAACATAAACTCTAGAAGAAAACATAAGAATAAATCTTCATAACCTTGGATTTAGCAGTGGTTTCTTAGATCTGATATCAAAAGTGCAGAAAACTAAAGAAAACATTTTCTCAAAATTAAACATTTTTGTGCATCAAAAGTCACTATCAAGAAAATGAAAAGACGTGTTACAGAAAGGAAGGTTTCCATGTTACGTATGTAAAAACAGTCTGTTATCCACAATATATGAAGAACTTGCATAACTCAGCAACAACAACAATAAAAAAAATCCAGTTACAAAATGGAGAAATACAATTCACCAGAAAGACATGTATATCAAGCACATAAAAATATGAACAGTAAAATATATAAGTTTTATTCCATGAAGTGTTTCATACTTTCGCTTTTCTCATAGTCATGAGGTTCTTTGTGGTAAAATTAGTCCTGTCCAGGTCCACCTGAAGAACAGCTAAGGTAACAATACTGCTGGGGAGCATTTTTTCCTTAGAAGAGAAAATAAAATATCTGGCAGGAAATAATGTTTTGAAATTAAAACTTTCATGCTGGACTAAAGTTTCCAATAAAGGTGACAGTTTGTCCCTCAGCCTTCATGGGCCCAAAATTTATCATGCAGCAGGAAGTAAGAAGGGAAGTTATTAAGTTAACGGGGTACATGGATACACAAATGCCCCATTTCCATACCAAAACTGTGACATAATTACATACCCTCACAGTATTTCAATATTTAAATATTAATAATTCATCTATGTAAATAACTAAGCTTACTTTATTTACTTCACACTGTACAGTTAAGGAGGTTTACAAATATTTATATAAATTGTCATGATGTGTGCTAGGACTTTTTTTTCTGTTAAATGTACTGACAGACTACATAAAATGTAAGTATTTAAACCTAACATAACTTGGAGCTAATAACACACAGTTAAGGAAGATAACACGGTAATAGTCTGTCCAATAAATTCTAATGTAATTTCAATATTTACTTGTGTTATTTGTCTTCAGCACTAAGATTTTTTCTTTACTAATTATCCCAAACATGGACTTTCATTTCATTAACTATTATTTCCTTGATTTATAAGTTGAGAGTGATCTCATCCATTAACAAATAATGAACTTCTTTTTATCTTTAGAAACAGTGCATTATTAGCTTTTCTACAGTTAGATATCAGAACCTCTGACTTTAAAGTCTTAGCTGGACAAAGCCTTGGACAATTAGATAATGGTGGGCACTGGGTGAATAGATTGAGAGATTGCACATAAAATTCCTGAGACACCCAAAATCCTGTGTTCCCACAGTTGAAAGCAGACGAGACTCCAGGCAGTTGAGCAGGCTGAATGGGTAAGAGAAACAGTTAGGAGAACTTGGGGTCTGCAGCCATGGTGCATTCTATGGTTCTTCTTCTAAGGTCAGTGGGAAACCATGGGCAAAATTAAATCAGGAGGGTGACAGGATGAAATTTGTAATTGTAAATGAATATTTTGTCATTACCATTACCATTACTAACCCTGTATTTCCTGATTTAATAGTTATGTGATGGTATCCTTGGAGAGTGTCCTCACTTTTCATAAAACCCCTGGGATATTTTGCATAAAGGTTCAAATCTGGCACAGCAGAAACCACTGGAGATTCTGAGAGAAAAGATTATACTAACAGCTATTGGAAGTTTCCTAGAAGTATAAAATTATTGAGAAGTAAACTACTTTTAATAAAAACAACCATGTCCATACCTTGTCACTACTGCAGAGACAACAACATTAAACTTCATTATAGAGGCCAAATCCTCCCCAAATCCAGCTTAGTGGAAGCCGTGAAACCAAGTGCCCCCATAAGAGTAGGAATGTTATGTCAGTATTACTGGTGTTACATCTTTATGATGAGTGTTATATCAGTAACTGTGGGTGTTACATCAGTATTCTGGTTGTTCTATTTGTATTACAAATGTTGTATTATTATTATGGGTGTTAATATTACAGGTGTCACTTCAGTGTTTCAGGTATATTTGTACCTCAGTATGATATATTGGAATTCTGAATGGTGTATTGGTATTATTAGTGTTACAGTTGTATTACAGGTGTCAGGACAGCATTACAAGCGTTATATAAGCATTATGGATGTTTCATTTGTACTGTGGATTGCATATTGGTGTTATGAGAGTTACAATTGTATTATGGGTCTTAGATCAGTATTACAGATGTTATATTTGTATTTCGGATGCTATACTGGTATTATGAGTGTTTTATTGCTGTTATGAATGTCACAGTGTCATTATGGGTGTTGTTAATATTATAGGTGTCACTTCAGTATTTCAGTTGTTATATTTGTACCGCAGGATGATATATTGGAATTCTGAATGGTGTATTGGTATTATTAGTGTTACAGTTGTATTACAGGTGTCAGGAAAGCATTACAAGGGTTATATAAGTGTTATGGATGTTTCATTTGTATTGTGGATTGCATATTGGTGTTATGAGAGTTACAATTGTATTATGGCTCTTAGATCAGTATTAGGGATGTCATATTTGTATTTCGGATGCTATACTGGTATTATGAGTGTTTTATTGCTGTTATGAATGTTACAGTGTTATCACGGGTGTTAGATCAGTATTTCAGGTGTTACATTAGTATTACAAATGTCACATCTGTATTATGGGTGATATAATTATTTACAGATGTTATATTTCTATTACAGATGTTATATGACAGATGATACATTTGTGTCAGGAGGCCACTGTATGGACCTGGCATTGTGGCCACACCTTGGGTGTGGGGAAGGACGTTGGGTTGCATTAAAGCCATTTGATTTTTATTGTTTAATTTTCCACACGAAGCCCTTCCACTGGTCCCTGATTTCAGCAGTCAGCCTCCAGCTGTCCCTCAGCAAGGCGGTGTTGCTCTGGTCTGTACTGAGGAGAAGGCAGCTGTAGCCCTCGGGCAACACGAGCTGAACCCGATGGTGCTCCCAGGGTCAGAAAAGGCGGACTCATGCTCCCCCTGCTGGCAGCCAGAAGAACTGCAAGACCCCCATGGTCAAGGTGAGGCAGCCGTGCGCCCCCTTCTGGCTGAACTGCGGCACCAAATAAAAGCAGAGTTCAGATTGTTCAGTGCCATCATTTTGGAAATTCAAACGGAAATGTTGCCTATTATCCTGTTTCGTAAATTATTATTTATTTTAGGTTCAGGGGTACATGTGAAACTTTGTTATGTAGGTAAACTCGTGTCATGGGGCATTGTTGTACAGATTATTTCATCACCCAGGTATTAAGTCTAGTAATTAATAGCTATTTTTCCTGCTGCTCTCTCTTTTCCCACCTTCCACCCTCAAGTAGGTCTCATGTCTATGGTTCCCTTCTTTGTGTTCATGAGTTGTCATCAGTTAGCTCCCACTTCTAGTGAAAACATGTGGTATTTGGTTTACTTTTCCTACATTAGTTTGCTAAAGATAATATCCTCCAGCTCCATCCATGTTCCCTCAAAAGGCATAATTGTATTTTTTTTAATCTCTGCATAGTATTCCCTGTGGGCATGTACCACATTTTCTTTAATTCAATCTGTCATTAATGGGTAGTTAGGTTAATTCCATGTCTTCTGTTGTGAATAGTCCGCAGTGAACATTTGCATTCGTGTGTCTGTGTGGTAGAGTGATTTATATTCCTCTGGGTATGTATCCAGTAATGGGATGGCTGGGTTGAACAGTAGTTCTGCTTTCCAGTCTTTGAGGAATTGCCCTACTGCTTTGCACAACAGTTGAACTAATTTACATTCCTACCAACAGTGCATAATTATTCCTTGGTCTCTATAACCTCACCTGCATATATTATTATTTTACTTTATGATAATAACCATTCTGACAGATAGGAGATGATATCTCATTGCTCTTTTGATTCGTGTTTCTTTAATAATCAATAATATTGAGCTTTTTAAAATAAGTTTTTTGGCTGCCTGTATGTCTTTTGAAAAGCGTCTGTTCACACTTCTCAAAAGAAGACATTTATGCAGCCAACAGACATATGAAAAAATGCTCATCATCACTGGTCATTAGAGAAAAGCGCCCATCAACCCATCATCTACATTAGATATTTTTCCTAATGTTATCTCTACACTATCCCACCACCCACCACCATGTTATGTTTTCCTCTCTGTGTCCATGGGTTCCCATTGTTCAACTCTCATGTAAAAATGAGAACCTGTGGTGTTTGGTTTTCTATTTTTCTGATAGTTTGCTGAGAATGATGGTTTCCAGCTTCATTCATGTCGCTGCAAAAGACATGAACTCATCCATTTTTGTGGCTGCATACTGTTCCATGGTGTATATGTGCCAGCTTTTCTTTATCCAGTCTATCATTGATGCACATTTGGGTTGGTTCTAAGTCTTCACTACTGTGAATAGTGCTGTGATAAACATACATATGCATGTGTCTTTATAGTAGAATGATTTATAGTCCTTCGGTTATATGCCCAGTAATCAGATTGCTGGGTCAAATGGTAATTCTAGTTCTAGATCCTTGAAGAATCACCACACTGTCTTCCACAAGGGTTAAATAATTAACACGCCCACCAACACTGTAAAAGCCTTCGTATTTCTCCACATCCTCTCCAGCATCTGCTGTTTTCTGACTTTTTAATGATCGCCATTCTAACTGGAGTGAGATGGTATCTCACTGTGGTTTTGATTTGTATTTCTCAAATAATGAGTGATGATAAGCATTTTTTCATATGTTTGTTGGCTGCATCAAAGTCTTCTTTTGAGAAGTGTCTGTTCATATCCTTTGCCCACTGTTTGATGAGGTTGTTTGGTTTCTTCTTGTAAACTTGTTTAAGTTCCCTGTAGATTCAGGATGTTAGTCTTGTTTCAGATAGATAGATTGCAAGATTTTTCACCCATTCTGTAGGTTGTCTGTTCACACTGAGGATAATTTATTTTGCTGTGCTGAAGCTCTTTAGTTTAATTAGATCCCATTTGTCAATTTTGGCTTTTATACCATTGCTTTTGGTGTTTTGGTTTTGCACATGCTTATGTCCTGAATGGTATTGCCTGCGTTTGCTTCTAGGAATTTTATGGTTTTAATTCTTACGTGTAAGTCGTTAATCCGCCTTCAGTTGACTTTTGCATAAGGTGAAAGGATGGGGTCCAGTTTCTGTTATCTGCATATGGCTAGCCAGTTTTCCCAATACCATTTATTAAAGGGAAAATCTTTTCCCCATTGCCTGCTTGTTTCAAGATTGTCAAATATCACATGGTAGTAGATGTCACATGGTAGTAGATGTGTGGTATTATTTCTGAGGCCACTGTTCTGTTCTATTGGTCTATATATCTGTTTCGGTACAAGTACCATGCTGTTTTGCTTACTGTGGCCTTGTAATGTAGTTTGAAGTCAGGTAGCGTGATGCCTCCAGATTCATTCTTTTTGCTTAAGATTGTCTTGTCTATGCAGGCTCTTTTTTGGTTTCATTTGAACTTCAAAGTAGCTTTCTTTTTCCAATTATGTGAAGAAAATTAATGATAGCTTGATGATGATAGCATTGAATCTATAAATTACTTTGGGCAGTATGGCCATTTTTCCAATATTGATTCTTCTATCCATGAGCATGGAAGCTTTTTATTTTTCATCTCTTTTTATCTCTCTTATTTCCTTCAGCTGTGGTTTGAAGTTCTCCTTGAATAGGTTCTTCACATCCCTTGTTAGTTGTATTCCGAGGTATTTTATTCTCTTAGTAGCAATTGTGAATGGGAGTTTACTCATGATTTGTCTTTCTGTTCTCTCTTATTGTGTGTAGGAAAGCTTGTGATTTTTGCACATTGATTTTGAATCCTGAGGCTTAGCTGAAGTTGCTTACCAGCTTAAGGAGATTTTATGCTGAGATGATGGGTTTTCTAAGTGTACAATCATGTCATCTGCAAACAGAGACAATTTGACTTCCTCGCTTGTGATTTGAATGTCCCTTATTTCTTTTTCTTCCCTGATTACCCTGGCCAGAAGCTTCAAATACTAGGTTGAATAAGAGTGGAGAGAGAGTGCATCCTTGTCTTGTACCAGTTTTCAAAGGGAATTCTTCCAGTTTTTGCCCATCAGTATATTGGCAGTGGGTTTGGCATAAGTAGCTCTTATTGTTTTGAGATATATTCTGTACATTTCTACTTTATTGAGAGTTTTTATCATAAAGCGGTGTTGAATTTTGATGAATGCCTTTTCTGCATCTATTGACATAATCATGTGGTTTTTGTCACTGGTTCTGTTTATTTGGTGCATTAGGTTTATTGATTTGCATATGTTGAACCATCTTTGCATTTCAGGGATAAAGCTGACATGATCGTGGTGGATAAGCTTTATGATGTGCTGCTGGATTGAGTTTGCCAGTATTTTATTGAGGATTTTCACATCAATGTTCATCAGGGATACTGGCCTGAAATTTTCTTTTTTTGGTGTGTCTCTGCCAGGTTTTATTATCAGGATGATGCTGGCCTCATAACATGATTTATGAAGGATTTCCTCCTTTTGCATTTTTTGTAATAATATCAGAAGGAAGGGTATGAGTGCCTCTTGTTATGTCTGATAAAATTTGGCTATGAATCTGTCTGGTCCTGAATTTTCTTTCTTGGTAGGCTATCAGTTACTGCCTCAATTTCAGAATTGTTAATAGACTATTCATGGATTTAACTTCTTCCTGGCTTAAACTTGGGAGGGTGTATGTGTCCAGGAATTTATCCATTTCTTTTAGATTTTCTAGTGTATTTGCATAGAGGTGTTCAGAGTATTATCTGATGATCAGCAATGATATTCCCTATGTCATTTTTTATTGCATCTATGTGATTTTTCTCTCTTTTCTTCTTTGTTAGTCTGGCTAGTGGTCTATCTATATTGTTGATCTTTTCAAAAAACCAGCTTACGGATTTATTGATTTTTGAAAGGTTTTTGTGTCTCTGTCTTCTTCAGTTCTGCTCTGATCATAGTTATTTTATGTCTTCTGCTAGGTTTTGTATTCGTTTGCTCTCACTAAACTAGTTCTTTTAATTTTGATGTTAGGGTGTCAATTTTAGATCTTTCCTGCTTTCTCTTTTGGGCATTTAGTGCTATCAGTTTTTCTCTAAACACCACTTTAAATGTGTCTCAGAGTTTGTGGCACATTGTGGTTGGTGGCCTGGAGAGACATTGGTCAAAAATACAAACTTTTAGTTAAACAGGAAGAATAACTCAAAGAAATCTATTGTACAACATAGTGGCATCACACTATGTTAAGGGTCTAACACTACCTGATACAATGTTATATCTAATAACAACGTATTGTACTCTTGAAAATGGCTACAATAATAGATTTAAGTGTTCTAACATTAAATAAATGAAAAGTATATAATGTAGTGCATGTTAATTAGCTTGAAATGAATACATATTTCAAAGAGGTCTTAAAAAGCACCATCCTAGACATTTAATTATAAGAATAAGCCTCGGTTTGAAGTGCCCCAGCAAACAGCACCACCTTTATTTTATTTTACTAGTTTAGTTTAGTTTAGTTTAGTTTAGTTTAGTTGTTTAGTTTAGTTTAGTTTAGTTTAGTTTAATTTTTGAGATGGAGTCTTGCTCTGTCACCAGGCTGGCATGCAGTGGCATGACCTCGGCTCACTGCAACCTCCACCTCCTGGGTTCAAGTGATTCCCCTGCCTCAGCCTCCCTATTAGCTGGGATTACAGGTGTGGGCCACCATGCCCGGCTAATTTTTTGTAGTTTAGTAGAGATGGGGCTTCACCGTGTTGACCAAGATGGTCTCCACCTCCTGACCCTGTGATCTGCTCACCTTGGCCTTCCAAAGTCCTGGGATTAGAGGCATGAGCCACCATGCCCAGCAGTACCACCTTTAAAACACAACATTATGGAAGAATCCCTAAACGCACATTTCATATGCCAACTCCTCTTCATCCCTTAGTATAAAAATCATATTTTGAGATGTACATGATTTTCAGTTTCTTAAAGAATTAAAGCACCAGCTAGATCCTTTAAAATTCTTTAGATCACATAGCACACCCTAAATAGTTATATAATTTTTATTTGTCACATTAAAAAATAAATAATATGAGGAAAGTTTTAAGAAATTACAATTTTTATTGTGCTCAAGGAAACTATTAATCCTACAGAGATTGGTTCCAGCCAGGACACATCTGGAAAAATAACTATCATGAAGATATAAGAGTGTATTTTTATTTCCCTTCTATGAGAAACTATGCTCCTTACCTTGGACCATCTCTGTAAAGGGGTGTGTGTGTGTATGTGTGTGTACACACAAGAGTGAACATTTGAATTGTTTTGTCTTAAGTTTTTTCCCTTGAATATAATCTAACCTCTCCAATACAAATGTCACTCCCTTATTATTTTTCAGGACATGTAACAATTGCCATGCCAATTGCAAATAAATCTGAACATGCATATTAACATTAATATTATAATGCTATTATTTGCAGTAGAATAATGCTATTATTTGCAGTTCACAGCCTTGACTGCCCTGGGCTTTAGGAAATAAGATGTGAATGTGCAAATATAGCAAATATTGCTGAAGCAAATAGAAGATATAGATATCACATCTCTGCCTACCATGCCCAACATTGTTGTGCATTTCTATCTGCTTGTCCATCTCCATGGATCAACATGTTCCCATTTCCTCCACTTGCTCACTGCTGTCCATATTGCACCACTGAGCCCAAATATCACTCCCTTGAAACATCACAATTGCTAAGTTGTAGCAAGCCCTTCCTATGTGTTAGGTAATGTCTCCAGGGCATTATCTACTTTAACATGGGGAGGAGCTCACTTGGGGCACACAGTTGCCATCTGTGTAACAATGCAAGAAAACTGAGACTCAGAAAGCCAAAGGAACTTTTGCAAAAAAGTAACCTGTCCAGAGGTCGAACTGGCCTCACTTCCTCCAGTAACAACACCCTGAGTAACTGAGTTCAACTGTCTTTCAAAAGTAAACATATTTTCTTCCCCAGGTATTTGGTAGGCAGATGTTTCTCTGTCTTAATGCACTGTCTATGCACTGCGGTAGAAATGATTGCACTGTGTCAAAAACACATATGTAATTATTAGTGTATCTGAGTATACTAAACATTCCTCAAGAGCATTCCTGGAGAGCAGTGACCTAGATTGCCTTGGCTTTATAAATCTTCTTTCTTTTCTTTTTTTTTTTTTTAAACACAGTCGCTGCTAAAGAAAAGCCAGACAGCATAGGTAGGTACAAATTAAGGTTCATGAAGTCTAAACAAAAAGAAAACACAAATCAGGGCCTCAATTAAGCTAGTGTTGTATCACATCCTGTCTGATGCAGGAATCCCTGTGCAACTGCAAAAACTACGGAATACTGAGGGGGGGCAGGGAACGTTAAAGCCATCACTGACCTCAAAAGCAAGGAAGAGTAATTCCAAGGGTCAGCTTAGAAGATAAAATAACACTCTAAATTGTAACAGGGAGCTAAAGCTTTGATGTAGAAAGGCAAATTATATATAAAGAAATAAAAATATACACAACTCCAGTAAATGCAAGACTACAGAATATATAGGTATCTTTAAAAAGTTGCATAGAAATAAATATTAACAAAGAATTCTAAACCTTTAAATATCTAAACATTTAAATATCATTCAAGATTCAGGACCCAAGAAAATATTTTTAGACACCCAGGCATACAGATCATGTGCTGCCAATATGACCCTAATAAAAACAATTTCCAGAAAATATGCTTCAAAATCATGACAATTGGATGCATAAATAAAGTAAGTTGTGATGTAAGAAGCAATACTAAGCCAGAAACTAGTAACTATGGTAGTAAATGTACTTTAAAAAATTTATTTTTTAATTTTTGTAGGTACATAGTAGGGACATATATTTTATGGTGTTACAAGAGATATTTTGGTACAGGCACGCAATGTGTAATAGTCACAGCATGCAAAATTGTCTATCCAATCCTTGGATATTTATCTTTTGTGTGCCAATCAATTCAATTATTTGTTCATTTATTTATTTTATTTGGAGATGGAGTCTCGCTCTGTCACCCAAGCTGGAGTACAGTGGTGCAATCTTGGCTCACTGCAACTTCTGTCTCCCTGGTTCAAGCATTTCTTCTGCCTCAGCCTCCAAAGTAAGTGGGATTATAGGTACCTGCCACCATGCCAGGCTAATTTGTGTATTTTTAGTAGAGATGGGTTTTCTCTGTGTTGGCCAGGCTAGTCTTGAACTCTTGACCTCTGCTGATCTGCCAACCTCAGCCTCCCAAAATAGCAGGGTTACAAGCATGAACCACAATGCCTGCAATGCCTGGCCTGTTTTAGTTATTTTAAAATGTACAATTAATTATTATTGACTGCAGTCCCCCTGTTATGGTATCAAATACTAGGTCTTTCTTTCTTTCTTTCTTTTTGTAGCCATACTAGTAAATAAAATGTTTAATTTTGTGGAGTATGTAAAAAGGCAGATTTAATATATTGAAAAATACTGCATGAAAGAAGATGAAGGTGATGTTTATAGTGTTTTATGACTTGTTATCTAGAAGAAAATTAGAGATACTGGTTAATCATATACATATACAAATATGTTAACATTTTAGAATTAACCATTATTAAAGATGGAGTGTTTAAAAATGAAAGTGAAATTCCAGACCAATATAAGGGAAAAAAAGGCTGATGAACATTATCAATCTAAGAGATGGCACCAATAAAAAAACAAAATAGGAGGAAGAGAAAACAGAAAAAAAGCAACATGTTATATATAAAAAAAGAAATGGACAAATTTATAGTTATACATGTAACAAAGAATGGATAAAAATTTTCTCAGCAGTTGAAGTGAATGAACAAGAGCTATTGTATATGATTTAATGTTGTGTGAAAATGTTTGTAAGCAGAATAATGATTCATTTGAATGTAAAAAACAAAGAGAAATCCTATGATTGATGGTTCCATGTATTAGTATTTTGAAAGTGTTCTCATTTGCACTGGAATGTTACAAGGCTGATTCATGAAAATGATTTTCTGGTGAAGGAGGGAGACAGATTTAGCATAAGTCTAAAGGGATAATCCTGTAATCATTTTTTAAATATAAATATCTAAATGGAAAGGTAATATTTGCATTTTTTAATTCTAGATGGTGGCTACTGGGATTTCATTATTGTTCTTTCATTTTTCTGTACTTACAAATACTTAAAAACATACAAACATATATCCATAGCAAGTCAGCATTAGAAAAATGGGACAATGAGTTAAGAATGAAATCGACCAGCATGTGACAGTTTGAAATCTCAAGCTTTTCTTTTCTTTTCTTTTAATTTTTCATTTTCATAGGTTTTTGGGGAACAGGTGGTATTTGTATACATAAGTAAGTTCTTTAGTGGTGATTTGTGAGACATTTGTGCACCCATTGCCTAAGCAGTATATGCTGTACCCAACTTGTAGCCTTTTATCCCTCACCCCCTTCCCACCCTTTCTCCCCTGAGTCCATTAAGTCTTTGTTATTCTTTTGTGTCATCATAGCTTAGCCCCCACTTATGAGTGAGAACATACGATGTTTGGTTTTCCATTCCTGAGTTACATCACTTACAATTGATAGTCTCCAATCCCATCCAGATTGCTGTGAATGCCATTAATTAATTCCTTTTTATGACTGAGTAGTGTTTCATTGTGTGTATACTAGTTTCTTTATCTACTTGTTGACTGATGGGCACCTGGGCTGGAGAAACTGCAGCAATTTCAATGACAAAGTGTGGTTGCAGCAAATATCCAAAATTAGAAAACAACAACAAAATATTTTGGAGAAAGACCACAATTTGGGCCAAATCCTCTCTCACTTCCAAGCAACCCTCAGCATGTGTGGTGATAAACAGAGGACCCAGCTAATAATCATTCTGGAAGTCCAACATGTATAAAATCGGGACAATATCTCAGACGTCATCAAGTTCTGGGAAAAAAATGGATTAGACTTGGTAGGCACCTGATGCTTGTTGAAAGTTTTTCATAAATGCTGGTTGAACCAAGTAGGATTTTTCATTCTTCATCTAACCTATGCTGGAAACCATGAGGAGTCATTATAATAAGACACAACCCAACTGTTCATCAGTGATGGACTGGATAAAGAAAATGTGGTGCTGAGCATTTTTTCATGTGTTTTTTGGCTGCATAAATGTCTTCTTTCGAGAAATGTCTGTTCATATCCTTTGCCCACTTTTTGATGGGGTTGTTTGTTTTTTTCCTGTAAATTTGTTTGAGTTCATTGTAGACTCTGGATATTAGCCCTTTGTCAGACGAGTAGGTTGCAGAAATTTTCTCCCATTCTGTAGGTTGCCTGTTCACTCTGATGGTAGTTTCTTTTGCTGTGCAGAAGCTCTTTAATTAGATCCCAATTGTCAATTTTGGCTTCTGTTGCCATTGCTTTTGGTGATTTAGACATGAAGTCCTTGCCCATGCCTATGTCCTGAATGGTATTGCCTAGGTTTTCTTCTGGGGTTTTTATGGTTTTATGTCTAACATTTAAGTCTTTAATCCATCTTGAATTAATTTTTGTACAAGGTGTAAAGAAGGGATCCAGTTTCAGCTTTCTACATATGGCTAGCCAGTTTTCCCAGCACAATTTATTAAATAGGGAATCCTTTCCCCATTGCTTGTTTTTCTCAGGTTTGTCAAAGATCAGATAGTTGTAGATATGCGGCCTTATTTCTGAGGGCTCTGTTCTGTTCCATTGGTCTATATCTCTGTTATTTCATTGAGCAGTGGTTTGTAGTTCTCCTTGAAGAGTTCCTTCACATCCCTTGTAAGTTGGATCCCCAGGTATTTTATTCTCTTTGAAGCAATTGTGAATGGGAGTTCACTCATGATTTGGCTCTCTGTTTGTCTGTTATTGGTGTACAAGAATGCTTGTGATTTTTGTACATTGATTTTGTATCCTGAGACTTTGCTGAAGTTGCTTATCAGCTTCCGGAGATTTTGGGCTCAGACGATGGGGTTTTCTAGATATACAATCATGTCATCTGCAAACAGGGACAATTTGACTTCCTCTTTTCCTAATTGAATGCCCTTTATTTCCTTCTCCTGCCTGATTTCCCTGGCCAGAACTTCCAACACTATGTTGAATAGGAGTGGTGAGAGACGTCATCCCTGTCTTGTGCTGGTTTTCAAAGGGAATGCTTCCAGTTTTTGTCCATTCAGTATGATATTGGCTGTGGGTTTGTCAAAGATAGCTCTTATTATTTTGAGATACGTCCCATCAATACCTAATTTATTGAGAGTTTTTAGCGTGAAGAGTTGTTGAATTTTGTTGAAGGGCTTTTCTGCATCTATTGAGATAATCATGTGTTTTTTGTCTTTGGTTCTGTTTGCATACTGGATTACGTTTATTGATTTTCATGTGTTGAACCAGTCTTGCATCCCAGGGATGAAGCCCACTTGATCATGGTGGATAAGCTTTTTGAATTGTTGCTGGTTTCGGTTTGCCAGTATTTTATTGAGAATTTTTGCATTGATATTCATCAAGGATATTGGTCTAAAATTTTCTTTTTTGGTTGTTTCTCTGCCAGGCTTTGGTATCAGGATGATGCTGGCCTCATAAAATGAGTTAGGGAGGATTCCCACTTTTTCTATTGATTGGAACAGTTTCAGAAGGAATGGTACCAGTTCCTCCTTGTACCTCTGGTAGAATTAGGCTGTGAATCCATCTGGTGCTGGACTCTTTTTGGTTGGCAAGCTACTGATTATTGCCACAATTTCAGAGCCTGTTATTTGTCTATTCAGAGATTCAACTTCTTCCTGATTTAGTCTTGGGAGAGTGTATGTGTCGAGGAATTTATCCATTTCTTCTAGATTTTCTAGTTTATTTGCGTAGAGGTGTTTGTAGTATTCTCTAATGGTAGTTTGTATTTCTGTGGGATCGGTGGTGATAGCTTCTTTATTATTTTGTATTGCGTCTATCTGATTCTTCTCTCTTTTCTTCTTTATTAGTCTTGCTAATGGTCTATCAATTTTGTTGATCCTTTCAAAAAACCAGCTCCTGGATTCATTAATTTTTGAAGGGTTTTTTGTGTCTCTATTTCCTTCAATTCTGCTCTGATCTTAGTTATTTCTTGCCTTCTGCTAGCTTTTGGATATGCTTGCTCTTGCTTTTCTAGTTCTTTTAATTATGATGTTAGGGTGTCAATTTTAGATATTTCTTGCTTTCTCTTGTGGGCATTTAGTGCTATAAATTTCCCTCTACACACTGCTTTGAATGTGTCCCAGAGATTCTGGTACGTTGTGTCTTTGTTCTCCTTGGTTTCAGAGAACATCTTTATTTCTGCCTTCATTTCATTATCTATGCAGTAGTCATTCATGAGCAGGTTGTTCAGTTTCCATGTAGCTGTGTGGTTTTGAGTGAGTTTCTTAATCCTGAGTTATAGTTTGATTGCACTGTAGTCTGAAAGAGAGTTTCATATAATTTCTGTTTTTTTACATTTGCTGAGGAGTGCTTTACTTCCAACTGTGTGGTCAATTTTGGAGTAGGTGTGGTGTGGTGCTGAAAAGAATGTATATTCTGTTGATTTGGGGTGGAGGGTTCTGTACGTGTCTATTAGGTCCACTTGGTGCAGAGCTGAGTTCAATTCTTGGGTATGTTTGTTAACTTTCTGTCTAATTGATCTGTCTAATGTTGACAGTGGGGTGTTAAAGTCTCCCATTATTATTGTGTGGGAGTCTAAGTCTCTTTGTAGGTCACTAAGGAATTGCTTTATGAATCTGGGTGTTCCTGTATTGGGTGCATATATATTTAGGATAGTTAGCTCTTCTTGTTGAATTGATCCCTTTACCATCATGTAATGGTCTTCTTTGTCTCTTTTGATCTTTGTTGGTTTAAAGTCTGTTTTATCAGAGACTAGGATTGCAATCCCTGCCTTTTTTTATTTTCCTTTTGCTTGGTAGATCTTCCTCCATCCCTGTGTTTTGAGCCTATGTGTGTCTCTGCACGTGAGATGGGTTTCCTGAATACAGCACACTGATGGGTCTTGACTCTTTATCCAAATTGCCTATCTGTGTCTTTTAATTGGAGCATTTGGCCCATTTACATATAAAGTTAATATTGTTATGTGTGAATTTGATCCTTTCATTGTGATGTTAGCTGGTAATTTTGCTCATTAGTTGATGCAGTTTCTTCCTAGCCTTGATGGTCTTTACAATTTGGTGTGTTTTTGCTGTGGCTGGTACTGGTTTTTCCTTTCCATGTTTAGCGCTTCCCTCAAGAGCTCTTTTAGGGCAGGCCTGGTGGTGACAAAATCTCTCAGCATTTGCTTGTCTGTAAAGTATTTTATTTCTCCTTCACTTATGAAGCCTTAGTTTGGCTGGATTTGGAATTCTGGGTTGAAAATTCTTTTCTTTAAGAATGGTGAATATTGGTCCTGGCCCTCAGAGAAATGCAAATCAAAACCACAATGTGATACCATCTCACACCAGTTAGAATAGTGCTCATTAAAATGTCAGGAAACAACATGTGCTGGAGAAGACGTGGAGAAATAGGAACACTTTTAAATAGTTGGTGGGACTGTAAACTAGTTCAATCATTGTGGACGTCAGTGTGGCGATTCCTCAGGGATCTAGAACTAGAAATACCATTTGACCCAGACATCCCATTACTGGGTGTGTACCCAAAGGATTAGAAATCATGCTGCTATAAAGACACATGCACACGTATGTTTATAGCAGCCCTATTCACATTAGCAAAGACTTGGAACCAACCCAAATGTCCAACAATTATTGACTGGATTAAGAAAATGCAGCACATATACACCATGGAATACTATGCAGCCATAAAAAATGATGAGTTCATGTCCTTTATAGGGACATGGATGAAACTGGAAACCATCATTCTCAGCAAATGATCTTAAGGACCAAAAAACAAACACCACATGTTTTCACTCATAGGAGGGAATTGAACAATGAGAACACATGGACACAGGAAGGGGAACATCACACACTGGGGACTGTTGTGGGGTGGGGGGAGGGGGGAGGGATAGCATTAGGAGATATACCTAATGATAAATGATGAGTTAATGGGTGCAGTGCACCAGCATGGCACATGTATACGTATGTAACAAACCTGCACGTTGTGCACATGTACCCTAAAACTTAAAGTATAATAATAATAAAATTTAAACAAAAAAGAAAATGTGGTGCATACCCACCATGGAATAATAAGCAGCCTTAATAAAGAAAAAGATTTTGTCTTTTGAAAGGACATGGATGGGGATGGAGGCCATTATCCTTATCCAACTAATGCAGGAACAGAAAACCAAATGCCATATTTTCTCACTTAAATGGTAGCTAAATGATGAGAACACATAAACACTTAGCAGGGAACAACATACACTGGTCTATTAAAGAGTGGGGGTTGAGAGAGGGGAGAGGATCAGGAAAAATAACTAATGGATACTAAGTTTAATAGTTGGATGATAAAATAATCTGTACAACAAACACCCATGCCAAATGTTTAGCCTCTGTAACAAACCTGCAGGTCCTGTACATGTACTCCTGAACTTAAAAAAAAAAAAAATAGGACACAAATCATAATGCTGTAGGTTATACTATATTTGATACTTGGTCATTCAATCACATGCCTGGTATTTATTATTCTATCTCTCTTTATTAAATCACAACATATTATGTGTTAGCATTACTGCTTAAGTTTTACCCTGAACTGACCAAAGCTCTCCTTTCTATATGCTGGAGAAGATATAATACATGGTCTTACAGCATTCACTCTGAGGAGGCACAGAAAAGTTGCAAAAGTTTGTTTCTAACAAATCATTATTGGTAGTTTTTTATCAAACTTGAGACTCCAAAAAGACTCTAAAAAGAAGAAAGATAATCATGGTGTTAAAACAAAACAAAACTAACAAACAAAATCTGGAAAAAAAAGTAAAAAACAAACAAACAAAAAACTCAATTTATTGTATGAAAAGCCTCCAGCAGAAAAACCTTATCAATATTAAAAACTGTAATATTACAGATTCCATAGAAGAATAATTGAAACAACCACAGGTAAGTGAACAAAGTGATATTAGAAGTCACAAGTTGGTCACTTCCAAGATTGCCGAATAGGCACAGCTCTGCAGCTCCCAGCAAGATCGACACAGAAGATGGGTGATTTCTGCATTTCCAACTGAGTTACCTGGTTCATCTTGTTGAGACTTGTTGGACAGTGGGTACAGCCCACCAAGGGAGAGCCAAAGCAGGGCAGGGCATCACTTCATCCAGGAAGAACAAGGAGTTGGGGATTTCCCTTTCCTAGCCAAGGGAAGCTGTGACAGACTGTATCTGGAGAAATGGTACACTCCTGTCCAAATACTGTGCTATTCCCACAGTCTTAGCAACCGGCAGACCAGGAGATACCCTTCCATGACTCTCTCAATGAGTCCCACACCCATAGAGCCTTGCTCATGGCTAGCACAGCAGTCTGATATTGACGTGCAATGCTGCAGCTTGATAGGGGGAGGGCATCACCACAGCTGAGGCTTGAGTAGCTCACAGTGTAAACAAAGAGGCCAGGCAGCCTGGACCAGGTGGAGCCCACTGCAGCTCAGCAAGGCCTACTGCCTCTATAGATTCCACCTCTGGGGACAGGGCATAGTAGAACAAAAGGCAACAGACAACTTCTGTAGATTTTAACATCCATGTCTAACAGCTCTGAAGAGAGCAGTGGTTCTCTCAACATGGCTTTGGAGCTCTGAGAACAGACAGGCTGCCTCCTGAAATGGGTACCTGACCCCTGTGTGGCCTGACTGGGAAACACCTCCCAGTAGGGGCCAACAGACACCTCAAACATGTGGGTGCACCTCTGGGACAAAGTTCCAGGGGAAGGATCAGGCAGCAATATTTGCTGTTCTGCAGACTCCACTGGTGATACCCAGTCAAACCACGTCTGGAATGGACCTCTAGCAAACACCAACAGACCTGCAGCTGAGGTGTCTGACTGTTACAAGGAAAATTAACAAACAGAAAGGGATAACATCAACATCAACACAAAGGACATCCACACAAAAACCCCATCTGCAGGTGACCAGCATCAAAGACCAAAGGTAGATAAAACCACAAAGATGGGAAGAAACCAGAGCAGAGAAGCAGAAAATCCCGAAAAATAGAGCGTCTCTTCTACTGCAAAGCATCACAGCTCCTCACCAGCAAGGAAACAAAACTAGACGGAGAATGAGTTTGATGAGTTGACAGAAGTAGGCTTCAGAAGGTGGGTAAAACAAACTTCTCCAAGCTATAGGAGCATGTTCTAACTCATCACAGGGAAGCTAAAAACCTTGAAAAAAGGTTAGATGAATGGCCAACTAGAATAAACAGTGTAGATAAAATTTTAAATGATGTGATGGAGCTAAAAACCATGGCATGACAACTTCATGATGCAAGCACAAGCTTCAATAGTCAGTTCAATTAAGTGGAAGAAAGGATATCAGAGATTGAAGATAAAATTAATGAAATAAAGTGAGAAGACAAGATTAGAGAAAAAAGAGTGAAAAGATATGAACAAAGCCTCCAAGAAATATAAGACTATGTGAAAAGACAAAATATACATTTGATTGGTGTACCAGAAAGTGATGAGAACAGTGGAACCAAGTTAAAAAACAATCTTCAAGATATTATCCTAGATAACTTTCCCAATCTAGCAAGGCAGGCAACCATTCAAATTCAGGAAATACAGAGAAGAGCACAAAGCTACTCCTCAAGAAGAGCAACCCCAAGACACATAATTGTCAGATTCACCAAGGTTGATATCAAGCGAAAAATGTTAAGGTCAGCCAGAGAGAAAGGTTGGGTTACCCACAAAGGAAAGCCCATGAGACTAACGGCAGATCTCTCAGCAGAAACCCTACTCGCCAGAACAGAGTGGGTGCCAATATTCAACATTCTTAAAGAAAAGAATTTTCAGACAAGCAAATGCTGATAGATTTTGTCACCACCAAGCTTCCCTTACAAGAGCTCCTGAAAGAGGCACTAAACACGGAAAGGAACAACTGGTACCAGCCACTGCAAAAACATGCCAAATGGTAAAGACCATCAACTGTATGACGAAACTGCATCAATTAATGGCAAAATAACCAGCTAAATCATAATGACAAGATCAAATTCAAACATAACAATATTAATCTTAAATGTAAATGGGCTAAATGCCCCAACTAAAAGACATAGACTGGCAAATTGGATAAAGAATCAAGACCCGTCAGTGTGCTGAATTCTGGAGACCCATCTTATGTGCAAAGATTCACATAGGCTCAAAATAAAGCGATGGAGGAAGATCTACCAAACAAATGGAAAGAAAAAAAAAAAGCTGAGGTTGCAATCCTAGTATCTGATAAAACAGACATTAAACCAACAAATTTCAAAAGAGGCAAAGTAGGACACTACATAGTGGTAAAGGGATCAATTCAACAGGAAGAGATAACTATCCTAAATATACATGCAGGAGCTCCAATACAGGAGCACCCAGATTTACAAAGCAAGTCCTTGGAGACCTACAACGAAACTTACACTACCACACAACAATAATGGGCGAGTTTAACACCCCACTGTCAGTATTAGACAGATCAACAAGACAGAAGGTTAACAAGGATATCCAGGACTTGAACTAAGCTCTGCAACAAGGGGACTTAATAGACATTTACAGAACTCTCCACCACGAATCAACTGAATACACATTCTTCTCAGCACCACATCACACTTATTGTAAAATTGACAAAATAGCAAAACACTCTCAGTAAATGTAAAAGAACAGAAATCACACGAAAATGTCTCTCAGACCACAGTGCAATCAAATTAGAACTCAGGATTAGTAAACTCACTCAAAACTGCACAACTATATAGGAACTGAAGAACCTCCTCCTGAATGACAACTGCGTAAATAACTAAATGAGGGCAGAAATAAAGATGTCCTTTGAAACCAGTGAGAACAAAGACACATCATACCAGAATCTCTGTGACACATTTAAAGCAGTGTGTAGAGGGAAATAAATAATGCAAAACAAAAAGCAGAGTTTGCAGTCCTAGTGTCCGATAAAACAGACTTTAAATCAACAAATATCAAAAGAGACAAAGGCCACTACATACAGCAGTCTAATATACCAATAAATGCCCACAAGAGAAAGCAGGAAAGAACTAAAATCGACACCCCAACATCACAATTAAAAGAGCTAGCGAAGCAAGAGCAAACAAATTCAAAAGCTAGCAGAAGGCAAGCAATAACTAAGATCAGAGCAGAACTGAAGGAGATAGAGACACAAAAACCCTTCGAAAAAATCAATGAATCCAAGAGCTGGAGTTTTGAAAAGATCAACAAAATACATAGACCACTAGCAAGACTAATAAAGAGGAAAAGAGAGAAGAATCAAATAGATGCAATAGAAATGATAAAGGGGATATCACCACCAATCCCACAGAAATACAAACTACCATTGGAGAATACTATAAACACCTCTACACAAATAAATTAGAAAATCTAGAAGAAATGGATAAATTCCTGGACACATGCACCCTCACAAGACTAAACCAGGATGAAGTTGAATCTCTGAATAAACCAATAACAGGTTCTGAAATTGAGGCAATAATTAATAGTCTACCAACAATAAAAAGTCAGGACCAGATGGATTCACAGCTGAATTCTACCAGAGGTGCAAAGAAGAGCTGTTACCATTCCTTCTGAAACTATTCCAACCAATAGAGAAGGAAGGGATCCTCCATAACTCACTTTATGAGGCTAGCATCATACTGATACCAAAGCCTGGTAGAGACACAACAAAAGAGAGAATTTTAAGCCAATATCCCTGATGAACTTTGATGTGAAAATCTTCAATAAAATACTGGAAAACTGAATCCAGCAGCACATCAAAAAGCTTATCCACCACAATCAAGTTGGCTTCATCCCTGGGATGCAAGGCTGCTCAACATATGCAAATCAATAAACAGAGTCCATCATATAAACAGAAGCAAAGACAAATACCATATGATTATCTCAATAAATGAAGAAAAGGCTTTTGACAAAATTCGACACCGCTTCATGCTAAAAACTCTCAGTAAACTGGGTATTAATTGAACATACCTCAAAATAATAAAGCTATTTATGACAAATCCACAGCCAATATCATACTGAATGGGCAAAAACTGGAAGCATTCCCTTTGAAAACTAGCACAAGACAAAGATGCCCTCTCTCACTACTCCTATTCAAAATGGTGTTGGAAGTTCTGGCTAGGGCAATCAGACAAGAGAAAGAAATAAAGTGTATTCAATTAGGAAAAGAGGAAGTCAAATTGTCTCTGTTTGCAGATGACATGATTATCTATTTAGAAAACTCCATCGTCTCAGCCCAAAATCTCCTTAAGCTGATAAGTACCTTCAGCAGAGTCTCAAGGTATGAAATCAATGTGCAAAAATCAGAAGCATTCCTATATACGAATACTAGGCAAACAGAGAGCCAAATCATGAGTGAACTCACATTCAGAATTACTAGAAAGAGAATAAAATAGCTAGCAATCCAACTTACAAGGGATGTGAAGGACCTCTTCAAGGAGAACTACAAACCACTACTCAATGAAAGAGGACAGAAACAAATGGAACAACATTCCATGCTCATGGATAGGAAAAATCAGTTATCGTGAAAATGGTCATACTGCCCAAAATAATTTATAGATTCAATGCTATCCCCATCAAGCTACCACTGATTTCGTCACAGAATTAGAAAAAACTACTTTAAAGTTCATATGGAACCAAAAAAAAGCCCACATAGCCAAGATAATCCTAAGCAAAAAGGACAAATCTGGAGACATCATTCTACCTGACTTCAAACTATCTTACAAGTCTACAGTAACCAAAACAGTATGGTACTGGCACCAAAACATATCTAGACAAATGGAACAGAACAGAGGCCTCAGAAATAACACTATACATCTACAACCATCTGATCCTTGACAAACCTGACACAAACAAGCCATGGGGAAAGGATTCCCTATTTAAAAATGGTGCTGGGAAAACTGGCTAGCCATATGTAGGAAGCTGAAACAGGATCCCTTCCTTACACCGTTTACAAAAATTAACTCACGATGGATTAAAGACTTAGATGTAAGCCCTAATACCATAAAAACCCTAGAAGAAAACCTAGGCAATACTATTCAGGATATAGGCATGGGGAAAGACTTCATGACTAAAACATCAAAAGCAATGAAAACGAAAGCCAAAATTGACAAATGGGATTTAAGTAAACTAAAGAACTTTTGCACATCAAAAGAAACTATCATCAGAGTGAACAAATAACTTCCAAAATGGGAGAAAATCTTTGCAATCTACCCATCTGACAGAGGGCTAATATCCAGAATCTACAAAAACTTAAATAAATTTACAAGAAAAAAGAAAAAACAACCCCATCAAAAAGTGGCCAAAGCATATGAACAGACATTTCTCAAGAGAAGACATTTATGCAGCCATCAGACATACGAAAAAATGCTCATCATCACTGGTCATCAGAGAAATGCAAATCAAAACCACAATGAGATACCATCTTGTGGAAATTACAATGTCAATCATTAAAAAGTCAGGAAACAACAGATGCTGCAGATTATGTGGAGAAATAGGAATGCTTTCACACTGTTATTGGGAGTGTAAATTCGTTCGACCATTGAGGAAGACAGTGTGGCATTTCCTCAAGCATATAGAACTAGAAATACCATTTGACCCAGTGAACCCATTACTGGGTATATACCCAAAGGATTGTAAATCATGCTACTATAAAGACATATGCACAGGTATGTTTGTTGCGGCACTATTAACAATAACAAAGACTTGGAACCAACCCAAATATCCATCAGTGATAGACTGGATTAAGAAAATGTGTGGCACATACACACCACGGAATACTATGCAGCCATAAAAAAGGATGAGTTCCTGTCCTTTGCAGGGACATGAATGAAGCTGGAAACCATCATTCTAAGTAAACTATCACAAACACAGGAAACCAAACATGGCATGTTCTCACTCACAGGTGGGAGCTGAGTGAGAACACATGGACACAGGGTGGGGAACATCACACACCAGGGCCTTATAGGGGGTAGGGTGTCTGGAGGAGGGATAGCATTAGGAGAAATACCTAGTGTAAATGACGAGTTGTTTAATGCAGCCAACCAACATGGCACATGTATACCTATGTAACAAACCTGCATGTTGTGCACATGTATCCTAGAATTTAAAGTTTTTTTTTAAAGAAGTCACAAATTTAGTGGTACTTTTAAAATGACTGTCATACCACAAAATGCCAGGGGAGATGAAGGAAAAAGTTGATTATAAAGAAACAGCATAGTTTGTAATGTATTTTTATTTTGGTTGCTTTTTTCTTTAAAGTATAGCACATAAACAACAAAATGCACAAATGTTAACTAATGACATGATGCATCAGGTTTACTAAGTATACATAGGGAGAGTTAATTTGTGGTACTACTTTAGAACATTAGAGAGACTTTTTGTTTATTGTTTCAGGTTTCACTGAATGTGATTCAACAGTTTATCCATGTAGGAGTGTGTTTGGCTGTTTGACTTAATCCTGTACTTGAATTCTACTGGGGCCTTAACGACTTTTTTTCAGCTGGTTTTTTAGAAAAAATATTCTTCAGCCATCTTTATATAAGCACTAGCCTCTTTGTAAGAAAAAAAATCTCATAATGCTGATTACTGAGAGAACTGCATTTGCTTCTGTGTCCTGTTGAATGACAAATTTAAAGTCTGTTTAATATTAGAATCTGATGTAAATGAAAAACCAAGGAGAAAGTAGCTATGGAATGAGACTCTACATGAAGATTGTCCTGTTGTAATCGTAATTTCAGTGTTGAAAGAATATTATAAGCATATTCTAAATATATTCCATCTTTTTGGGAATTATAGTATGGATACCAGAAAACTAGCTGGATTTTTTTTTCCATCAGCTAAAAAGCCAGGATTGATGACTTTTTTAAAAGTAAGACTACATATAAAGGCTGGGGTCCCTAGAGTGGACGGTTCCCACTGATCTCAGGAATGACAATTTACAAAATGCTCAACCTGTCATTGTTTATCTAAATTCACTGAATTGCTACTTCTGGAATACCAAGATAACAGGGCTTGTGTACCTTTCTGTCTTTTGAATCACAAGTTCTTTTAGCCTCAATGCACAGCTATTCCATAGTCATCCCAGCTGGTAGAAAAATATTAATCAAATGCAAAGGGGTTCTGCCACTAAACCTAGAAAACTAAGGAAAACCTTTACCACAAAACTGCCTTTTTCAGGACACTACAAATAACACACCTAAATAGATGCCTAAAACTAATATAGTTGGATAAGTAGATGAATTAGATACAGTCCCAACACTGGAGAACTTGAAAGTCAGGTTCATATAACCCTTTAAGGTGCACATTCCCTTCTAAAATGTTAAGTTTAGGGTCAGTTCACTGAAAGGCCATATAAGTGGTATGTTTAGCATCTGTTTGCTGAAAGGCCATATAAAGTTCATTAAATACTAGAGGTTTCATTATTTCTAACTATATTTTGTACCCATTAAACAACCCCCCAACTACCCTTTTCAGGCTCTGGTAACCATCTTTCTACCCTCTATCTCCATAGTTCAATTGTTTTGATTTTCAGCTCTAATAAATAAACAAGAATATACAAAGTTTGTTTTTCTGCATCTGTCTCAGTTCACTTATCATAATGACCTCCAGTTCCATCCATGTTGTTGCAAATAACTGGACACAAATGACAAATAATTGAGGGTGTGGTACCCAATTTGCCCTGATGTTTGTTATTACACATTGTATGCCTGTATCAAAATATCTCACGTAACCCATAAATAGATACAACTACTATGTACCTACAAAAATTAACAAAAAAAACCATACATTTCATCTGAGGCATTTTTATTCTCCTCAAGTCTGTGAATAAATTTTTTGTTATCACGAGTGCTGACAGTCTTACAGCCCCATGTAATGTGAAAGAAATATGACTAATTAGCTTTTTTAATAACAAATGTGTTGTGAGTTGCCGTTTCACTACCCTTTGAGCTCTCTGCTTTTATGTTTTCCCCCAAAGCTTTATGATTGTGCCAGAAATTAAGAACTGCAGAGAGATACTCAGAAAGGTATTGACTTTTGAGCATTTGAGCATTTCTCAGTTGTGTGACTGAGGACTTGTGGTCAAACTGCTCTGAGCTTTGGTTTTCTCTTCTATGCTGAAAATGAATCGTGCTTTCTCACTCACAAAGGGAATTGTGGAAAATCTAATATTCTAAATTTTATTTCTGCAAGCCTGACACCTGTTTTATGTTTCATATGTTTCTTATGTGTGTTCTCACAATGATGATTTTAAAAATAATTGTGATTATCTTATATATAAAGTAAAACTCATTCTTTTTTTTGTAGGGTTTTGCAAGTTTTGATGAAAATAGTAAGCATATTGACAACATAATCTGTGCATAAAGTAGTGCCTCAAACTACACATCATTCTTTGACCTTTTGTCATCAACCTTTCTGTCTCGTCAGCCTTCAAGTGCTACTAATCTAACCACTAGTCTGTTTGTATAGTGCATTTTCCAGAATATTTTATAACTGGGTAACACAATATGCACCCTATTTACAATGGCTTTTTTCATGTAGGTTAATACAGTTGAGATTTCCCCCATTGTTGTATGTATCAGCAATTCATTTCTTTCTTGTTGCTGGATAGTGTTTCATTCTGTACATGTACTACAGTTTTATTTTCTTTTACTTAACCCTCTCATCTTTGAAAGGACATCTGTGTTGTTTCCAGTTTTTAATGATTACAACTAAAGCAACAATAAATGCTCAGTACCAGGCTTTTTTTAAAATGAACATTAATTTTCATTTCTCTTTGGTAACACTTAGGAAGAGACTTCTGGGTCCTGTTGAGTCAGGTAATGATATGGACGGGAGAGAGGGAAATACTGGGTTCAAGAGGGTGATTACCCAACAAAAGTCCCACCCTCAAGCCTGGAAACCCATGGCCCTAAACAGGAACAGGCATTCCTGTTTTCACACCCAAATGTTGCCTTTTGGCTCAACACACCCCCCTGTTCTGTACCCATATAAACTCCAGGCTCTACAAGCAGAGGAGCAGAGCAGCAGAAGAGTGGCATAGCAGAGGAGGGAAGAGAAGGAGTAGCTAAATATTTAGAGTTCGACCAGGGGCAGTCAGAGAGGTTAGCCACAGGATGGCCAAACTCAAGGGGAAGATCATCTTCCCTCTCCATCCCCTTTCCATCTCCCCATTCATCTCACTGATAGCCACCTCCATCTAGCAATAAAATACCCCATATTTACCATTCTCCAAATTGTCTGTGTGCCCTGATTTTTCCTGGATGCCAGACAAGAACCTGGGTACCAGGGCACTAAGATGGCTAAAACATAAGCCATTTGTGGATGGCAAAGCTAAAAGAGCACTGTAACACACCCACTGGGGCTTCAGGAGTGGCAGGTACCCACCGCTGGATGCTACCATGGGATCAGGGCCCAAAGTCACTCACCCCAGCTCCTGTGCCTGCCTGTCTGCATGGTCCTCTTCCCAGAAGGGGTTTGAGCAGCAGCAGATGAAGAGACATGTCACACCCCTGTTACACATCCCACAAGGAAGGTCAGGGAACTCACCTGTTTCAATAGTACTTACATGTTTAGTTTCATAAGAAGCCACTGCTCTGTTTTCCTGTGCCTGTGCCATTCTGCATTCCCATCACTAACATAGAAAGTTTCTCTGCTACTCCACCTCCTCACTGACACTCATATTGTTAGGGTTTTGCTTCAGTATTTTTGTTCTTGTATGTTGATTTAAATTTTAGACCTTCTCACTCATGTGTAGTAATATTTCCCTGTGGTTGTAATTTCCATTTCTTTAACTAAAGATGTTGAGCATCTTTTCATGAGACTATACTCTATATCTTCTTTGGTAAAGTTTCTGTTCAAACTACTTGTCCTTTTTTTTTTTTTTTTATACAGAGTCTTGCTCTGTTGTCCAGGCTGGAGTGCAGTGATGCGATCTCAGCTCACTGCAAGCTCCACCTCCCAGGTTCATGTCTTCCTCCTGCCTCAGCCTCCCGAGTAGCTGGGACTGCAGGTGCCCACAACCACGCCTTGCATATATATATAGTATTTTTAGTAGAGACGGTGTTTCACCCTGTTAGCCAGGATGATCTCAATCTCCTGACCTCGTGATACGCCCGTCTCGGCCTCCCAAAGTGCTGGGATTACAGGCATGATCCACCGCGCCTGGCCCTACTTGTCCATTTTTCAATTAGATTGTTGATTTGGTATACCAGACTGTGCATTTCTTTTTTTTTTTTTTTTTTTTTTTTGAGACGGAGTCTCGCTCTGTCGCCCAGGCTGGAGTGCAGTGGCGGGATCTCGGCTCACTGCAAGCTCCGCCTCCCGGGTTCACGCCATTCTCCTGCCTCAGCCTCCCAAGTAGCTGGGACTACAGGCGCCCGCCACTACGCCCGGCTAATTTTTTTGTATTTTTAGTAGAGACGGGGTTTCACCGTTTTAGCCGGGATGGTCTCGATCTCCTGACCTCGTGATCCGCCCGCCTCGACCTCCCAAAGTGCTGGGATTACAGGCGTGAGCCACCGCGCCCGGCCCAGACTGTGCATTTCTTAAGATGGAATTTTTAAAATAGGCTTGATTGAATGATTGCCATAGAGTGCAGGAAGTCCCTGTACAACTCTCATCCAGTTCCTCTCATTATTAACATCTAATGTGGTTATGGTGTACTTTCCAAAGCTAAGAATCCGATACCACTGATAAAGCACTCTTAAGCACACCTCAGGCTTTAGGCAGATTCCACCAGCATTTTGTGAATGATATTTTTTCTGTCACAGGATCCCAGTGAAAGATCACGCTGCACTTACTTTTCACCTCTCCCCCATCTCCACTTGTTTGTGGCTGTTTCTCAGCCTTCTCTTGCTTTATCGTGACCTCAACAGTCTTGAATACTTTTCAAGTAGTCTGTGGAATATTTCCAATGCCAGATTTGTCTGTTGTTTGTCTTATTATAAGAATGGGGTTAGGGGATGCTGGAAAGAATATTACAGAAGTGAAGTAATCTTCTCATCATCTCACTAGCATGGAGAGATATAGATAGATAGATAGATGATATAGATGATACAGAGATACAGAGATAGATAGATAATAGAGAAATAGATACATCATAGATAGATATAGGAAAGATAGATAGCAGATAGATAATAGATATATAGATCAATAGATAATAGATAGATGATAGATATATAGATGATACATAGAAGATACGTAGATGATAGATTTGATACTTTGATAATACACAGAGAGATAGGTGACAGATACAGGTATATATTACATAGTATGTTATATTAAAAATTAACAAAATATTAATTATATGTTATAAAATATACATTATATATTACCTACTTAAATATATTATATATGATATAGAATATAATGTATAATATACATCATATATGTATAACTATATATAGTATCCATAATGCATTATATGCAATTATATAATATATATTACATATGATTATATTATATATATAATTGTATACAGTTGACCCTTGAACAAGGTGAGGCTTAGGGACACCAATCCCTTGTACAGTTAAAAGTTCATATGTAGGCTGGGCATGGTGGATCATGCTTAGAATCCTAGCACTTTGGTATGCCAACGTGAATGTTTGCTTCATGTCAGAAGTTCAAGACCAGCCTGGCCAACATGGTGAAACGTGTTGAAACCCTCTACTAACAATACAAAAAGTATCCAGGCATGGTGGCACATGCCTGTAACCAGCTACTCAAGAGGCTGAGACAGGAAACTTTACTGATCCCAGAAGAGGAATGTTGCCGTTGGCCAAAAGTGCACCATTGCACTCCACCCTGGGTGACAGAGTGAGACTCAATCTCAAAAATAGTTCACGTATTTTAAATCCCCTAAAACTTAACTAACAGCATACTGAAATCCATTGATAAGTAGATCTTCATAGTTTAAACTCATGTTATTCAAGGATCAACTGTGTATATTGTATATAATATTCATTATATATAGTATAATACATAATAAAATTATTATTATTATTTTCTTAAGGCTTTATAGTATCTTCAGCTACACAGGATTTCCTGAAGCTAAAGGCTTTTGTTTCACTTGCAAACTGCAAGCCAGGAGAGGCTTCCTGCCTTTCTCACAATGGCCACCCATCAAGAACTATGAGGAGTCTGGGAGTATATCCTGTTTGTAAGTTAATAAAATAGCTTGCTGCAATTCTATGGATGCTGGCAGAAGACACAGAACTTTTAGGTCGAAGAATAGAGGAACTTGCTTCCAGCAAAGTCGTTGCCAGAACATCAACCTTTTTTTATCAGTATCACAAAGGGGTGCTGCGGATGAACTTGGATAGGAACCTACACCTGCCGTGGGCTGCATTACAAGAGGGATACACAGAACTTGGGAAAACTCTACCACTTTGTAACCCCCAATAAGCAGAGCCTGCTCTTGTCCTGGAGGAATATGTCACCTCCTCCTTCAAGGTTGAACAGGGAGTAGAACAACAACCATGAGAAATGCTCCGGGTAAAGGGTGGTCGGAGCCTGTCATTCTTTCTTATCACACCCATAAGATATGGAGGACAAGAGACCCATGGAGAAGAGTCTCCTCCACTGCTGTTCAATTCTCCCCAGACATCATCTTGAGGGTGCTTCTTCAGTTCTCTCAACCTGTCCCCAGTCTCCCTTGTAGGTACCAGGAAAATTTTGTGAAGACTCAGTGAAAGCTGCAAATTTCTCTTATGGCCATGTCTCCCAGACATCCTATAACTTCACCCTAGTCCACTGTCAAGCCCTTTGATACTTTATTTGCATGTGTCTTATCCATTTGGGTGTTTTCCATGTCTGTTCATGGCAAGATGTGCACACATCCTATCTCACCTTAGAAACACCTGCCTTTCCTTGTATTCCAGGCTGATTCTTTTCACTATGTATTAGTCAGGGTTCTCCAGAGGTACAGAACTAATAGAATCTATGTCTATATGAAAGGGAGTTTATTAGGGAGAATTGGCTCACACCATCACAAGGCAATGTCCCACTGTAGGCCGTTTGCACGCTGGGGAAGACAGAAGCTGATAGTAGTTGAGTCAGACTCCAACAACCTCAAAGGCAGGGAGGCAGACAGTACAGCTTTCAGTCTGTGGCCAAAGGCCCAAGAGCCCTCAGCAAATCACTGCTGTAAGTCCAAGAGTCCAAAAGCTGGCTGGGCATGGTGGCTCATGCCTGTTATCCCAGCACTTTGGGAGGCCAAGGCAGGTGGATTGCTTTCAGTCAGGAGTTCAAGAGTAGCTTGGCCAACATGGTGAAACACTGTCCCTACTAAAAATACAAAAATTCACTAGGCATTGTGGTGAGTGCTTGTATTCCTAGTTATTTAAAAGGCTAAGGCAGGAGAATCACTTGAACCCGGGAGACAAAGGTTGTAGTGAGCCAAGATCATGCCACTGGACTCCAGCCTGGATGATAAAGTGAGATCTTGTCTCAAATAATAAAAATACTACTACTAATATTGAATAATAATAAAATAAATAAGAGCCCCAAAGCCAAAGAACCTGGAGTCTCAGGTCCAAGATCAGAAGTAAGAGAATGAAGCATCCAGCATGGGAGACAGACGAAAGCCTGAAGACCCAGCAAGCCAGCTTCTCCCACCTTCTTCCACTTGCATTGTTCTAGCTGTACTGGCAGCCAGTTAGATGATGCCCATCCACATTGAGGGTGGGTCTTCCTCTCTCAGCCCCCTAACTCAGTGTCAATATCCTCTGGTGAAAACCTCACAGACACACCCAGAAACAATAATTTACCAGCTACCAAGGCATCCCTCAGTCCAATCAAGTTGACACCTAATATTAACCATCACTCCCTGCAACTGTGGTTTTCTAACAGATTCAGGAAAATTTGAATTCATTTCTGATATGTCCTTCATTTTGCCTTTATTGCAGGAGCAATGATCTTCTTGACAGCTGTCTACATCCTAAGTGTAAGCTAGAAGGCTAAACTTTTTATTTCATAAAGAAGAAGGGCTTCAAGTTAATCTGCTTAAAACCCTGAGTTTAAATTGCTGGCATTCAGTAGAATGTTCAAATGCATTTTAAGGACAAATGCGTGTCCTTAAAAGAATTAGTCTGAGTGAAGTTGTAGTTTCTCTCCATAAATTTTCAAATGTCGGGAATATTTATTAACATGGAGAAGGGAATAGAAATCAAGGGGTAGGTGACTTTAGATCTAGCACCAAAGGTGGGAGAACAACTTCTAGAAAAAACTGAAAGTAATCTACTTTAGTCTGTGAAGGGCTACACAGTGTGCAGTCTTTACCGCACAGTGGGCACTAGATCTAGCTTCAACGAATGAACGAAGTACTCAATTAATAGTCTAATGCCTGTACTGATATGTGTGGAAGAAAAATCCAGCCAATATGAATTACAGTGTTGTCTATAACCATTTCACTGAATGGGAAACTAAGTGAATGCTCCAGAAATATTCCTGGTTATGTATTTTTCCTAGTTCTAGCGTGGTCATATTAGCATTTCAAATTCATCTCTGATGGGTGAAAATCTAATTCTTTTCCCCCATTTTTGTGGTGGTATTCAATTTTTTAAGTGTGCAGAAATTAAAAATAATGTTTAATTCACTGAAGGGTCCATTAACATAACTAGGTGAAATACAATTCTTTTCAGTTTGGTTCAACTCCCTTTGTCACACCCAGGTAAATATTTCTTCCCAAAAGTTTTACTTGCTCTCCCCCTTAGCATCTTTTTTGGAGAATGCTCCTTTTCTGCAATCAATGCCCATCACCAAATACCTGTCTGGAAAGACTTCATTTAGGTATTTATATTTTCATGGCACCAGAATATTGAAAAAAATACACGATTGAAGCACTTGCATGATCTGAGCAAATACCATGAAAAAGTTGTGGTTTCAGCACCTCAAGTATGAATGCTTGTTATGGATAATTGACCATCTTCAGGCGTTTGCAACTGCAGCTGTAGTTAAAACAAAACAAAGCAAAGCCATTGAGGGGGTCACATGGAGATGCCAGATTTTTATGGAAAATTTCCCTTCTTAGCAAGTCAAATAAACATCGCCACCTGCTGGCCGTTGTCTCATATGGCATTCCCAATGGAGAAGGCAGGGAGAGTTTTTGCCAGTGCATGTTGAAGGTAAGACCAGAGCAAAACTGAAGGAAATAGAGACACGAAAAACCCTTCAAAAATTCAGTGAATCCAGGAGCTGGCTTTTTGAAAAGATCCACAAAATTGATAGACCTCTAGCAAGACTAATAAAGAAGAAAAGAGAGAAGAATCAAACAGACCCAATAAAAAATGACAAAGGGGATATCACCACTGATCCCACAGAAATACAAACTACCATCAGAGAATACTATAAACACCTCTACACAAATAAACTAGAAAATCCAGAAGAAATGGATAAATTCCTCAACACATACACCCTCCCAAGACTAAACCAGGAAGAAGATGAATCTCTGAATAGACCAATAACAGGCTCTGAAATTGAGGCAATAATTAATAGCTTTACCAACCAAAAAAAGTCCAGGACCAGATGGATTCACAGCCGAATTCTACCAGAGGTACAGAGAGGAGCTGGTACCCTTCCTTCTGAAAATATTCCAATCAATACAAAAAGAGGGAATCCTCCCTAACTCATTTTATGAGGCCAGCATCATCCTGATACCAAAGCCTGGCAGAGACACAACAAAAAAAGAGAATTTTAGATCAATATCCTTGATGAACATTGATGCAAAAATCCTCAGTAAAATACTGGCAAACTGAATCCAGCAGCACATCAAAAAGCTTATCCACCATGATCAAGTGGGCTTCATCCCTGGGATGCAGGACTGCTTCAACATATGAAAATCAATAAACGTAATCCAGCATACAAAAAGAACCAAAGACAAAAATGACATGATTATCTCAATAGATGCAGAAAAGGCCTTTGACAAAATTCAAGAACCTTCGTGCTAAAAACTCTCAATAAATTAGGTATTGATGGGACGTATCTCAAAATAATAAGAGCTATCTTTGACAAACCCACAGCCAATATCATACTGAATGGACAAAAACTGGAAGCATTCCCTTTGAAAACCAGCACAAGACAGGGATGACGTCTCTCACCACTCCTATTCAACATAGTGTTGGAAGTTCTGGCCAGGGAAATCAGGCAGGAGAAGGAAATAAAGGGCATTCAATTAGGAAAATTGTATGCCCTAATGACATGACTATATATCTAGAAAACCCCATCGTCTCAGTCGAATATCTCCTTAAGCTGATAAGCAATTTCAGCAAAGTCTTAGGATACAAAATCAACGTGCAAAAATCACAAGCATTCTTATATACCAATAACAGACAGAGAGCCAAATCATGAGTGAACTCCCATTCACAATTGCTTCAAAGAGAATAAAATACCTAGGAATCCAACTTACAAAGGTTGTGAAGGACCTGTTCAAGGAGAACTACAAACCACTGCTCAATGAAATAAAAGAGGGTACAAACAAATGGAAGAACATTCCATGCTCATGGGTAGGAAGAATCGATATCATGAAAATGGCCATACTGCCCAAGGTAATTGATAGATTCAATGCCATCCGCGTGAAGCTACCAATGACTTTCTTCACAGAATTGGAAAAACACTACTTTAAAGTTCATATGGAACCAAAAAAGGGCCCGCTTCGCCAAGTCAATCCTAAGCCAAAAGAACAAAGCTGGAGGCATCATGCTACCTGACTTCAAACTATGCTACAAGGCTACAGCAACCAAAACAGCATGGTACTGGTACCAAAACAGAGATATAGACCAATGGAACAGAACAGAGCTCTCAGAAATAATGCCATATATCTACAACTATCTGATCTTTGACAAACCTGATGAAAACAAGCAATGGGGAAAGGATTCCCTATTTAATAAATGGTGCTGGGAAAACTGGCTAGCCATATGTAGAAAGCTGAAACTGGATCCCTTCCTTACACCTTATACAAAAATTAATTCAAGATGGATTAAAGACTTACATGTTAGACCTAAAAATATAAAAACCCTGGAAGAAAACCTAGGCAATAACATTCAGGACATAGGTATTGGCAAGGACTTCATGTCTAAAACACCAAAAGCAATGGCAACAAAAGCCGAATTGACAATTGGGATCTAAATAAACTACAGAGCTTCTGCACAGCAAAAGAAACTACCATCAGAGTGAACAGGCAACCTACAGAATGGTAGAAAATTTTTGCTATCTACTCATCTGACAAAGGGCTAATATCCAGAATCTACAATGAACTCAAACAAATTTACAAGAAAAAAACAAACAACCCCATCAAAAAGTGGGCAAAGGATATGAACATATACTTCTCAAAAGAAGACGTTTATGCAGCCAAAAAACACATGAAAAAATGCTCATCATCACTGGCCATCACAGAAATGCAAATCAAAACCACAATGAGACACCATCTCACACCAGTTAGAATGGCGATCATTAAAAAGTCAGGAGACAACACGTGCTGGAGAGGATGTGGAGAAATAGGAACACTTTTACACTGTTGGTGGGACTGTAAACTAGTTCAACCATTGTGGAAGTCAGTGTGGTGATTCCTCAGGGATCTAGAACTGGAAATATCATTTGACCCAGCCATCCCATTACTGGGTATACACCCAAAGGATTATAAATCATGCTGCTATAAAGACACATGCACTCATATGTTTATAGCGGCACTATTCACAATAGCAAAGTCTTGGAATCAACCCAAATGTCCAACAATGATAGACTGGATTAAGAAAATGTGGCACATATACACCATGGAATACTATGCAGCCATAAGAAATGATGAGTTCATGTCCTTTGTGGGGACATGGGTGAAGCTGGAAACCATGTTTCTCAGCAAACTATCACAAGGACAAAAAACCAAACTGTATGTTCTCACTCATAGGTGGGACTTGAACAATGAGAACACATGGACACAGAAACGGGAACATGACATACCAGGGACTGTTGTGGAATGAGGGGAGGAGGAAGGGATAGCATTAGGAGATATACCTAATGCTAAATGAGGAGTTATTGGGTGCAGCACACCAACAGGGCACATGTATACATATGTAACTAAACTGCACTTTGTGCACATGTACCCTAAAACTTAAGGTATAATAATAATAAAATAAAAAAAAACTATGCAACTTCCTTTACAATGCATATTAACATGCACCGTGCTTAGATAAAGTATCATGCTCAATGAACGCATAAAAATAGTGAAAGCCCATGCAAAATGCATCATGGGAGACCATAGATCCCACATTTCTAAGAATACATAGAGTATTCGTTCTTGAATTTACCTGCACATTGGCACCACTTTGGAATATTTCAAATTTTGCATTTTCACGAGCGTATTTCTAAACACCTAAGTAAGTCTCTGATATATGGACTCTTTTTGGAGGCATTTCTTTTTCCAAACCTTCCAAGTTATTCCAAGGTGCAGCCAAGCTGAGAAGCATAATTGAGCCTTTCTCTACTGCATGGCTTAGCTGAGATGATGTCGATATATGAGCTACAGATTAAGTGGCCAGATGTTGAAGCAGGTCTGTTGTATTAAGGAGAGCTTTGGAAATCTTACTGGGTTAGAAGCCAGGCAACAGCATTTCCGGTATTGCTTCTGTGAATTATACCTGCTGATGTAGGACCAATACACATCTTCATCAGATCCTATTTCCCTTTCTTTAAGGATACATTGGGCTGTGAATCTATCTAAGGGATTTAACAGCTCAGAGTTCTGCTTATCTCTCTTTGTTCAAAAATAATTATGGCACAAATCAGAGCAGAGATGAAACATTGCAGGACTTAGTTTAAGTTAAGAAGTGTATTTCAGAGCATCTATATCACTGGCAATAGTGTAACATGAGTACATATGTAACAGGTCATTAATAATTTCTGTATTGTAAAGAGTTCCCCCACTAAATTGTAGTCATTGAACCAACTTGATTTTTGAAAAGTATAGAAAGAGTCCATTGATCATGAAAACCTCCCTTGACTTTATTGTGACTAAAAACTTTTCAGATAGAATAGAACAAAGTTTTACAGCTAAAATAATCATGAAGTCACCTGATCTATTTGCTGAACCTGTAACTGATCAAGGTGTTCAACCTTTCCTGCTGCCTAGACACAGCTGATTCATTAAGACGGGAGAATTGCAATACAGAAAGAGAACCTCATGCAGAGCCAGCTGTGCGAAAGACTGGAGTTTTATTATTACTCAAATCAATCTCCCTGAGTATACAGGGATCAGAGTTTTTAAGGACAACTTGGTGGGGTTGGAGGAAGCCATTGAACCAGGAGTTCTGATTGGTCAGAGATGAAATCACACGGAGTCAAAGCTGTCTTCCTGCCTTGTTAGTTCCTAGGTGGGGGCCACAAGATCAGATGAGCCAGTTTATTGATCTGGGTGGGGCCAGCTGTTCATCAAGTGTAAGATCTGCAAAATATCTCAAACACAGATCTTAGGAGCAGTTTAGGGAGGGTCAGAGTTTTGTAGCCTCCAGCTACATGACTCTGAAGCCATAATTTCTAATTTTGCGGCTAATGTTAGTTCTGCAAAGCTAATTTAGTCTGCAGGCAAGAAGAAATTCTGCTTTGGGAAGGGGCTGTTAGAGTGTTTGTTTAAACCATAAACTAAGTTTCTCCCAAAGTTAGTTTAGCCTATGCCCAGGAATGAAAAAGGACAACTTCGAAGTTAGAAGCAAGATGAGTTCAGTTAAGTCAGATCTCTTTCACTATCTCAGTCATAATTTTGCAAAGGCCTTTTCTTTTTTCTTTCTTCTTTCTTTCTTTTTTTTTTTTTTTTTGAGATGGTCTCTTGTTCTGTCACCAGGCTGAAGTACAGTGTCACAATCTCAGCTCACTGCCACCTCCGCCTCCTGGGTTCAAGCAATTCCCTTGCCTCAGACTTCCCAGTAGCTGAGACTACAGGTGTGCACCACCACTTCTGGCTAATTTTTTTGTATTTTAGTAGAGATGGGGTTTCACCATGTTTGCCAGGATGGTCTCAATCTCCTGACCTTGTGATTTGCCCACCTCGGCCTTCCAAAATGCTGGGATTACAGGTGTGAGCCACCACGTACAGCTTGCAAACGTGGCTTCAATCCCTCCCTTTGAGTTTTGTAACACCTTAATTTTTAGGTGTAGGCTATGGAGATGGGAAAAAGTCATCGATAGCTTTGGTTCTTCCTGCTGACAGGCGACTTAGTGGGAAGAGTAGTGAACCCCAAGTTGAGAAGAGTAGAACCACTTTGCTACTGTCTGAGTGTACTCATGCAGGCCTGACAGGGCTTCCAAGACTTGCATGGCAGAATCATTAGTACTTTTATCTATAGTTTTACTGCAGGGTTTAAGTGAACAGTCTAGTATATTATAAATAATGAGTCCTACGATGAGGACTACAATTCCCAATTTCAAAAGCAAAGAGTTGAAAGCATTAGTTTGGTGACTTCCAAACAATATATAATTTAGAATTTAGTCTTAACTTCAGAAAAAAACTTCAAGAACAGCTAACAAACGCTTACTATAGTTTTTCTTTTAAAGTGTAATTTTTCTTTTTCCAGTCCCATTTTTTATTAAAAACAAATCATGATAGAACTGTTTTCTTTATAAAATAAACTTCAATTTTATTGTACTTGGCTAATTATTTGCATAAAGTTCATCAAGGATAATTATTTTTTACTTAGGCATTTTAAATTAGCTTTGATATAATTCTATTTCATGAAGAATCTCAGATAAGACCTTTTAAAAGCTGAGCCTAGCAATGGATTTGTACCCTCAAGTACCTATGAGTTAGATAAATTTCTTTCCTCTTGAGGTCCCAAGATAACTTGGGGTTCCTGGGCCTATTAGTAAGTGACAATTTTTACTTACCACAGGTCAGGAATGCTGTACAGGGACTCTTTGTGGACAAGGTATGAAGCCAGATTCCCCAGTGACTTTTGTTGGCTTTATAAGTCAACTTTAATTAGTTAAAGAAAGCATACCATTTCATTGAAAGCCTTGGTAAAATAATTAGTTTTTCCCTGTCGTGTCCTGTTACAAAAGAAAACATTCTAATTGTACTTACACAAATAACTAAACTGCTATAAATTGTGAATATTTACTAACAGTTTCCAAATTACAGAGAAATCAGATAGGAACAAATATGCTTCAAATTTTGTTTACAAGAGTATATTTTACTCACTTGTTAAAAGTTACAAATAGCTGTAAATAAATAAGTTCTTTTGACTGAAAACAAAATGTTTAGCAATTTTTAACACATTTGATTTTCATGAGAATCCTAGAAGTTTTGTTTTCTTTTCTCTACTCCAATAGAACAATTTTTAAAGTTATTTTGAGAGGAGGTTACAGCTGGGCTTCCTGGGTCAAGTAGGGTCTGAGAAAGCTGTGAAACTCACTGATTTCCTGCATCAGGACTTACTTTGGTCCTGGATGAATAATATTGAAGATATATGCTTAAAATATTCCTAACATCAGAATTTGTGCATGTGTTTTCTTCCCCAAGAAAGCTATAAACAGTGAAACTTTTGCTGTAAGCTTCACTGTGTCCCCGGAATGTTAAAAGCCTGTTTTTCTGTGACCAGTGGACCTTCACTGTGCTCCCAATTCCAATTCTTTGTAAACACAATTTGCAAAATCCTGTGAGTTCCTGTCTTCTTCGCCATGCCTCTGCAAGGTCATAAAGCAGATACAACTTAAGTTATGCTTCTGATTTTCCTCAAGACCTCAGACGTGTTGTTTTTGTTTCCTGCTCTGGTAACATCTTCCCGCTGCATGTATTTCCCACCTTAAAGAGTTTAAAAAGTGATGAAAAAAATCTAACACTGGCTACCCACTTGGGACCCCTTCCATGCTGTGGAAGCTTTGTACTGTCACTCTGATCAATAAAGCCTACAGCTTTTTTCTCTCAGTCTGATCCGTGTCCCTCTGTCACTGTGGGCTGCCACCACACTAAATCTTTGGCATGGCTAAGGCAAGAACCTTTGGCATTACATTTTGGCAAGCCAGCCAGGAGGATCTCCAGGAAAGGCATCCAGATCATCACGTAGTGAGTATGGTTAGACCTCTTTCGCTTGCTATGCTGTCCTGTCCTTCCTTAGAATTTGGAGGCTCAACCAGGCACCTGTCAGCCACTAAAAGCTATTAGCACAGCCGCTGGACTAAAGACACAGGTGTCAGGCTGTCTGGAAAAGGGTTCTCTGACAACCCCCAACCCTCCGAGGCTGGGAACGTTAGTTAGTCTGGACCCAGTACATACTCTTTAACTTTCCGTGGTGGTCTCAAAGTACACCTGGGAGTTATCAGCAGACGTTCTAGTCTCCCAGATCTCCTGGCAGAGGCTCCCCCTGCAAGGGTTACTGAGCATGAAACCACCACGTTTTCTGACCCCAGCTTCCTAGGTACTAATGTCCACTGGCTAGACTTCTTTCCTCATTTCACAAGCAAGGTTATTCCTGCTATGCAGGATCAAGATTCCCTATTTAGAAGTCTTAAATTCTTGGGATGGTGTCCAGAAGATCCCTGTTCATGGTGCCCTCCAGGGTTAAGACAGGTGTTGCCATTCAATGGCTATTTTGAAGGGCCAGTTCCCCACCATAGTGTATGGTCCCCCACATCAGGACAATTTAAAAACAGGTCTATAATTTTCATGTGGATAATAAAAGCCTTAGGGCATTTCCTCCATTGCTCCCCAGATAGACTTTCCCCTTCCTTGGGGCCTCTGGAGTACAATCTGTGGTGCATGGGCACAGCTCTTAGAGCCATTGAATTGCTATTTGAACCATTCAATAGTTGGTATTGGAAGAAAGAAAATAAAGTCAGTTAGGACACAAGATACTTGTACCACCTTAAGAGAGGGGCTTACTCCTTTGATGGCAAGTGGGGACAGAAGGCTAGAGTACAGCAGCTGTTTTCTCAGCCCTGGCCTAGAGGACATGCATCACCCTCTTAAAGTTTACTAAGCCTCTTGTTGCTAATTCAGAGATTCCTCCTTGAAGGACAGTTTTATGGCCAGGCCCATGTAAATTGGGCCTCAGTATGCAGTCATCAGTGGTGCCCCTGACCCAGGCCTTACAACCCTGGAACAGGGAGCATGTGTTGGAAGAAAGACCACAATAAATTCAACAGTCCCTGTGCCCCATTTAGTGGTCAATGGGTGCACGGCAGGGGCAAATGAAGTTTCTATCTTGCTGGTAAGCATGGTTAAATCTGGTAGATGGAGGGCTCAGGAAAAGCCACTATGAGCTTTGAGCACAACTGGACCCGACCCTTGGGGGACACCCTAAGAGAAGATGAGTCCGAGGACTAACAAGGGGTATGGGCATCTCTGTGTTTAAAATTCCAGATGGGCACCACAACTTCAAAACCAGACTCTGCCTTAAGATATATCCTGAATAACTGGGACGAATTCAACCATGAAACCTTAAAAAAGAAGCAGCTGATTTTCTTCTGTACAACTGCCTGGCCATGGAATTTCTTAAAAAATGGAAAAATGTGGCCCCTGAGGGAAGTATTAATTATAACACTCTTCTACAGCTAGATCTTTTCTATAAACAGGAAGATAAATAGAGTAAAGTCCCTTATGTACAGGCTTTCTTTGCCCTTCATGACAATACTGCCCTGTGCCAAGCCTGCAAGCTTTGCCAAAATGACAGAGGCCCACAGTTACTACCTCCATACTCAGGGCCTCTTCCCTCAGACCCATTCTCCTCCCCTATTGACTCTCTTCCATCCATCCCCATTGAAGTGTTAAAGGCACACCAGAAAGAGAACGTAAACTCCGTAAGCCAGACATCCAACCTATGTCCCTTAAAAACAGTAGGAGGAGAATTTGGGCCCATTCACATGCATGCCCCCTTCTCACTCTCAGATTTAAAACAAGTAAAGCCAGATTTAGGGAAATTCTCGGATGATCCTGATAACGGTATAGATGTCCTGCAAGGATTCTGGCAGTCCTTTGATCTAACATAGAAAGATATCATGTTGCTTCTTGATCAGACCTTAAGTCCTACTGAAAAGAAATCAGCTTTAGCAGCAGCCCAGCAATTTGGGGATCTGTGGTACCTTAGCCAGGTAAATGATTGAATGACCCTGGAGAAGAGGGAAAAATTCTCCACAGGGCAACAGGCAGTTCCCACTGTAGAACCTCTCTGGGATACTGACTGATCATGGAGATTGGAGCCACAAGCATTTGCTAACTTGCATTTTAGAAGGGTTGAGGAAGACTGGGAAAAAGCCTATGAACTAGTCAATGCTATCCACAATTACATAGGGAAAAGAAAAACAAAAAACCTCTGCTTTTCTAGAAAGGCCAAGGTAGTCCCTCAGAAAGCACATCTCCCTAACTCCAAATTCCTTAGGAGGCCAACTTATTTTAAAGGATAAATTTATCACCAATCAGTGGCTGACATTAGGTGAAAACTCCAAAAGTCTGCTTTAGGCCCAGAACAAAATTTGGAGACATTACTACACCTGGCAACCTCAGTGTTCTATAACAGGGACCAAGAGGAACAGGCAGAAAGGGAAAAGTGAGATAAGAGAAAGGCTGCAGGCTTAGTCATGGCCCTCAGACAACAGACCTTGGTGACTCAGAGGGAACCAAGAGAGGAACAGGCCAGTTGCATAGTAGGGCTTGTTATCAGTGCAGTTTGCAAGGACACTTTTAAGAAAGATTGTCCAGGCCAGGTGAGGTGGGTCATGCCTGTAATCCCAGCACTTTGGGAGGCTGAGGCAAGTGGATCACGAGGTCAGGAGATCAAGACCATCCTGTCTAACACAGTGAAACCTCATCTCTACTAAAAATACAAAAAATTAGTATGGTGTGATCACAGGCATCTGTAGTCCCAGCTCCTTGGGAGGCTGAGGCAGGAGAATGGCATGAACCCGGGAGGCAGAGCTTGCAGTAAGCTGAGATCACACCACTGCACTACTCCAGCCTGGGTGACAAAGCGAGACTCCATCTCAAAATATCAAAAAAAAAAAGAAAAGAAAAGAAAAAGAAAGATTGTCGAAGATAAAATAAAATAAAATAAAACTGTTGCCTCACCCATGTCTAATATGCCAAGGCAGTCACTGGAAGGCACACTGCCCTAGAGGATGAAGGCCCTCTGGGCCAGAAGCACCCAAGCAGATGTTTCAGCAACAGGACTGAGGGTGCCCAGGACAAGTGCCAGCTCATGCCATCACCCTCACAGAGCCCTGGGTAAGTTTGACCATTGAGGTCCAGGAAGTGGACTTCCTCCTGGACACTGGCGTGGCCTTCTCAGTTTTAATCTCCTGCCTTGAATGACTGTCCTTAAAGTCATTTGCTATCTAAGGAATCTTAGGACAGCCTGTAACCAGGTATTTCGCTCACCTCCTCAGCTGCAGCTGGGAGATTTTGCTCTTTTCACATGCCTTTCTTGTTAAGCCCAAAAGTCCCACACTCTTATTAGGGAGGGACATATTAGCCAAAGCCAGGACCATTATCTACATTAATATGGGGAACAAATTACCTATTCATTGTTTCCTACCTGAAGAAGGAATCAACTTTGAGGTCTGGGCCTTAGAAGGACAATTTGGAAGAGCAAAGAATGCCCATCCAGTCCAAATCAGGCTAAAAGATCCCACCATTTTTCCTTATCAAAGTCAATATCCCTTAAGGCCTGAAGCTCTCAAAGGATTACAGGATATCGTTAGACAATTAAAAGCTCAAGGTTTAGTTTTCTTACTGAAGAAATCCTTTGAGAGTTTCAGGCCTTTGAGGATATTGCCTTTGATAAGGAAAAGTGGTGGGATCTTTCAAGAAAGTGTAGCATTCCTTGCAACATCACAATACTAGGAATACAAAAACCAAATGGTCAGTGGAGACTAGTACAAGACCTCAGGTTACACCTGTCTAACTTCAGGCATTTTTTTCATCTATAATAGCACAGCTATTAATGCCTAAATGGCATTCCAAAAGAACTACTCTTTCTCTCCTTTCTAGCACCTCCCATGTCCATATATACCGAACAGGAGTTACAAAGTCTCCTTATACCCCAATCTCACCACACGCAAGTCCTTATTGTCCCTTTTATTGCAGGAACTAGAATACTGGGTAGGATTGGGACTGGAATTGGAGGCATAACCTCTTCCATCCAATTCTATTATAAATTATCATGAGAATTAAATGACGATATGGAACGAGTGGCCGACTCCCTAGTGACCCTACAAAGCCAGCTTAATTCTCTAGCTGTGGTAGCTCTTCAAAACTGGAGAGCCCTAGACTTATTAACAGCTGAAAGGGGAGGAGCCTGCCTCTTCTTACGAGAAGAATGTTGCTATTTCATTAACCAGTCAGAAATCATTACTGAAAAGGTCAAAGAAATAAGAGAACGAACAGAAAGTAGAAAAAAGGAGCTTCAACACTCAGGGCCCTGGAATATGTTTAACCAATGGACACCTTGGCTGTAAGCTGTAAGCTTCCCTGTGTCCTCACCCCCTGTCTCCCGTCCCCATCCCCTGAACCTAAAAACAATGTTAAAAGCATTTAACATTTCTGTGACCAGCAGACCTTATCTATGCTCCCAATTCTAATTCCTTGTAAACACAATTTGTAAAATCCTGTGAGATCCCATCTCCTTTGCCATGCTGCTGCAAGGTCATAAGGTAGATAAAACTTAAGTTACAATTCTGGTTTCCATCAAGATCTAAGATACATTAATTGTCTTTGTTTCTTGCTCTGGTGACATCTTCCTTCTGCATGTATTTCCCGCCCTAAAGAGTTTAAAAGGTGATCAAAAATTCTAATACTGGCTACCTTCTTGGGACCCCTTCTACATGGTGGAAGCCTTGTATTGTCACTCTGCTCAATAAAGCCTACAGCTTTTTTTCTCTCAGTCCAATCCATGTCTCTCTTTGGCATGGCTAAGGCAAGAACCTTTGGCATTACAATATGAGACCTGTACTTATGGTCTTATATCTGTTTATAAACTGCCTTTTGAAAAAGGACAACCCAAGGCAAAATGTCTGTGGATGACAAAAGCTTATAGCCACTGTTAAAGCTACAAGTGATTAGGAATTTTGGTTACTTCTGTGGCAGGCATACACCAATCTTACATAACAATTTTAGTTATTAATAATGTGGCCAGATGTGGTGGCTCACACCTATAATACCAGCATTTTGGGAGGCTGAGACAGGCAGATCACCTGAGGTTAGGAGTTTGATACCAGCCTGGCCAACATGGTAAAACCCCATCTCTACTAAAAATACAAAAAATTAGCTGGCTGTGGTGGCGTGCACCTGTAGTCCCAACTACTTGGGAGGCTGAAGCATTAGAATCCCTTGAACTTAGGAGATGGAGGTTGCAGTGAGATGAGATTGCACCACTGCACTCCAGCCTGGGTGACAGAGAGACTTTGTCAAAAAAAAAAAGTATATTAAATTATATCAACATTATAGAAGCTTCCCATAATTTTGGAACATACACTACTAACATATTTATACAAACACAATCCAAAGTAAATAAAATACTATTTACTTTTTTATTTGAAACTGTTTTCTTTATTTTAATCTCACAATCTCCAGTACTATTAATTAGTATCCAGCATTTAAGAGCACCTGTGAAATTTTATAAAATATAAAAGCTGATTATAAAATCATCTTTGAAGGAGGATCAGAATGACAGTTGTCTGTGGGTGACAAAATCATTTTAGGGCAGCCACAGTTAAAGACATGATTGACAAAGAAATTTGTTACCTCTGTGGCACACAGTCTGTTAATGTAGTAATTATAATTATTACTGGTAACATATGCTAAATTATATTAGAATTATGGGAGTTGTACATAGTTTTTGAACACATACCAATAAAACATTTATATGAATTTAGACTAAAGAAACCCATACACCATTTTATATTTGACAATGCTCCTTGTATCATATTTGTACCAAACAAGTCAAAAGTTATTTTTGGACTTTAGAGGACCTAATATCTAAAATATTAGGTAATAAAGAGACATTTTATAATTTGATTTTGGAAAGTTTGTTAAATATTAAGGTTTAAAATGCTAGATATCACAAAATAGAATACCAGGTCACCATAAGTTTTTCATTTGGCCAAAATGATAAACTCGAAAAAAATTTTTAAATGAAAAATCTTTACTCTGATAGTGGAGATCTAGCTTTCCAAAAAGACCCCATGAAGATAGCATGAGGCCAACTGAATCTGTCTTTTCTCTCTCCTTCTCCTTTTTTTTTTCTTTTGCAATTTACCAAAGGGAAAAAAATATATTATTTTTTAACATTATTTAAAATCATCTTTAAAAAAGAAAAATGGCCAGGAGCAGTGGCTCTCACCTGTGATCCCAGCACTTTGGGAGGCCGAGGCAGGCGGATCACGAGGTCAGGAGATCGAGACCATCCTGGGTAACTGGGTGAAACTCCGTCTCTATTAAAAATACAAAAAATTAGCCAGGCGTGATGGTGGGAGCCTGTAGTCCCAGCTGCTCGGGAGGCTGAGGCAGGAGAGTGGCATGAACCTGGAAGGCAGAGCTTGCAGTGAGCCGAGATCACGCCACCGCACTCCAGCCTGGGTGACAGAGCGAGACTCCATCTCGAAAAAAAAAAAAAAGAAAACCAAATTTTATGTTTGCATTAGTGCATCTTTAATGTTAAAGCTAGTTTATTAAATAAAATTTTATGTCTGTATCCAGTTTTATTCAGTTTGACTATAAAGTAAGATTTTCATAAACTTATTAGAACCCTTTACAAATTTCCATTAAATAGCAGATAAAAATAAAAAAATAAATAAATAAAACCCTGTTATTCAGATACATGGCCCCAGATTCTAGCCCCAAATTAGTATGATTTTAAAGCTTTTACTTAAGGAAAAAAGCTAAATGATTTCTTTTAAATCTTAGCAGCCAAATTCTTTATACCCACAGAAATATTACAAGATTAACCCTTTATAAACCCTTTTCACTTTGCTTAAAGTTTTAATTGTGTTCCGTTACTCTTTTAGGTTAAGACAATTTTTAAAACGCTTTGAACTAGACAAAATTACATTACCTTTAACAAAAGCCATATTCCTATGCCTTCATATATATATACATTTTTTTAATGAAAAACACATTTCCTATACACCTTGTATGTAAAATGTTTTTCCAATGGTCTCAACTACATGTTACAATGTTAACTTTCAGCACTTTTTTTTTTTTTTTTTTGAAATGGAGTTTCACTGTTGTTTCCCAGGCTGGAGTGCAATGCACGATCTTGGCTCGCCACAATCTCTGCCCTCTGGGTTCAAGTGATTCTCCTGTCTCAGCCTTTGAAGTAGCTGATATTACAGGCACACAACACCACATCCAGCTAATTTTTGTATTTTTAATAGAGAAAGGGTTTTATATGTTGGTCAGCTTGGTCTTGAACTCCCAATCTTAGGTGATCTGTCTGCCTTGACCTCCCAAAATGCTGGGATTACAGGTGTGAGTCACTGCTGTGGGCCAGCAACTTTTATTTTTAGTGAAAAACCTGATAAGTAAGTGATTTTAATTATGTACTAGGGTTGGACCCTAGGATATTAGCCACAAATGAAGATGAGGTCTGACTTCTTTTAGCACATCTAGTGGGTGGGTATGGCTCTTCCTATGTCCCCTGGCCTTATTTATAATCCAATGCTATGAAGTAGGTAAATCAAACAATTTTCAAAAGTCAAAGAAACAGTTTTACCTTAAAGCATTTAGCAAACCTGATATCTGACCTTAATTTAGATGAAATGTCTACATTTTCAAGACTTTTTTTTACCAATAATCTTTAAAACTGTGTTTATTTCCAAAAGATTTCTAAAGTCATGTGAACCAAAAGGCATTACAGTTTCTATTTTTTGAGAAAATATTTCATTTAAGTGCTTATTTTTCAAAGCCAATTAATCATCAGTGTTCCTTTATATATAAACATACAACACAAATATACACACAGATAGAAGATTCAGCACTTGTAAACTTTTTGTCATTTTCTTAACTGGATTACTGGCTTCAGGATGGAGCCCTTGGAAGAACAGGGTCAGAAAAGCATGCATTTCTAGAACTAAATATGCAGCAAATAAGTAGTTGAATGTAAAGACAGATACCCAGACTTAAGGGTTCCATTTTGTACTGGATCTCTAGAAAGAGGGAAATACTACAGGAGAAGACAGTGCAGTGCTTCTATCCTTTATTTCATTGCAAGGCAACCCAAAGCCAATCAGCCCATTTTTTTTTAATGAGCTCTTCTCTCATAAGAGTCTTATCTCCCAGTGGGGAGATGGGGGTGTTTCCTTATCTTTCAGGTTGCCAAGAGCAAGATTCTCTGATCCGAGTGTGCACACAGTCAAGTATCCCTCTATAGCTACTATTAGCTATCTCTTAAAATATATTTTCTACCTAGTTATTATAATGTGAAGTAATTTCTGATACCCACAAAACTTAAAACTGTCAGATAACACAATGCAAAACAGAACAGAGCCCTTGATTTTGAGAGGGATTTATCTGCTTTTAATTCCTGGGGTTTCATGAGGAAAACAGAGGTTTTTATCTCCCAAAATTGGGTCTATGGCACCTCCCCTGTTTCTCCAAGGAGTTCCAGGCTACCAGAAGTTATCTTAGGGCCTCTTAGGTGAGCATTAAGAGTGGCAAGACAAAACAATGGAGAAAACTAATTCAGTCAACTAAGATGAAAAAACGTTTTTCCAGAAAAACAACTTCCAAGAAGAGAAAAACATAAAGGTCTTTTAAATATATCTATAGCTTGTTTATCCACTTTAATTAAGATAACTTTTAACCATAGCACTCTTTAAAAATAAGTTCTTTTAAATTTCTTAATACCTGATTTAGCTATGCCAAGTGGCCAATATTTCTAGCTTCTGAATTTCATGAAAGGTAACCTCCTAGGTGCTGCAAATACATGGTAAGCAGTTTCTTTTCTTTTCTTTTATTTTTTAAGGCAAGATTTAGAATCTCCATAAGGTAGTTCAGAGAAAGGAAAATTCAAGAGAGGAAATCAGAAACTAGGGAAAAAACCTCAATAAATGGCAAAGCTGCACAAATAACAACCAGAAAGGAATTATTCCAGAAGCCAACAATTGAACCCAAGCCACCACTGCCAAAATATAAAGCCTTAACTACTGAGCTATATAGCATTGAACAGTTTCTATTGCTTTTCCCAGAAGGAGCCTAGAGAAGCCAATTTTAAGCTTGTAAGGCTTTTAACTGCTTAAGAAAAATTTTTAGGACTAACTATGGCATGAACCCCTAAATTTTTGTCCTCTGGTGGGTGGAAACCAAAAGAAAGTATCTCCACATGGTCACAAGTTTAAGCTGTAAGGACACAAAACAAGACAGAGAAATTCATACAGTATTGGTATCAGAGACTTATGGCAAAGTTCGTTACTGACCAGCCTGCCAAGCTGGCTTGAAAAGCAGGCTTATAGGGGTTCTAAACTCACATTCTATCCTATGATACCTGTCTCTCCATTACAGAGCACAGAAAGACAAATTCTTAGCACAAAGAACACCAGATTTGGTACAGCATAAGGCTAGTCTTACAAATCCCTTTTTCTATTGATTAAACCCTAGTAGAGGAGACCAATAGTTTACTGTTTTACCCAGACAGAGAAAGAGAGACTAGAAACTTGGCTGGTAAGAATTTCTTACCCTTTTCACTGCCATACCAGGTCCCTGGGTTCCCTTTCCCTGCAGCTTCCAGAATAATAGAGTGGCTTCTGGTTGAAGCCACTTTACAAGAAAAAATCATCCTTTACTGTTTTATGGAACTATACACAAGATTTTTAATTTACAAGATGCTGCCCAACAGGCTGCATGGGGAACCAAATTAACATTTTCCATCTCAGCAAAATACATACGACAAAACAGACATTAGTCACTTCATTCAGCACTCAATATAAACCTGGCAAAGCTTAAACTTTTACTTGTTCATCCTTGTTGTCTTTGATTTACTCCAGGTGGGGATGGACCACTGAGTGGTAATTCACAATGGGGTCTCTTGGCAAGAGGAAGAGCAGATAGTCAACCCAAGAGACCCACCCATTGAGACTTCTTTAGGGTTGATCAAATGTGAGAAGACAAATAAGGAGGATTCTCTGAGTTAGGCCAGCTGGACTTTCATCCACATTGCCTCTGAGATCTCTTCCACATATACAAACACACACAGAGATGATATGGACAAAAAGCTTTCCAAACCAGATTCCTATTGAAGAACTCCAAGAGTACCCCTTCCAAACTGTTCTCCTATTCTCCATCTGAGAAACCTCCTCAAAATCTTCCTGACTGAGGAGAAATCTCCCAGACAAGTACTCTTCCTACTAGCTAGAAACAGCCAACAGAGATACACTAAGAGCCAAACAGACACCCCACAATGAGGCTATAGTCACAGATACCCTATGGTGGAGCTACAAATAGACCCTCAACAATGGGGCTACATACACCCCACCAAAGGTCTACAGAACCAGTCAGGAGAAGGAAGGAGGCATTGGCAGTGCCTAGGAAGCTCATCAATCCAGACACCCCACAATGGGGCTACAGAGAGACACCCTATAATAGGGCTACAGTTAAGGGATGTCTCCTCAGGATTATTTCTTTATTGCAATTAAATTGATGCAAATTGGGTCAGCAGCACCTGCCAGTACAGAGAGTACCATGGTCAGCCCCCAATCCAAGAGCACTAGGTGGCACTTGGGCTGGCTTCTGGATCCATTGCTGGAGGGGGGATATGGAACCACAGGCAGGTCACCACAAGGGCAAACCCAGATGAGCCACCAAATTTGTAACCACCAAGGGGTTCATCTTACCTGCTGCCTAGAGAGATGATTCATTAAGACAAGGGAATTGCAATAAAGAAGAGTAATTCACTCAGAGATAGCTGTGCAAGAGACCAGAGTTTTATTATTACTCAAATCAGTCTCCCTGGGCATTCAGGAAGCAGAGTTTTTAAGGACAACTTGATGGGTAGGGGGAAGCCAGTGACCCAGAAGGGCTCATTGGTCAGAGATAAAATCATAGTGAGTCAAGCTCTCTTCCTGCATTCAATCAGTGCCTGTATGGGGTCCACAAGATCCGATGAGCCAGTTTATTGATCTGGGTGGGGCCAACTGATCCATCAAGTGCAAAATATCACAAGCACTAATCTTAGGAGCAGTTTAGGGAGGGTCAGAATTTTGTAGCCTCCAGTTGCATGACTCCTAAGCCATAATTTCTAATCTTGTGGCTAATATTAGTCCTACAAAGGCAATCTAGTCTATAGGCAAGAAGGAGGTCTGCTTTGTGAAAGCGATGTTACCGTCTTTGTTTAAACTATAAACTAAGTTTCTCCCAAAGTTAGTTTAGCAAGGTGTGAACAAGGACAGCTTAGGGGTTAGAAGCAAGATGGAGTCCGTTGTTAGATCTCTTTGATTGTCTCAGTCATAATTTTGCAAAGGCAGTTTCAATCTTACAGATAGGAAAACAAGTGGAGGAAAACAAATTAAATGACATATCCAACAGCTGCTTACCAGTACAGGAGTTTACAAAAATCAACTTTTAGGCTGTCTTCTGAGGTTGTAAAATAGACAATGGTGAAAGCATCAATAAACCTGGAGGGTTTATATGCAGTGAAATCAGCTAGGCACAGAAAGACAGATACTGCATGATCTCAGTTCCATGTGGCATCTATGAAAGAAAAGCTCATAGAAGTGTAGCTGCATGAGGGGTTCCTCCTGCCCACCGAATCAAGAAAGACCAAGGCACTGTAGTAGAGAAAAAGTTTAACAGACAGGAAGATGGCCATGCCACGTGTGAGATGGAATTCATATTCAAATCGTCTTTTTCAAAGCTTGTAGGTTTTTCAAGGATAGTTTGGAGGAAGAGGTAGAAGTGGCCAGGTAACCGGTGCTTGCTGCTGATTGGTTATGGCAGAGATGAATTCGTAGGGGGTTGAAGCTGTCCTCCTGTGGGCTGGATTGCTTCTGGGTATGGCCACAGGGGCTGGGTTGTAGGTCCATGTGAAGTCATGGGTGTTAGACATGCAAAAAGACTGGCAAGATATCTCAGAAGGCTAATCTTCAAGGGTGGTGCAGGAGTAATTGGGGAAGTTGCACATTTTATAATCTCTGGAATAATAGCTGGCAATCCTTCATGTCTGCGCATTAGCAGGAATCAGGCTCCTCTTCTCCCTGCAGTCTGAATGCTTCCCATTAGCTTTTCAAATGTGGCTGCATTTAGGGGCAAGCCCTATTATTATTTAACTTGTAGCCTAAATGTCTTTCCAAGTTAGCTTGCCCCAGTAGCCCAAAAATAATTAAGGGAAAGGCAAGATAGGCTAGCGTAGCTTACTGTTAGAATTTTCTCACTGATATAACCTACAAAGATGGTTTCAGAAGCAGAGAGTAGCATGATGGGTGCCAGGGACAGAGGAGTGAAGAAAGACAATGAAGAGATGTTGATTGAAGAGGAAAGTTCCAGTTAGATAGGAAGAATGATTTATTGAAATCTATTGCACAGCATGGTGACTGTACTTATTAATAATGTAATGTATATTTCAAAATTACTGGGGAAGCCCATTTTAAATATTTGACCAACACACACAAAAACACAAATAAAAAAGTGAAGTGATAAGCTAATTAGTTTGATTTAATCATTTCATCATGTGTGCATCTATGAAAACATCACATTGTACTCTAGAAATAGATGCAATTATTGTGTCATTTTAACATAAATAAGATAAAATAATAATTTCATTTAAAAATAAATAATAACAATAATTTCACAGAAGATGTAAGATTTGAAGTTTTTCAGCCTCATTGTGTTACCAGAAAAAGGTCCTGATTCAGACTCCAAGAGAGAGTTCTTGGACCTTGAAATGAATTGAAAATGAAATGAAAGAATTCAAGATGAATCCATAGAGCAAAATGAAAGCAAGTTTATTAGGAAAGTCAAAGAATAAAACAATGGCTACTCCACATGGAGAGCAGCCCCGAGGACTGCTGGTTGCCCATTTTTATGGTTATTTCTTGATGCTATGTTAAAAAAGGAGTGGATTATTCATGCCTCCTCTTTTTAGACCATACAGGATAACTTCCTGACATTGACATGTCATTTGTAAACTGTCATGGTGCTGGTGGGGGTGTAGCAGTGAGGATAACCAAAGTTCACTCTCATTGCCATCTTGGTTTTGGTGGGATTTGGCCAGCTTCTTTACTGCAACCTGTTTTATCAGCAAGGCCATTATGACCCTGTATCTTGTGCCAACCTCCTATCTCATCCTGTGACTTAGAATGCCTTAACTGTCTGGGAATGCAGCCCAGTAGTTCTCAGCCTTATTTTAGTCAGCCCCTATTCAAGATGGAGTTGCTCTGGTTCAAATACTTCTGACAATTCTATCTCCTGTGGATTTTGAGATTGTGGAGAATTTGCTTATCCTTCTTGATGCTGTATGTTTTTTATATATAAAGTTATATCATTTTAAATACATTTGCAGGCAGATTAAAAAAATAAGGTATATGCAATCCCAGCACTTTGGGAGGCTGAGGCAGATGGATCATGAGGTCAGGAGATTGAGACCATCCTGGCTAACACAGTGAATGCCCGTCTCTACTAAAAATACAAAAAAATTGTCAAAGAGTGATGGCAGGCACCCATAGTCTCAACTACTTGGGAGGGTGAGGCAGGAAAATGGTGTGAACCCAGGAGGCAGAGCTTGCAGTAAGCCGAGATTTTGCCACTGCACTCCAGCCTGGGTGACAGTGCGAGACTCCCTCTCAAAAAAATAAATAAAATAAAATAAAATAAAGTATAATTAAAAGGTTGTTTTTATAAAAAATCTGTACATTGACATGTGAAGTTCTATGCCCACTGAAGTATTTTATCAAGTAAATCAGAGAATCTGAAGATCTATGTATACACAACCCAAAGTACTTACTCAGAATATATGTTTGCAACATACTATAATGGCCATATATAAACACAAAGTGGTTAAGTCCCCTAAAAAGTATATTACCTAGATTAAATCTATAAATGTATTATAAGAATAACAGACTTAAAACCAGTTTATCCAGTCCTATTGATTTGTACTGGCACAAACAGAAAAACATTCTTTTCAGATTAACATTAGACTTAAAAAAAGTTTTAAAAGTTAAAAAAAGTTAAAATTTGAATCTCTCTCTAAGATTTTGCATACTTGCAATGAGGTTTTAATTTTGTTTTTTTCCTATGTGATTAGTCTTCATGGCAAAATCCTAAAATTATCTTATAGGTCCCCAAATATGTTCAACCTCCTTCAAATAACCTACTGTTTCAGCTTTTTACCAATGATCAGGTTTTCTCAAGCCTCTCACAATATTTTTGCACGCTATAATATTGTTGTGTAAATCACAGCAAAGTAGACCCCACAGACAGTGGGGGCCCCAGAAGATTATAATAACAGTATTTTTAATGTACTGTGTTTTTATTTAAATATATTCAAGTATGGAAATATCTACTGTTGTATTAAGTTGCCTACAGTGTTCCATACAGTTATTTGCTGTACTGGTGTGTAGCCCAAGTGTGCAATAACCTAGACCATCTAGGTGTGTGTAAGTGTACCATTTAATGTTCACACAATGATGAAATTGCCTCGTGATAAATTTCTTAGAATTTAACCATGCAGTTAAATGATGCATAACTGTATTTTAGATGTTTCTACTTATAAGCCAATATTGGAGGAGAAAATATTGAAGGATATTCTGATTTTTGAGGATGCTTGCAGGTGAAAGGATACTGGTTCTCATTTGCCTCCAAGTTGCATAACTCTATGAATAAGACCCATAAGTTGACATTGCTAGTCTTCTTGCAAGGTTTTCTTTTTTCTTTCATTCTTTTTTTTTTTTTTTTTTTTTAATTGAGACTGAGTCTTGCTCTGTTTCCCAGGCTGGAGTACAGTGGTTCTATCTCGGCTCACTGCAACTTCTGCCTCCCAAGTTCAAGCAATTCTCCTGCGTCAACCTCCTGAAAAGCTGAGATTATAGACACCTTCCACCACTCTCAGCTAATGTTATATTTTTAGTAGATATAGAATTTCCCCATGTTGGCCAGGCTAATCTTGAACTCCTGACCTCAGGTGATCCACCAATCTTGGCCTCTCAAAGTGCTGGGATTACAGGCATGACCCACCATGCCTGGCCTCTTACAAGGTTATCAAAAACTCACCATCCTAGTTTCAAACTAACTGAGGTGCAAGCCTTTTCAAAGCTGTGTCTTCTTCAACATTGACTATGATGAAAACTGCCACCCTATTCATTAATTTATTATTATCATGTCTCCTTTTTAGTTTTTTTGCCTCTTTTAGGAGTCTGTCTCTTCTTTGTGATCAGCTCTTTGAGGGTAGGAATCTACCTCACATATTTTGATTTCCCCATGGCCTTTCACTTAATAGAAGTTCAATAAATTGCTTCATAAATAAATTAGCAGAGGACGGAAAGAATAAGGGGAGAGGAAAATACCTGGGGGAAAAAGTGAAACAAATTTATTGAAAGTTCTTTTGCTTTCTGTGCAACTATTTGACAATTATTCATACACTTAATCTCTACTGATTTCATAGATACTCTCATTAATGAAAAATGCAATTTGATCAATGCTTACCTAGGGAAACTAAAAAGGACTGCACTTTTCTTACCTAACTCTGGCTATAAATAGATTATTACTATTTTGCCATAGGAATTGGGCTATTTCTACTATTGGGGGAAAAATTCAATGCAATTCCTTTCACATGCAGAGTCATGATAAATTATCCCTTTAAGGCAATCATTTATTTTCTCTTGAACACCCTAAAATGTGTGAGTATTAAAAATGAGACTTTGGAAAAATCTAAAATGCAAGTTCCACATTTCCAGCTATTCACAGTTGAATTAATAAGCTTGGTCCAGTGAACTACAGTGGAGTGGATTGAAATCATTTACATTAATTTTTATCTGTGGTAGAGAGTAAAGCACCTCAATGCACATCACTGAAAAGCAGCCACATCAGAATCACTGTTCACATAAAAAAATAAAAACCAAGACAAAAGTCATAATGGTAGTGTGCGTATTCTGAGTAAGCAAATCAGGAATTGATCTCACAATGCTGTGAGCATCTTAATTTTTTTTTTTTTTGGCATAGTTGTAGGTATACAGGGCAATGAACAATAAAAGGTTATTTCCTGATCAGTCGACCTCTGAGATTTACTCAGAGGGCAGTCTCTGTTTTTATTTTCAAACTTAATGTTTCAATGTCCTCTAGCCAAAGACCACCAAGAAGACACATGTAGTTGAAAAAGTTGGGTTTATTAGTTGGTTCAGCAAGAGAGAGCCTTCAACCTGGGTGTAGTTAGGCTAAATAAAGTCATCTTCAAAGATGTCATCCAATCCAAATCCCCAGAAGCTAGGGATATGTGACTGCATGGGGAAAGACACTTTGCAGATAAGATGTAGAAAGGATATTGAGATGGGAGATGACTCTGGATTATCCAGCTGTGCCCAAAGTAATCACAAGAATCCTTAAGGAAGGGAGATAAAGAGAGGTTTGGACATACATGGACAAGAGAATGCAATGTCAAAATGGAGGAGAGAGAGTTGAAGATGTTGGCCTTGAAGACTGGAATGATGAAGCCACAAACCAAGAGGTGCCTGCAGACCACAAAATTTTAAAGAGGCAGTAATGATCCTCCCCAGAGCCTTCAGAGGGAGCAGTGTCCTGCAAACTCTAATTTTAGACTTCTATCCTCCAGCAGTGTGAAAATACATTTTGGTTAACTCTGTAGCATTGCAGTAGTTTACTGTAGACTGTAGCAGCCACAAAGAGTTCAAACATGCTGGGAAGTTTTTGTGGCCACACTTGTGGTAGGCTGGAAATGCTGTTATAATTAATTTACATTTATATTTATGTTAATGTTTATATTTATATGTACACACAAATATGTATAGCACATGTACATTTATAAATATATAAACATTTTATATAAATTTTATGTAATGTAAATATGTTATTTTAAATATATTCAATATGTTTATATAAATATCTATATAAATATTGATTTATTATATAAGTATGTATTTTTATATATCTTTTATTGCAATGAAAGATAAAGTTTATCTTTCATTGCAGTAAAACACATATAACATAAAATTTACCATTTTAATCATTTTAAAGTATATAGTTCAGTGGCATTAAGGGTAATCACAAAATTGTGCAAACACCACTTCTATCTAGTCCCAGAACACTTTTATCACCCAAAAAGAAGACCTTGTATTCATTAGCAGCCAACTCACAGTCCTTCTTTCTAGTCTCTGGCAACCTCCAATTTGCTTTCTGTTCAAATAAAAAAGTAAAAACCAAGACGCAAACCAAATCCCAACTGTGAGTTCTGAGTTAGCTAATCAGGAATTTATCTTACCGGGCTTGAGCTTCTTAAGTAGTTTTTTTTTTTTTTTTACATAGTTGTAGGCATACAGGGCAATAAAAAATAAGAAAATCAGTCATAGAGCTGAGCATGGTGTCTCATGCCTGTGATCCCTGCAATTTGGGATGCTGAGGTGGACAGAGCTCTTGAGGTCAGGATTTCAAGACCAGCCCAACCAACGTGGTAAAACCTCATCTTTACTAGAAATAAAATACAAAAAAATTAGGGGGGCCTGGTGATGTACTCCTGTAATCCCAGTTATTTGGGAGGCTGAGGCAGGAGAATCACTTGAAACCCAGGATGGGGAGGTTAGAGTGAGCTGAGATTGTACCACTGAACTCCAGCCTGGGCAACAGAACCAGGCTTCATCTCAAAAAACAAACAAACAAACAAACAAACAAAAAATCAAGGTTTAGTGTGGTCTGGGACCCTAGCTTTTTTGTAATGCTTTGTTTGGCATGAGGCCCAGTCATTAGGGCCCTTTGTGACTGGGCTGAAGAAACACAAAATGGTTAACTTGTTTTGGTGATTGTGGTAGGGTCCAGCCCCACAGGGTCGGGGGGTTTTCTCCTAGTGTGTGGAGACAAGAGATTGTAGAAATAAAGACACAAGACAAAGAGATAAAAGAAAAGACAGCTGGGCCTGGGGGACCGCTACAACCAAGACGCAGAGACCAGTAGTGGCCCCGAATGCCAGGCTGCGCTGATATTTATTGGATACAAGAGAAAGGGGCAGGATAAGGAGTGTGAGCCATCTCCAATGATAGGTAAGGCCACATGGATCACTTGTCCACTAGACAGGGGGCCCTTCCCTGCCTGGCAGCCAAGGCAGAGAGACAAAGGAGAAAGAGAGAAACAGCTTAAGTTATTATTTCTGCTTATCAGAGACTTTTAGTACTTTCATTAATTTGCTACGGCTAACTAAATGGCAGAGCCAGGTGTACAAGATGGAACATGAAGGTGGACTAGGAGCTTGACCATTGAAGCACAGCATCACAGAGAGATGGTTAGGCCTCCAAATAACTGCGGGTGGTCCTGACTAATGTCAGACCTTCCACAAGAGGTAGAGGAGTAGAGTCTTCTCTAAACTCCCCAGGGTGAAAGGGAGACTCCTTTTCCCGGTATGCTAAGTAGCAGGTATTTTTCCTTGACACTAAGGCTACCGCTAGACCATGGTCCACTTGGCAATGGCGTCTTCCCAGAGGCTGGCATTACCGCTAGACCAAGGAGCCCTCTGGTGGCCCTGTCTGGGCATAACAGAAGGCTTGCATTCTTGTCCTCTGGTCACTTCTCACTATATCTCCTCAGCTTCTATCTCTATATGGCCTGATTTTTCCTAGGTTATGATTATAGAGCAAGGATTATTGTAATATTGGAATAAAGAGTAATTGCTACAAGCTAATGATTAATGATATTCATATATAATCATATCTAAGATCTATATCTGATATAACTATTCTTATTTTGTATTTTATTATACTGGAGCAGCTCATGTCCTCAGTCTCTTGCCTTGGCACCTGGATGGCTTGGCACCCACAGATTGTCTGGTTTTTTTTCAATGACTAATGTATAAGAACAGATTGAAATAGAGAATTCTCCTCAACAATCTTGGATGAATGCCTCAAGAGGCTCATGCAACCTGTTCTGGGACTTGGTGACCATTGTTTATGTCCATGTTCAATTGAGTTCAAATTTAATATTTAACTCTTCCTCCACATTTGGCCTCAATTTGACACATAGTTTTAAGACAAAATGTGTATAGATACATGGGGAAGGCATAGTTGATATAGATTACAGATACAGGGTAAGCACAGGAGAATTAAAAGCACAATTAATAAAAATCACACCCACCATGGCCAACACCAATGCCAATTGGACAGACAATTTATAATGCAGTCCTGATGGTTAGATGCTAACTGTTTTACCTGTTTCTGCATGTCTTAGGCAAGGAGAGTAATTTTGGGAGAATTGTCAGAGATATGCACACAACACTCAGTATGCAGTAAGGCATAGACCCCTCCTTGGGCTTTCGTAAGCATGTTTAATGTTGATTTTGCAACACAACAACATGCAGCTGAGCAAATTCATCTGATAGAAACATAAGTCCAGTGCTACTATTGTTAAGAGAGTTTTCTACATGCAAGCAACTCAACACATAGCGAGAATTGAGTGCAGTTGGCCTCTTTTGTGGCAGTGGCCACCTATTTATTGAATTCATTTTTGGCCTCAGACATGACAATCTAGGTACTGATTACTAGCAGACAGGTTATTCTCTGTAATAACAAAAACAGAGGAGAACTTTTTTTTTCTTTAGAAAATTGTACCACCCCTTCATTTTCTTCCCCATAGCTATATGATTGCCCACCCTAGGGGCAGGATCTGATAGATGTTTTACCCATAGTTTGGCTCCAAGTCTTAAGTTGCCCACTCCAGTGGAACGGAATTCTCCAGTTCTATATACTGTTTTTAATCAGGGCAGAAATTTCCTTGGGGCTTAATTGTTGACAGGGTACTATCAGTAGCTGGGCAATCTGCATCTGTGGCTTTATGGCAAAAGAATCTGGGTTGGTATTTTATGAAATGATTTTTAACTCTCCCCAGTAATCACTATCAATATACTACCATAGACTATAATGCCTCTCATTGCACGGCTTGAACATGTTTTAATCCATTCATCTGCATTTGTTTTCAGTTATGTGGAAATTTTGGCCATTGATCTGCTTGCTGATTAATAGACTATCAACAAAAAGCAGAGATGCATGAGCATCAACATGGAAAACAGTGATAATGATAGTGTGCACAAGGATCCAGATATCTTCCCAGTATTGTTTATTCCCAAACCTCTTTATTCCCAGTAAACCATTTCTTTCTTTGCCACTGGGGCATCCAGGTAGTAAGACTATTTACTACTGACCAAGAGTTGATACACAAGTGACAGATTCCTCTGACCTCCTCCTGAATAGCCCAGAAGTTGGCTACTAGTTCAGCTATCTGGCTGCTCCCACCCTTTCCTTCATCAGAAATGCTTATGTTTTTTAACAGGATTATAAGCCCTGGCCTTCTAGCATCGGGTCCCACCAATGTATTTGGCAGATCCATCAGTGAACCAAGAATATTTCTGATCCTCTGGGCTTAGTTCTTCAAAGGATTTGCCCCATTGCATGCAGAAAATTTCCTTCCCCATCTGCAGAACTTGCTCAGTGTTCCTGAGTTGGCAAGTTTTGCACATCCTCATGTAAAAAATGATACCCTCTTTGGTCTTGGCTTAGCCCTATTTTGTATATACCATTTCCATTTTATGATGCTACTTCCTTGAGTGTGCCCTATCTGATGAGTTTTGGGGAGCTTATGATCTGCATTGTAATAGGAATGTCGGGTCTCATAAAAACATCATGAATAAAACAAAGGTGTTTTCTTTCCTGTAAAGCCCAGTAGTAGGCCAACAGCTGCTTTTCCAAGGGAATATAATCTTTCCCAGCCTCTGGCAATTTCTGGGTCCAAAACCCCAAAGGCACTCTTTCTCTATCTTGTTTTTTGCCAAGGGCTCCAATTTGTATGCTGCTCCAGGATGGTTACCTGCAATTCTATTGCCTCATCCCATATAGGCCAAATGCCTAGGGCTAATTACATTGCTTGTTCAGCTTGCTCAAAGGCTTTGGTCTCTTTCTTTCTCCAGGGAAAGTTATAGTGTTTTCTAACAACTGCGTGCAGAGGCTGTAAAATATCACCCAAATGGAAAATATGATGTCTCCAGAAGCTAAACCAGCCAACAAATTTCTGGGCCTCCTTTTTGTTGGTAGCAGTTTCAAATTATAGTATTTTAGCAGGTCCTTGAATTTTATTATGGCTGATTCCAATCCTTGAAATAGGAGCTAGGTTTTTACCTGCTTCAAGCCCTGGATAACTAGGCCTTCAGTTTTACCCTGACCAGTCCACTTGGACAGCTGCATTTTTCAGCAATAGGCTGATAGCTTTGAGCCTGATCAGTTAATATATAGGCCTGGCATTGGGCCAGGGCCAGACTGGAAATCATATTGGCATTTTCCTTTTCCAGTTTACATTTCTGTTGTAGCAACAGGTCCTGTCTTGACACATTAACTTATAAGCAGTCAGCAAACACCATCCGGGCAGGAAATTCCCTCAGTGTCCATTTTACCAACTGGGATTCCCTGCAGCACTTCACTCACAGCCAATAGTTAAAAGTGCACTAATTTATATTCCCAATTTTCACAAAGGCCAGCTGCCCTGGACCATTCAATTGCCAAGGGGCAGAACTGGGGGAGTTCCCATCCTGGGATATGGGAAGTCCCCGAGCTTCCAGCCCTGTTTTTGAAGCTGAAAAGTGGCATACATTTGTTTTCAAATTCTGTTTGTGATGCTATATATATATCCATATTACATATATCACATATATGTTTTTATGATAAATTAATTTATTACATAATATGTAGTTGTCATGGTCAGTCAACAAGGTCAACAGAAACTTGTAAAAGTTCTGCTAAGTAATCTTGCACTCAGTTTTCAGTGCAGTAACATTAAAATAATCCTTGTATCTTTTATATAAAATTATTCAAAACGGAATAAATACAGATATGAACACAGAATAACTTATTTTCTTAAAGACGGTAAGGCTAACAGAGACTAAAATTTATTGATAAGCCAAAGATTGACCCAGATCCAAACAGCATAAATCTCAAAGCAGCTCTTGGTCAAAAAAAAAAAAAAAAAAAATGCAGTGGAGTGTATGGCAAAGTGACACTCTATGTTCTCCTCCATGGTCTTTCTCTGTCTCTGAGAAAGTCCTTATTTTGGAAATTTCATATAGTAGAGTAATGTGATACGGGGCCTTTGTGTCTTTCTTCTTTCACTAAGCATGATGTTTTCAAGGTTATTCCACGTCAGTGAAACCTTGTTCATCACTGATGAGAATGGAAAGTAACATGGGTACAGGTTTTGTGGAGGACAATTTGAAGATCCCACAACAGGATAAACACAGATTTACCATATGACCTCAGAAATGTTCCTATTTTACTGTGTGTTTTTCCCAGGAACACTCTCTAACAAATTTCCTATGAACCTCTGTTCTGAACGTGCTTCTAGGGAATCCAAAGCAAACACCAATGCAAATGCACCTACTGAATTATGCAAAAAAAAAAAAAAAAAAAAGAAAGAAAGAAAGATCACATTGCTAACTGTCCGAAATTCTCCACAAAGGGTGTAGCTAAAGCTTACTAACTGTGCTTATCCTAGGGTTGCAAAAGTTACTTAAAAAGACAGGCATTTTGTTGATCAGTGAGCATAGAGACCTAAAAACAAGATATAACGTGCCATATTCTAATAGGGCAATTCTCACCCCATACATCAACTTCCAAAATGTTGCTTACATTTCTTATCTCATTGTTGAATCTAAGGCCTCCTTCACCTCACACTTTTGATAAAAATCACTGCCTAGTTTTATTTCTCTTTTTCCTGAGTTGAATGAGAATTGCTATTGAAATGCTTGTTGCAGGTTTTTAAAAACCTATACTTATATACACTTTTGATACTTCATGGCATAAAACATATATTTAAAAATAAATTCATATGTATATAATTTTAAAATAATTATATATTTAAAAGATAAGTATATATACATAAAAGATAAGTATAAATACATATATTTTACAAATAAATATATTAGATAAATATATAATATATTTTACAAATCAATAAATGTAAGTATATAAATATATATTTTAGGAATAAATAAATATATTAAAAATATATAAATATATATTTTAGGAATAAATACATATATTAAATATATAAATATATATTTTAGAAATAAGTATATATAAATATGTACATTTTATATATTTATATATTTATATATTATATATAAATACATACATTTTATATATTTATATATAATATATAAATACATTTTTACATATTTATATATAAATATGTAGATATTTATATATAAATATATCAATATATATGAATATATGTTTAAATACATATTTACAAAATAAATACATATTTACAAAATAAATACATATTTACAAAATAAATACATATGTTTTGAAAATGTTCTGGGATTAGATAGGGGTGTTGGTTGGTTGCACAATATTGTGAATGTACTGTGTGCCACTGAATTGTATAATTTAAAATGGTTACAATGATAAATTGCATGTTATCTATATTATACTTATAACAAATATTACATATTCATATATTTATACAATATAAATATAGGAGTAATATATAATATATGTTATATATTACATATATACACACACACACAAAGGGAAAGAGAGTGATATATAATGTTAAATCAACAGAAGACAAATAAGGTAGCATATAAGTTAGCAAATAAGGTAGCAAATAAGGTAGCATATAATATATGATACCGAATATGTAAGTCATTTATCTCTGCTCAAAGAAAAAAAAATTAGACATGAAAGCAATGCCTCCAGACATTAAAAGTTATTATTTTAATGTGGTAAGTTCATAAATTCTTTGCTTTTCTAAAAAAATTTTCTTGACTTGGTAGATATTCGGGTTATTAATACAAAATTTTGAATTGAACTGGAGCTTCTTGTGGATGAGAAATATCGGCTGCTGGAAAAACAAATCCAATAAGACGGCATTCATTTGACACCTATCACAGAAAGTAGAGATAAATCCCAAGTCTTGTAAACCTACAGGCTTTTATTTGGAGCTTGTAACCACATGCTAAAATACACAATTGTTATTTTTGGAGAAACATGTAGAGTCATAAATGATCAGGAAGTATCATCTCAGGGAATTTTTAGTAATAACTTAGAGATTCTTAACTCAGAACAATAATGAAAAATATATAATGAAAACTACCCAAAAATATACATGGGCATTTAATGTGGACATACCTATATATATTGCAAATGATTGCTCTTAAAATGTCAGTATAATATGAGGGTTGAGGGTTGAGGTTTGATCTCAAATCCTTGGGAGTAATCTTTTTGAAAACCTAATTTTAAAGTCAGGGAATACACACAAAATAGGTTTTGCAACATATTGGCTTGACTTAATGTCCTTGAGATGAATATATATTTCTTTGGACTAATTATGGACTAACTGTAACATTTTAAAATTTTGCTTAACAACGTATCTCTTAAAATTCAAGTGCCAGTTTATGAATAATGCAAAAAATAGATATGATACAAGAGAGATGAAATTGTAACTGCAAAAGAATGACGAGCTTAGAAAAGATTAGCCTTATAGTAGGAATCCTAGCGCTCCCCTATAAAAGCACTAACTGAACCATTAATTAAATCTAGGATGATTAAACTCATATTTCCATGAATTAGCCTTTAAAATAGCAGGTCTTCCAAGTAGGTTAAGCAGAAATGAATTTACTTGTGGTTGTTAGTTAATCAAATTTGTAAGAACTTTAAAAATTAATATGGATGTTTCAAAACCAGAAGTGACCCATGCAGGAGAAATACCAAGCTAAATGCAGAACTGTTCCCATAAAAACCCCTACTAAGAAACTCAAGTCACAGAACCCCTGCCCAGTGACAGCTGTCATCACTCAGATCTCACTCTGATGTAGCTTTCTGACATACTTAACCACAACCAAGATCCTAACTCAAGTAAAAATGGGGGAAAACAAAGTCTTCAGCAATCATCCTGTAGTATACACACAGACTTCACAGGGCTGAAGTGACATAGCATTTTATAAAAAGATTCCCATAAGGAAATTCAACAATACATTCATAGACAAGAAAAAAAAAGTGAAGTTCAGTAATAACTTGTTAAATATTAAACACAATGGGTGTGTATTTCAACTGTGTTCTGTGGGAAATATATGTAAATCCTAATAATATATGTCTTAGTCAGTTCTGGCTGCTGCAGTAGTATACCACAGGCTTGACAGCTTAGGCTGGGCTTGGTGACTCATGCCTATAATCCCAGCACTGTGGGAGACCAAAGTGGGTAGATCACTTGAGGCCAGCAGGGCAAACATAGTAAAACTTCATCTCTACTAAAAATACAAAAAAAAAAAAAAAAAAAAAAAAAAAGAGATCAGTTAGTTGTAGATGTGTAGTGCCATTTCTGAAGCCAGCGCTAGGGGAGGGATAGCATTAGGAGAGATACCTAATGTAGATGACAGGTTAATGGGTGCAGCAAACCACCATGGCAGGTGTATAAATACCTATGTAACAAACCTGCACATTCTGCACATGTATTCCAGAACTTAAAGTATAACTGAAAAAAAAAAAAGAAACGTGGGAAAAAGATACAGAAACAAAATTAGCTAGATGTGGTAGCAGATGCCTGTAATCCCAGCTACTTGTGAGGCTGAGGCAGGAGAACTGCTTGAACCCAGGAGGCAGAGGTTGCGGTGGGCTGAGATCACACCACTGCACGCTAGCTTGGCAACGGAGTGAGACTCTGTCTCAAAATAATAAATAAATAAAATAAGTAAATAAATAGACTTGGCAGCTTAAACAATAGACATGTATTTCTCACAGTTCCAGAGGCTGTAAGTTCAAGATTAAGGTACTAGCAGATTCAGTGTTTGGTGAGGTGTCACTTCCTTATCTGCAGATGGCTGCCTTCTCACTGTGCCCTCACATAGCAGTGAAAAGAAGTTCTGGTTTCTCTTCCTCTTCTTCTAATAACATTAATCCCAATATGGTGTCCCATTTTCCTGACCTAATCTAAACGTAATTTCCTCCCAAAGACCCCCACTCCTAGTACCAGCTCATTAGAGATTAGGGCTTCAACATATGTTTTGAAGAAACAGAAACCTTCAGTCAATAACAAAATTTATGAAATATTTCTGAATATGTGTAAAAATTTTTGTGGAAACATTGTCAGATAAAACTGAAGGATGTTATAGCCTTGTGGCTTTTAGGAAATATATAGAATTGATGAAACAAGGCATTTTAAAAATAGGATTGGTCCTACAAAATTGTACTGCTATTTAATTTACAATGAGAAGATTAATTCCATCAAGAGGAAAAAAAATCAATAGAGGAATCTTAGGCAATTTAAAAAGATTAAGTTTTTACCAAAAATACAAACGTGACTACATTTACATGAAAATGTACTTTTGATTCCAGCAAGTAGGTTTAACTGGCAAAAATTAGCAACTTGAGGAAGAAACAATCTTTGTTTTGCACAAAAATTAGATTACAGCAGAAATATAGAATAAGAAATGATAACAATATAAAAGAGATTGAGAATAGGCATATTACAAATTAGACCCAAAATACTCATTCACTCACTCAAAGCAATATATATTTATTGATCAGTATTTATTTATAATTGTCACATAAAGACAGTAAAAAGGGATATATCAATATACATACCATGCACTCTTAAGAAAAGAATAGCAAACTGGGAATATATTCTGTGACATTGGAGAGAACTTAAAGCCCGTTGGAGTTTAACTTGTTTTGTTAGTGGAGCTGTTACAGAGAAATAGAACATTTATCAAATAGCCAATTAATCAAATAAAATTACCTGATTATCCATGATATTTCCTAAAACTTCAAAATGATTTGGAAGAGGGATTATAGTTAATCACAAAAGATTTCCTAGAGGTACTAAGTAAATGCCGATGTTATTTGTTATACAGGGCTGTTCAAACAGTTCCTACTTCCAAATATGGGAGAGAAGAGACAATGAACAAAGGTCAGGTGAGTGGATTTTATATTCCAGTGTAGATTACATTGAAGTTGTGCAAGAATTGGAATACTAGAAAATACTAGCTGAATGACAGAATTTGATTGTCTGAGACTGTCACGTAGGAACAGAGAAGAAGGCAATACAACTTTTGTAATGAAGATTCATGGTTTAGGCTGAGCAGAGTGGCTCACATCTGTAATGTCAGCACTTTGGGAGGCCAAGGCGGACAGATAACCTGAGGTCAGGAATTTGAGAGCAGCCTGGCCAACATGGTAAAACCCTGTCCCTACTAAAAATACAAAAAATAGCCAGGTTGGTTGGTGTACACCTGTAGTCCCAGCTACTCAGGAGGCTGAGGCAGGAGAATCGCTTGAACCCGAGAGGTTGATGTTGCAGTGAGCTGAAATAGCACCACTTCACTCCAGCCTAGGTAACAGAGTGAGACATTGTCTTAAAAAAAAAAAAAAAAAAAGATTCATTGTTTGGAGATACCAGGGAGGGATGGAGGAAAAATGAAAGCAAGTTTCAAGTTACTTAAGGAGAAGGAGTGTAGGAACTTGGTTATTGCCAAAAATAAAGACAAGGGTTGTGCTAGTGGTCATGACAACAAGCAAAGGGTTGAATCATCCAAATATTTGGTACAAAAAGCTGGGTGTAGATAGACAATTATAGCAAGGGTGTTTTTACTACAGAATGAAGGATAGGTGCTTTCATGTACAGAGAGGAAGATGGACACGTAAATGCTCAAATAAACAAGAACACTCATTCAGGCTATGTAGAATGAGGGATGAAACAGAAACATGGTAAGTCTTTTCCTAAGTTACCCCAAAGCTGACACGCAGTTGCCGAAGGATGTCCTTATTCCTCTGCGTGAATCCCAGAGGGTAGAGAAAACAGTGTTCTCCCAAGGAACAGGGCTTCTGCGGACTTTTGTTGGCCTCTGTAGTTCGGGAAATGTCATACATATGTTTGTGTACTAAATTATTAAGTATCACTCATTGATCATATATACCACAGAGAAAATTAGGCTGTTTCTCCTTGACATTTTACATGCCCCAAAGAAATGAAAGCTGTCAAACACAAGCACTCCACATCAGTCTCTGCACTGAGAAACATTTGGAGATTTTATTTAACAGTTTGAATACTGTAAGAGGTGAGCAGGAAGTAATCTTATTTTTCATCAATACAGGAACCAATAGCCTGTGTGACCAAGAAATCCTAACTCTACAAGTTAGCCAAGACCAAGTGCAGTGGCTCACACCTGTAATCCTACAAGCACTTTGGGAGCCTGAGGAGGGCAGATTACCTGAGCTCAGTAGTTTGATACCACCCTGGACAACATGGTGAAACCCTGTCTCTACTAAAATACACACACAAAAAAGAATTAGCTGAACATGGTGGCCGATGCCTGTAGTCCCAGTTACTTGGGAGTCGGAGGTATGAGAATCATTTGAATGCAGGAGGCAGAGGTTGCAGTGAGCCGATATTGTCCACTGAACTCAGGCTGGACAGAGAGACACTCTGTCTCCAAAACAAAAAAACTGTTAGCCAGATGTTGTGATGTGGTATGTACTTGCAGTCCCAGCTACTTGGGAGGTTGAGACTGGAGGATCACCTTATCCCAAGAAGTTGAGGCTGTAGTGAGCTATGACAATGCCACTGCACTCCAGTCTGGCAACTGAGTGAAACCCTGTCTCAGAAAAAAAAAAAGAGGAATAAATAAAATACTTATTGTTTATTAATATAGAGCCATATCAAGCAAAGACTGTTTTATGTATATGTGTGTGTATATATGTGTATGTATATGCATATATGTGGAAATGTGTATCTCATATATATCATATACATATTTATATATATAGTCCTAAAAGTTAAAGGTTATAATGAAGCATACACAGAAACCTAATATATCACACTTGATACTGGCATTGCAGATCAAGTAGGGAAAATGACTGATATTAAGCAATAGTGCTGAGAAATTTAGCTTTTCACATAAAAACATAAATAAATGAAAATATGTGTGTCACCTATGTTTGTGTAAGTACTCTCCATGACGTCTGTACGATGGTAAAACCACCTAATGTTGCATTTCTCAGAGTGTATCCCCCTTATTAAGCAATGTATGACTTTATGTAAGTACATAGGCTTTTTGATGGGCTATGATGGGGTTGCATTCTGATAAACCTATTGTAAGTTGAAAATATTGTAAATTGAAAATGCACTGAATATACTTAGCTTACTGAACATGATGACTTTGACCAGCGTACCTTAAAATGTGCTAAGAACAGTCACATTAGCCTGCAGTTGAACAAAACCATTTGGCAACACATTTCACTGTGGAGTCAAATTGCTTACCCTCATGATCTCAGGGCTGACTGGGAGCTTTGGCTCCCTACTCTTGTCCAGCATCTGGAGAGAATGCCCTACTACATATTGCTAGCCCAGGAAAAGATCAGCACTGAAAAATCTAAGTACGGTTTCCCCTGAATGCATATCAGTTTTACACCATCATAAAATCAAAACACTGTATTTGGGGAAACTCTGTGTAGGTATAAGCACACACACACACATACACACAATCTCACATCTCAACACAAATATACCTGCAAAATCTAATGTTAAGTTAAAAGAGAAAGTTATGTAAAGATATATATGGGTTGATATAATTTATGGAAGATATAAAAACAAAATATACTCTGTGTGTGTATAAACACACACAAACACACACACACACACATCTCAACATGAATATACCTGAAAAAACTAATGTTAAGCTAAAAGAGCAAGTTATATGAAGATATACATGGGTTAGTACTATTTATGGAAGATTTAAAAACCAAACATACTTGAGGCCAGGAATTTGAGATCTGCCTAGGCAACGTGGAAAAACCTCATCTCTACTAAAAACACAAAAAATTTACCCAGATGTGGTGACACAGGCCTGTAATTCCAGCCACTGAGGAGGCCGAGTCGTGAAACTCCTTTGAGCCTGGGAGGCAGAGGTGCGGTGAGCTGAGATTGCGCCACAGCACTCCAGCCTGTTTGTCAAAAATTAACAAACAAAAACAAACAACAAAAGAAAAACTATATATATATATATATTTAGATATCTATATTTTAGATATCTATATATATTTAGATATCTATATTTTAGATATCTATATATATTTAGATATCTATATTTTAGATATCTATATATATTTAGATATATATTTATATATTTGTCATATATATCTGTCAAATGTATATCTATATATATTTAGATATATATTTATATATCTGTCATTTACCCATTTCTATCTATGACTTTTCTAAGCATTTGGATATATACTTTCAATTGTAGATTATTCTACAGTTATATATACAGAGAGATATCTATTTAAACATATGTATATTTAAACATATATATCTATATTAAATGTATATTAAATATATATATTTAAACATATATATCTAAATATATCTAATATATTTTTATAAATATATTATTTATGTGTATAATAAAATATATATTTATATATAATTATATATATATATTTATATATATATTAGATGTATATATTTAGATATATATGTATAAAACTGTAGAATAATTTTCAATTGTAAGTATATATCCAAATGCTTAGAAAAGTTATAGATAGAAATGGGTAAATGACAGATATATAAATAGTTAATAGATATGTATATCCTACACACATGTATACATACACATACATATAAGAGAGAGACAGAGAGAGAGAGAGACCAATCTCAAATTTAAAACATAACTATATTCTAAAACAAAGCAACATTTTTTTGTGAAGTATTCGACCAGATCATTGAGTTTTCCTCATAGCCATACGGCCTAAAAGTATCCATACATCAATATTACTCTCAAAATGTGGAGTACATTTGCAACATGTGCCATGCCATGATAGATTAGTCATGATAAATAAGTTACTTATCAATCTCAGGAGAATAAAACAAGATTAGAAAAAAAATAACCTGGGATTTTTTTCCTGAAGCCATAAGTAGTAGGTTTTAAAAGCAAATATAATGTAATAAATATAGATCAGCTTTTAGAATCTACACAATATATATCTGTGAATTTATCCAATAAGTTTACGTTTTCTTTAGTAGCATGTTATTTTCTGATGATAGAACAACTTCTGGATTAAACGGCAAATCCTGTAACATCTTAATAAACATCGAAAAGATAAAAATTCATTTAAAATGGAAAGCGCTCATGTATTCTTATGCTCAGGGGATTTTTAAAAATGAAAAAAGAGTTATTAATTTAAGGATATTTTTAAAGTTAATTATTTTCTAAACCCTTATTTCTCTCCTGCCCTAGTTTAATGAAGAAATAAAGCCAGGTGCAGTGGCTCACGCCTGTTAATCCCAGCACTTTGGGAGGCCGAGGTGGGCGGATCAGGAGGTCAGGAGATGGAGACTATCCTGGCTAACACAGTGAAACCCCGTCTCTACTAAAAATACAAAAAATTAGCCGGGCGCGGTGGGAGGCGCCTGTAGTCCCAGCTACTTGGGAGGCTGAGGCAGGGGAATAGCGTGAACCCTGGAGGCGGAGCTTGCAGTGAGCCCAGATCGTGCCACTGCACTCCAGCCTGGGTGACAGAGAGAGACTCCGTCTCAAAGAAAAAAAAAAAAAGAAAAAAGAAATAAGTTATATCCTTGAAGCTTGATGTTCTCAAGAATATTCTTCAACCATTAGCCGTTGGGGACCCCACAAATTGAGAATTCTGTAAACAGTGCTTGAAATTACATATTTAAACAGTACAACAACTAATTCTTTTAATACTTTATATTGGCCTGCCTTTTCCAAGAAAATCATCGTCGGATAGAGGGTACAACATAATCTTTCCCTGACTAAAGAAGATTCAGTTAGATTTAACTTGTTCAATCAAGGATGATAATCAGATTATAACTTGCCTTGCAAAAGGAAAGGTACCATTATGGTGACTTTCATTGGTGGTGTAAAACATTGTATTGAATTACATTTGAGGGAAAAGATAAATGTGCAAGTATGGCATAATTGTTTTACTTAAAAATGTAATTTTTCACATGGGTACTTTTGGCCACTTCTGAACTCAAGAAATGACATGGTAATCTATTCACAATCAGTAAATATATACAACATAGAAAAGTTGAACTGAATACTTTTTCATGGTTTCTAATCAGACAGTCATATACCAACAATCACACCCACAATAAAATCAGCATTTTGGGAATACACAATGTGAGGAAGCAAATAATGTGCCTAATAAGTGAGTCACATTGAAGAATGATGAACTCTGACAATTTCAAAGCCATATTTATATTTTTAAATGTTCTTCATCCTATTGGCTTGCAGAAGGAATCCACATCTTTAAAAAATAGATCTTCACTTTTGGAGGCCAAAATGGGAGGATTGCTTGAGTCCAGGACTTTGAGACAGGCCTGGGCAACATGGAAAAACCTCATCTCTCCAAAAAGCACACACACAAAAAAGGCTGGTTTTGAGATGTAGGCCTGTAGTCCTAGCTCTTCTGGAGGCTGAGGTTGGAGGATCTTTTGAGCCTGGGAAATAGATGCAGCAGTGAGCTGTGATTATGCCACTGCACTCCAGCATGGGTGATAGAGCGATACCTTGTCTCAAAATAAATAAATAAATAAATAAAACATAATAACCTAATAAACAAACAACAACCTATGTCTCTGTTTATTGGTTTAAAATAAGTATTCAAAGTGTTAGTCATTATTTTGCTGAATAAAAAGAATCAGTGTCACACAGGAAAAATTGGAGAAAAAGAAACTGGTGAATGAAAAATAGTCACCCAGTCTCCAAAATTATTCACTATGTACTCTAAAGGGATAGAACAAACACTTCAAAGATGCTTATAATAAGCTTGCATTTTTTTACATACACTCTGTGGTCTAGAATGAAATAGGGTATTTTAAAGGAACTACCTTTCTTGAAAATACACACATTTAACATATGTTGAAATTTTACATATGTCCACCTATTGGTGGACATTTAGGTCATACCATTGACTGGAGATGTATGTTTGCAATACTATCCTGTTGATGCCAATGTAAACAATCTAGAAACTTCTGTGGTGATTGAAGAAATTAAATGCTGGTGTACTCTTATTCTCAGATAAATATTTGACTGACCATATGGAGTTAATATAAAGTACATTTAACACATCAAGTAATATAATTCTAATTTTAGAACATCTTCTTAGGCTATCAAATCCTTAATAGTAACATCACTGTTTGCTAACATTTTAGAGGAGATATAAGAAATATAATCTGCAAGAAATCAACTGTTCATAAATGTTTTATCTATTTGAAAGACTGAGGTTGTATCATGCACTAATCACAAAATACTAAAATCCCACTTCTAAGTGTCTATCAAAGAAACATGAAAACATACACCTACAAAAACTTGTACATGAATTCAAAGCAGCTTTATTCACAAAATTAAAAGAAAAACAACCATAGATCCATCAACTAGTCAATGAATAAACATATTTAATTTATACATTTCCTGCAATGAAAATTCTTCAACAAATCAAAAGCAAAACAATTAGTGAGACAACGTAGATAAATCTTAAAAAAACACTATGTTGAATGAAATAAATCATGCACAAAAGTCTGCCTACATGCAAGATGCTATTTATATGAAATTCTAGAAAAGGCAAAACCAGAGGAATGGGGAATGCATCTGTGCTTCTCTGGGGCAGGGAGTCATGTAAAAGGATTGACTGCAAGAAGAATAAAGAAATGTGTTAGGGTGTTCCAGCTGGTTTGTCTTGATTGGCAGGGGTTACACAGAATAGTAAAATTAATAGAACTCATAAAATTTACACTTTAGGCTGGGCGCAGTGGCTCAAGCCTGTAATCCCAGCACTTTGAGAGGCCAAGGCCAGTGGATCGCCTGAGGTCAGGAGTTTGAGACCAGCATGGTCAACATGGTGAAACACTTGTCTCCACTAAAAATATAAAAAATTAGCCAGGCATGGTGGTGGGCACACTGTAATCCCAGCTACTCAGAAGGCTGAAGCAGGAGAATCGCTTGAACCTAGGAGGCGGAGGTTGCAGTGAGGTGAGATCATACCATTTGCACTCCAGCCTGGGCAACAGAGCAAGACTCTGTCTCAAAAAAATAAAAATAAAATAAAAACTTATACTTTAAAAGGTGTTTTATGTAAATTATGCCTCAGTGAAGCTGGAAACTGTACAATAAAGCTGAAAAGTGTAGCTTTCAAGTGAAACTTTCATGGTTAACTTTGTGCATCTTAATTATCTATCTGTTTATCCATCTACCACTCATTCTATAATCTATCTACCTATCATTCTATTTAATCTATCATTAGTCTATCTATGTACCTATGAATCTATCATCTATCTAATCTACCTGTCCACTCTATCATACACCCATGATTCACTATGTATCTATCTATTCATCACCCATCTATTTATTATATACGTGTTTATATACCTATGTGTCTATCTCTCTATTCATCCATTATCTATTTATCTAATATCTAGCTAGCTAGCTATCAATCCATCCATCATCTATTTATCTACCTACATCCATCCATCTATTTATGTATCTATCCATCATTCACCCATTTAATATCTACCTAACATCTATCTATCCATCCATCTATCTATCTTGCATACATTATGTATGTATGTATTTATGTAACTATGGGTCTATCTCTCTATTCATCCTTTATCTATCTACCATACATTCAGATATATATCTAAGTATCTATCCATTCTTCATTTATTCATTATTTGTCTATCTATCTTCTCTTCATCCATCCACCCATATAGCTATCCATCTGTCTAATCTATCATCTATCTATCTATCTATCATCTATCTATCTATCTATCTACCATCTGTCATCTATCTGTCAATCAATGAAACAATCACCTATCCATTATATCTATCTATCCATCGGTCTATCTGTTCATGTAGTTATTAATCTATCGAATCTAGCTGTCTTTCTTTCTTTCTTTCTTTCTTTCTTTCTTTCTTTCTTTCTTTCTTTCTTTCTTTCTTTCTCTTTTTCAGACAGAATCTCCCTCTGTCACCCAGGCTAGCGTTCAGTGGCACAATCTCAACTCACTGCAGCCTCTGCCTCCTAGGTTCAAGCAATTCTCCTGCCTCAGCCTCCCAAGTAACTGGGACTACAGGCATGTGGCACCACACTCAGGTAATTCTTTTGATTTTTACTAAAGACGGGTTTCACCATGTTATTCAGGCTGGTCTCGAACTCCTGACCTCAAATGATTCACCCACCTTGGGCTCCCAAAGTGCTGGAGTTACAGGCATAAGCCACTGTACCCGGCCCCTGTCTGTCTTCTTTCTATCTATCCATCCATCTACCTGCCCATCTCTCTTATCCATCCATCCATCTACCTGTTGATCTAATTTATCTTCTATCTATCATCTATCTATCTATCTATCTATCTATCTATCTATCTATCTATCTATCTATCTATCTACCTATGTATCTGTCTGCCTATCTTTCACTGCTGACCTAAGTGTCATCCATGATAAGTAAAATGATTCTGCTTTACCCCCATTAAAAAAAACTCAGGTTTGCAGCCAAGAACTGGGGCAATCTTGTCTCCAACTTCTATTTAACTTCCTTCTCCCCTACTAAAGGAGACTCAGTCACCTCTTTGGTATGTCCAATTCGTTTTGTAAGTGTTTTCTACAACCTGTCTTCACATGATAGACTTCAAGTAAAAATTGATTCTCCTCAGGACCCGGAAAGTTGGATTATTCACAAGGAACAGTTTTCCATGCAGGGCATATCTTTTCCATCTCACATTTCTCCCTCTTTGACCACGTATGAGCCTTGTAACTAAGCTCTACAATGTATGTCTATCAAATTTAGCTTACTTCTATTTTGCATATGTGAACTAAGATTCAAGCAGATTAAGGAACATATTTAAATAATGAGTGAAAGTCAGATTCAACTGAATTGAAACACTGGGCCTTGCCCAACACAGTAAACTAAGAAGAACATCATGTCTTACATAGCTCATGGCTGTAGTAAAATGCATTGTGTCCATTTTAATACCCATTTCTGGATATTGCCAGCAAACATTTTTTTGTGTGAAAGCCTATCATTTATATTTCCTTATAGCATCTTCTCTTTAAAAAGCATAATATTTTCACTTAAAATATGAAAAAGTGCTATTAGGAATTGATGTTATTACAGAGTAAAATTTTATTTTATCTTCAAGCTCTATCAGCTTTACCATAACTGTCTAGGTGCTTTTGTTACATAATGCATAGCGTTTTCCTGTTAAAATTTGAAGCTTTTGGGTTGGAAACCTCATTTCAATAAGAAACCAGGGGTAGTAATCCCATTTTATAAATTTTCACCACAACCCATGTTCTGTTCAGGTAATTTGAATGAAATTATACAGATATGACATAAATCTTACATACTAATACATATATATATTTAAAAAGTTTAATTTTTCTATATTGATCATTTCATTCCAAAAATAAGATTTAAAAGAACATTCAGATTTAACTAAACATGGATGAAAACTTGAATTGATAATCTTAAGTAACACTAATTCTTCTTGCATATTCTCATGTACCTTGAGGGGCAAATTTCTCAAAATCTTTTTTATTGTAAAGAAGTCTTTTTTAAAAATATTATTTTCTTATAAATTGGCAAATTATAATGACATATATTTATATATTTATGGATTTGAGTGATTTTGTGATATATGTATAAAATGCTTAAAATCAAACTAAATAACATATTTATTACATTGAATTTTTTTTTTGGTCATGACAACATTCAAAATGCACTCTCTTACAGTTTTGAAACACACCATTTACTTTTGTTGGGCATGTAAACTTTACAGGCATTATAAAGCCTCATGGAGTTTTCTCAAAAACCTAAAAATAGAATTACTATATGATCCCCACATCTAGGTATGTATCCAAAGGATTTGAAAACAATAGGTCACATAGTTATGTACACTCAAAGTCTTTGTCCTCATAGAGCTGAATTTAACTATTGGAATTTAATATTGGCTTAGTCCATTTGGACTGTGTGATGATTAATATTAATTGCCAACTTGATTAGATTGAAGGATGCAAAGTATTGTTTCTGACTGTATCTGGATGTCTCTGAGTGTTGCCAGAAGAGATTAACATTTGAGTCAGGGAGAGGAAAAACCACCTTCAGAAAGACCTACCTTCAAGGTGGTGGGCACCATCCAATTGGCTGCCAGCTGATTACAAAAAGCAGTTAGAAGAAGGTGGAAGAGGCGGATTTTCTGAGTCTTCTGGTCTTTGTCTTTCTCCCATGCTGGATGTTTTCTGCCTTTGAACATCAGAATCAAAGTTCTTTGGATTCTGGACTCTTGTACTTACACCAGTGGTGGCCAGGGGCTTGTAGGCCTTCAGTCACAGACTGAAGGCTGCACTCTTAGCTTCCCTGCTTTTGGGACTTGGACTGAGACACTACTGGCTTCCTTGCTCCTTAACTTGCAGAAGGCCTATATGAGACTTCACCTTGTGATCATTTGAGTCGATACTCCCTAATAAACTCCCTTTAATATATACATCTATCCTATTAGTTCTGTCCCTCTAGAGAACCCTGACTAATACAAGGTGCTATTACAAAATATCATAAACTGGGTAATTCATGAACAATAGACATTTATTTCTGACAGTTCTGTTGCCTGAGAAGTTTAAGACCAGGGTGTCAGCATGGTCAGTTTCTGATAAGTGTCACCTTCTGGGTTGCAGACTGCTGAACTCTCTCTGAATCCTCAAATGGTAGAAGGGGCAGGGAAGCTTTCTGGGGTAACTTTTAGAAGGTCTCCAATCGGTCATGACTTCTTCACCTCCAAAAGGCCCCACCTCATAAACCAATCACATAGATTATTAGGTTTTCAACATATGAATTTTGAGGGAACAGAAACATTTATACCATAGTAAGAAATTATGTCATGTTAATAAATTCCTGAATAACCAAAAAAGTCTTGAATGAGTAGTCCCTTGTATTAATATTATTGATACTTTAGAGTGAATTACTTAAACACTGTATTCAACTTGCAGATTTTCAAACAGTGATGTTGGGCAGGGTGTAAAAGCAGTGAGTTCTGAGACTTTGAGAGTACCCAAAAGAAGAAGATGCAAATTTAAAACAGAAGACACAGTAATACATGCTATGAATAGTCACAGAGTTTGAGGGATTTCTTAGATGAGTTGTGTATTAGACTGTTCTTATGTTGCTAATAGAGACATACTGAAGACTGGGTAATTTATAAAGGATAGAGGTTTAATGAACTCACAGTTCCACATGGCTGGGAAGTCCTCACAATTATGGTGGAAGGCAAATGAGGAACAAAATAGTCACATCTTATATGGCGGCAGGTAAGAGAGTGTGTACAGCGAAACTCTGCTTTATAAAAGCATCAGCTCTCCTAAGACTTATTAACTATCATAAGAGCAGCACAGGAAAGACTAGCTCTCCTGATTCAATTACCTCCCATTTTGTCCCTCCAGTGACACATGGGGATTATGGTAGTTGCAATTCAAGATGAGGTTTTCATGGGGACATGGTCAAACTATATCAAGTTCCAAGGTGCCATTGTACAACTTCAGAACAGTGATATATCTATCAGATACACAAGGTGATGCTTCAGTAACAAGCAATCCTCCATCTCTAAAATGTAACTCAACCAATGTTTGTCTCTTACTCACTTTTTCTTCATAGCAGTTGCTAGGTGACAAAGAAACAATGTCACCCAGGGAATTCAGGGATACAGTCACATGGCTGTGAATTCTCATAAAAAGGTACTGCAAAAGTTTTAAGCTACTTAGCAACAAACATTAAAAGTACTTTCAGTAGTTGTGCTGATAGAAGGCAGGAGAGGAAATGCTATTTAAGAAAATGAACACCAAATAATGACACGTCTTTACAGAACTGTAGAAGAGAAGAGGGATTCATTAAGCACTATGATGGGTGTGTGGGATTGAGGTTTGGGAGAACTGAAGAAAGTTGAATATATTGAGAGTCCAATTTACCATTGTAATAGAAATTGCAGTTCTTGTAACTGTATTGCATAATAATATTTTCCTTACTCCTTTTGCCTTGTCACTATATTGCTGACTTAAAATACAATAGTATTGGCTGGGCACAGTGGCTCATGCCTGTAATCATAACACTTTGGGAGGCCAAGGTGGGCGGATTGCCTGAGCTCACAAGTTCAAGACTAGCCTGGGCAGCATGGTGAAACCCCGTTTCTACTAAAATATAAAAAATTAGCCAGGTATGGTGGTGGGTCCCTGTATTCCTAGCTACTCTGGAGACTGAGGCAGGAGAATCACTTGAACTCGGGTTGCAGTGAGCCGAAATTGTGCCACTGCACTCCAGCCTGGGTGACAGAGCTAGATGATGTCTTAAAAAAAAATACAGTACTGTTGAGAATATTTGCACAGAGAAACCCTCTTTTTAAAAACATTAATTATCTGTTCTTAAATATTTTTGGTGTATAATCGTAAGGGAAGATTTTTGGGAAAATAGCATCAGCTTCACTAATTTTTGTACTTTATTCATTTCTCTGTTGATTGAGTCAGAATCATCAATTTTGTTAGAACTGAGTCAATGAGAGGACTGAAATTTTGTTTCTTACATTAAAATTTTCATTCATCAGCTAGAGGAAGCAAAGCAGGTAGGTACCTACTTACCTACTTGTTCATTATATTGCACTAATACATTGGCTGTCTTTCTGGAGACAGAGATGTGGGATGAGTAGGATCATGATTGTGTGTGTGTGCGTGTGTGTGTGTGTCCACCCAAAAATAGTGGAGCCACAGTTAACACTTGGGAACTGCTCCTCCTGAATTTACAAGACTATAATGCACAACAGATCGGTCAACCTTTTATTCTCAATATTTCTTAAAGGTCCATTTTTGTTTTCATTCCTAAGAAGTAACTGTCCAAATAGAATTGATTTCTAAGTATGATTAGAGATAAAAATATTCAAATGCACAGAACAAATTTTCAAATATAAGGAAAAGAACACACTTATTTAATTAAGATCATATAGAATACATTAGGTTGATGCAAAAGTAATTGTGGTTTTTCCATGAAGAGTAATGGTAAAAGTAGTAACTGTCTATACATCTATAATTATGACTACATCTATATCTATAATTACATTTATAACTGTAACTATGTCTATATCTATAACTGCATCTATATCTGTATTACATCTATATCTATTACCATATCTATAACTACACCTATAACTACATCTACTTCTAAAACTATGACTACATCTATATCTATACATCTATAACTGCAAGCATATCTACACTATACTTTATCTATAAGTACATCTATAACTATATCCATAACTATGAATATATCTATAACTACATCTATATCAATATATCTATAACTACATCTATATAACTGCATCTATAACTATAAATATATCTATAACTACATCTATGTCTATAACTAAATATAAACTCTAACTATGTAACTACATCAGTATCTATATCTGTAACTACATCTATATCTATTACTACATCTATAAATATTAATATATCTATAACTACATCTATAAGTATAAATCTATCTAAACTACATCTATATAACTACATCTATAACTATAAATCTATCTATAACTACATCTATATCTATAACTACATATAAACTATATATAACTACATCTGTATCTATTTCTATAATACATCTATATTTATTACTACAACTATAAATATATCTAATCTATAACCACATCTATATCTATAAACATATCTCTAATTACAGCTATATCTATGACTACATCTCTATCTATAAATATAGCTATATTTTAATTACATCTATGTCTATATATCTACATATCTATGCTGATACCTATATGTATATATCTATATATCTACATCTATATTACCATATCTACCCAAATACCTATGTATCTATACATCTGTATCTCTATCTCCACATATATATCTATCTATGATGACATCTGTATCTATAAACATATCCATATCTATAGTCATAAACATACCCATACATATATCTATATATGTATTCATTTATTTATATATTTGTAACAGTATCTATATCTAATCTCTATTATCTATGTCTATACCTTTATCTATGTAGTTATATTTATATCTATCTATATCTAAATAACTACAGTCATCTATCACTTAACAATAGGAATATGTTCTGAAAAATGAGTTGTTAGGCTGACTCTGTCATCAAGGGAATATCCTAGTATGCACTTACACAAACCAAGATGGGACAGCCTACTACATACCTAGGCTGTATGGTATAGCTTATTGCTCCTAGGCTACAAGACTGTACAGCATGTTCTTATACTAAATACTATAGGCAGTTGTAACACTATGGTAATTATTTCTGTGCTGAAACATATTGCAAGGTGGTTGTAGAGAAAAGTATTGTAAAACAGAGAAAAGGTATTGTAAAAATATGGTCTCATAATCTTACAGAACCACTCTCATATCTATGCTTCTCTGTTGACATAAATGTCATTATGCACCCCATGAGTCTAAATCTATTTATAAGAATATATCTAAGTCTATATAACCACATGATATAGATTAGATATGTGTCCCTGCCAAATCTCATGTTGAATTTTAAACCTCAGTGTTGGAGTGGGGCCTGGTAGGAGGTCTTCAGGTCATGAAGACAGATTTCTCATGGCTTGGTGCTGTCCTTGAAATAGTGTGTGAGTTCTTATGAGATCTGCTTGTTTAAGTCTGTGACACTTCCTCCCTACCCCACTCTCTATTTCTTTCTGCTGCTTTTGTCATGAGACATGCCGGCTCCTGCTTTGCCTTCTGCCATGAGTAAAAGTTCTCTGAGGCCGCCCAGAAGCTGAGCATGTGCCAGTACCACACTTCCTGTACAGCCTGCAGAGCCATAAGAAAATTTAGCTTCTTTTCTTATAAATCACCTTTCCACAGGAATTTCTTTATACCAATGCAAGAATGGACTAATGCATATATCTATTTATAACTATCTTTATTTCTATATCCATCATCTATGCCTTTGCCATAACCATCTATGAATGAACAGTGGGCATGCTATGTTGTCTGATAAAGCTTTATACTGCAGTGCTATTTGGAGCTCCCTAGTGCAGGATTCCTTTGAAATGAGTCTTTCTATGCTCTGCCTTATTCAGTTTCTTTCTTATTCATTAATGCAGACTAGAAAGACTGGCTCCTTACTTCACTGAGTCACTGAGATTCCCTAGAATACTCTGGGGCCCCCTTCCATCCACTGGCATACTTTTAGGGCTTTTCTGGTTGGCTACTGCCAACATCTGTTTGAAACTGTACCCATTTTCCTCCAGATAAAAAAACTGTAGGGACATAGCAGAAGAAAATAACACCAGTTGTGATATTTGCCTGTATCGATGAAGACAGCAGATGCATGGAAGTTCTGAAAGCCAGACCCTACCTTGAGGTCAAATCTTATTGAAAATACATTGAAGAAAACAAGGAGATTCTTCCACTTCAAATATTTTCAGTAGTTTTTCCTTGTAGAGTTGATATTATTTTTTCTTTGTCTATTTTGAGATTTTATAACAATAATTAACATGGTGTCAGCAATGAAGTCATTTCCTATGTTAAGAAATTAACTACTACCTTTGTGTTAGACCAGTACATTTCCTTTTTCCTTTTTTCTTATTTATTTATTTATCTATTTATTTATTGAGACTCTGGCTGGAGTGCAGTGGCAGTGACCTTGGCTCACTATAACCTCCACCTCCCTGGTCCAAGCAGTTCTCCTGCATCAGCCTCCTGAGTAGCTGGGATTACAGACGCCCACCACCACACCTGGGCAATTTTTTTGTACTTTCAGTAGAGACAAGGTTTCACCATATTGGCCAGGCTGATCTCGAATTCCTGACATCAAGTGATCCTCCTACCTCGGTCTTCCAAAGTGCTGGGATTACAGGACTGAGCCACTGCACCCAACCACAGCAATACTTTTCAAACATTACTGAGCGCGTGCATATGCATGTGAATGAATGTGTGTATGTTTCTGTGTGTGCATGTCTATTCACTCATGCAGGAAAAATTAGGGCTACGGTGAATAATCCGCCTTACTTTCCTTGAATTATACAGGGCAATATTGCATATAACAGAATGGATAGCAATGCATTTTAATAGGTTAGACTTAAGTGTCTTCACCACAGTTCCTATTACTATAGCTCTTGGTGGGGTTAAGCTTTTAATTATCTCCCAAGTGACCCTGATGTTGAAGAAAAGAAAGTCAAAAACAGGGGCCAGGAAGTTTTTTTTTTTTTTTTTTTTTTTTTTTTTTTTTTTTTGAGATGGAGTCTCGCTCTGTTGCTCAGGCTTTCTATGATCATCGACTGTTGTTATAAAGACCCAGTACTCTTATTTATATATTTGAATATGTTAAATATACTTAATTAAATATCTTTTTCTGTTTCCTTGATCACCTCTTCACTTAGATGGAGTCTTTGGATTACCAAATGTATAATTTATATAATAAAGTAGGCATTATTTTCAAATGTTCATTGATTTTGAAGACACACTCATCCATTTGATTTATGGCTCTTGAATTCATCAGTAATGCTTAGTTGTTGATGTTATGTATGTGTTCATCACTTAGTTGAGATTCTCTTATCTGTGTGATAGAATTCTTATTTAGACTTTCTGGTGTGGTATTGCATTTAGCTGTTGGAAGATTTTATACTATTTTCCATTTTATACCATTTTCCATCTACTGGGTATAGATGTTAGCCTTCAGACTCTTCATTTTTTTTTAAACCCTTTTGTTAGGTTTGTTACAAAGGTAAATTGCATGTCATGGGGTTTGGTGTATGAGTTATTTCACCACCTAAATAAGCACAACCCAATAAGCTTTTTGTTCCTCATTCTCCTCCCTCTACCCTAAACTGATCCCAGTGCTTGTTTGTTCTCTTCTTTGGGTCCACAGGTGTCCAGTTTTGAAGAAAAATTTGCATATTCTCTGTTCTCACCTGTAGTCAACAAAACCCAACATTGTTAATCTAATTCACTCATAGAAGTGAATGAGTTTGATCCAGTATCCATAAGTCCATATTCTTTTCTTGTAATAGCCCAGGCTTTCATACCTACTAATCTGCCCTCTCTTTTTTTCCCTTTTTCTGTTTGCAGTGCCTTGCTTCTTCACACTTAACAGAACTTCCTATAGTGCCCTGCATTCTGGTGACTCCTCCGAGGTCTGGGTTCTTTCTACCTGTTTCCTATTTCCTATATGTGTGGTCTTCCTGAGAAATCCTCATACTAAATACAGTCATTGTTATACCTGTAAGTAGGTGTACATTTTATATCAGTCATTGCTATACACATAAGTATATATAAGTATGTGGACATTTACATATTAGAGTACGCATAAGCATATATACATTATATTGAAAGTAATGGCAAAAACCGCAATGACTTTTGTGACATCAACAAAATAACTTAAATAAATCTTTCAACTCATGGGAATTAAGCTGTCACCCTGGAACAGGAATTAAAAGAAATTTAAAACTGTGTAAGCAAAAACTCAGTTGTATGTAAGAAAAACCAATTCCCCCTGAGGAAGAGGAAGAGCTGAAGTCCTTTAAAAATTAACTGCTTGTTTTTCTGTGGCTAGTGAGCCTTATCTGTCCCTTTCCCAGGCATTGTGAAGACTGTTTCTCTAGCTGTGCAGCTGCAAGGTTACTAAACAGATAATCTCAAGTCATAAAACATGCTGTTCCTTGAAAAGTAAGAAATAATGTAATAAATGTCTTAACTGAATAACTGCCTTTGTTTCTCACTTCTGTAATATGCTTCTCCCTGCACAGCTCTCCCCCTGCCCCAAGAAATGCTTAAAAGGTATCTTGACTCTTTGTTTGGGTCTCAGTCCTTTGAATGTGAATCTGACTGGGTCAGTGCACCTAAATAATTAAATAATTCCTCCTCGACCCCTCAGTCTCTCTGATTCCTTAATTTTCCTGCTGCAACCTAATTTGCTATTTCTTGTGTTTCCTGAAATCTCTGGGTGCCCTCAAGAAGATTACATCTTTTGAGCATTATGTGCTTCTCAGAGCATCTAAATTCATGAGGCATGGTGAGGATTTTTTTTCCTAATGCATTTATTAGACAATGACTGCCACAGTTGAATTGGTGTGAAGGAATAGGTCTTTACCCAAACAGAATGGCAGATCATACACATAAACACACACCCTGTCAGGTTTTATGACAGGGAAAACAACCCATGACAGGAAGATACTATCATGGGTTTACATCAAGTGTTACTGCCTAGAAAGACTGTAATGCAATATCCTCTCCCACATATTTCTAACAGAACACACTGCCAGATCGACCCAACTCTCTGTGGCTGTATCATCCCACACATTCATTTTTCATAATGCTTTGATGCCATATAGATTATTTCTATGACTTTCCTCATTCATGTTTCTTTGCCTCCTTAATAGAATTTTAGATAAAGATAGTTTATTTCACAAATATCAATGTTGTTTAACATGTTAGACTTGGTTTTCTGGTACATTTTGTCATCTGTCAAAAAGCCACAGCACTGAGTTGTGCTGTTCATCTCTATTCAGTTAACAAAGTATCTCTTTTCCATGGAGGACCCTGATATTGATGACTCTTTTCAATATATGCAGAACTGTATAATCATCTTTTTTGAAATAAAACCATTTTGGGAAACTATGTGGATGCTTGTTGGGCAGACACCTCAGATGTGGTACAAGGTAGCATAGACAGCCTTAGATATATGTGGCATCAGACTTTTCTGAGCTTCAGATCTAATGGAGCATATTCCTTTTATGGCTACTTATCAGGGCTGTAGTAAGGGATCTGAGAGGATTTGTCCCACAATTCTGGGTAAATCAGAAACAATCTCAAAGACTTCTGTGTAAAAACTACTCTGTAACTGAATGAAAATGAATAATTCAGGTCAATGCTGACAGCTTCTTGACAGATGGTAAAATTTTTCAGGAAATCAAGTTTATCCAAGCTGTGTCCAAAGTAGTTCATAGATTTCATTTTTTATGACTGAAGGACCACTTTAAATCCAAATCATATTTGCTGAAAATATTAATGTTGTTTAGAAAGCAGAAAACTTGGTCCCAGAAATCTCTTGGCATAGATCCTTTTTTTTTTTGTCTTCCCTGAGTAAATTCTGATTCCTATTCATAGAGCTGAGTCTCTCAAATTTGTGCGATGAATTTATTCTCCAAATGAAAGTAACTCAGTAATGCCTAGGTTTTCTTCTAGGGTTTTTATGGTTTTAGGTCTAACGTTTAAATCTTTAATCCATCTTGAATTGATTTTTGTATAAGGTGTAAGGAAGGGATCCAGTTTCAGCTTTCTACATATGGCTAGCCAGTTTTCCCAGCACCATTTATTAAATAGGGAATCCTTTCCCCATTGCTTGTTTTTCTCAGGTTTGTCAAACATCAGATAGTTGTAGATATGCGGCATTATTTCTGAGGGCTCTGTTCTGTTCCATTGATCTATATCTCTGTTTTGGTACCAGTACCATGCTGTTTTGGTTACTGTAGCCTTGTAGTATAGTTTGAAGTCAGGTAGTGTGATGCCTCCAGCTTTGTTCTTTTGGCTTAGGATTGACTTGGCGATGCGGGCTCTTTTTTGGTTCCATATGAACTTTAAAGTAGTTTTTTCCAATTCTGTGAAGAAAGTCATTGGTAGCTTGATGGGGATGGCATTGAATCTGTAAATTACCTTGGGCAGTATGGCCATTTTCACGATATTGATTCTTCCTACCCATGAGCATGGAATGTTCTTCCATTTGTTTGTGTCCTCTTTTATTTCCTTGAGCAGTGGTTTGTAGTTCTCCTTGAAGAGGTCCTTCACATCCCTTGTAAGTTGGATTCCTAGGTATTTTATTCTCTTTGAAGCAATTGTGAATGGGAGTTCACCCATGATTTGGCTCTCTGTTTGTCTGTTGTTGGTGTATAAGAATGCTTGTGATTTTTGTACATTGATTTTGTATCCTGAGACTTTGCTGAAGTTGCTTATCAGCTTAAGGAGATTTTGGGCTGAGACGATGGGGTTTTCTAGATAAACAATCATGTCGTCTGCAAACAGGGACAATTTGACTTCCTCTTTTCCTAATTGAATACCCTTTATTTCCTTCTCCTGCCTGATTGCCCTGGCCAGAACTTCCAACACTATGTTGAATAGGAGCGGTGAGAGAGGGCATCCCTGTCTTGTGCCAATTTTCAAAGGGAATGCTTCCAGTTTTTGCCCATTCAGTATGATATTGGCTGTGGGTTTGTCATAGATAGCTCTTATTATTTTGAAATACGTCCCATCAATACCTAATTTATTGAGAGTTTTTAGCATGAAGGGTTGTTGAATTTTGTCAAAGGCTTTTTCTGCATCTATTGAGATAATCATGTGGTTTTTGTCTTTGGCTCTGTTTATATGCTGGATTACATTTATTGATTTGCGTATATTGAACCAGCCTTGCATCCCAGGGATGAAGCCCACTTGATCATGGTGGATAAGCTTTTTGATGTGCTGCTGGAAACCCTAGAAGAAAACCTAGGCATTACCATTCAGGACATAGGCGTGGGCAAGGACTTCATGTCCAAAACACCAAAAGCAATGGCAACAAAAGCCAAAATTGACAAATCGGATCTAATTAAACTAAAGAGCTTCTGCACAGCAAAAGAAACTACCATCAGAGTGAACAGGCAACCTACAACATGGGAGAAAATTTTCGCAACCTACTCATCTGACAAAGGGCTAATATCCAGAATCTACAATGAACACAAACAAATTTACAAGAAAAAAAAACAAACAACCCCATCAAAAAGTGGGCGAAGGATATGAACAGACACTTCTCAAAAGAAGACATTTATGCAGCCAAAAAACACATGAAGAAATGCTCATCATCACTGGCCATCAGAGAAATGCAAATCAAAACGACTATGAGATATCATCTCACACCAGTTAGAATGGCAATCATTAAAAAGTCAGGAAACAACAGGTGCTGGAGAGGATGTGGAGAAATAGGAACACTTTTACACTGTTGGTGGACTGTAAACTAGTTCAACCATTGTGGAAGTCAGTGTGGCAATTCCTCAGGGATCTAGAACTAGAAATACCATTTGACCCAGCCATCCCATTACTGGGTATATACCCAAAGGACTATAAATCATGCTGCTATAAAGACACATGCACACGTATGTTTATTGCGGCACTATTCACAATAGCAAAGACTTGGAACCAACCCAAATGTCCAACAATGATAGACTGGATTAAGAAAATGTGGCACATATACACCATGGAATACTATGCAGCCATAAAAAATGATGAGTTCATATCCTTTGTAGGGACATGGATGAAATTGGAAACCATCATTCTCAGTAAACTATCGCAAGAACAAAAAACCAAACACCGCATATTCTCACTCATAGGTGGGAATTGAACAATGAGATCACATGGACACAGGAAGGGGAATATCATACTCTGGGGACTGTGGTGGGGTCAGGGGATGGGGGAGGGATAGCATTGGGAGATATACCTAATGCTAGATGACACATTAGTGGGTGCAGCGCACTAGCATGGCACATGTATACATATGTAACTAACCTGCACAATGTGCACATGTACCCTAAAACTTAGAGTATAATAAAAAAATAAAAATAAAAAAAAATAAAATAAAAGGCTCTTCTTGAGCTACTGTGGCACCAAAGATGCCCTGAAACCTCAAAAAAAAAAAAAAAAGAAAAAAGAAAATAACTCACTAATTTATTTTAGAGGGTCTTGGAGGAATAGGTGAAAACAAAACCCACAGGCATATACATGCACACACTGCTAATCATATATAAATAGAGAAAAACTAGGTATCAAGAATGGGTTAAGGAAGATGAAAGGCAGAAGAAACCATGGCTAGTCTTTTATTTTCAAAATGATTTCCAAGGTGGACAATGGGTTCAAAATCTTGTCCTCAGCCTCCCAAAGTCCTGGGATTACAGGAATGAGCCACTGTGAGCTGGAAACCATTATCCTAAGCAGCAAATTAAGACAGAAAACCAATTATAACATGTTCTCACTTATAAGTGGCAGCTAAACATTGTATACTCTTGGACATAAAGATGGGAAAAGTAGACACTGGGTCTACTAGAGGCTACTAACTGTTGGGTACTATGCTCAGTACCTGTGTCATGGGATCAACTGTATGCCAAACCTCAGCATTACGTGATATACCTAGGTTACAAAATTACACATATGTTCTCTGAATCTAACATAAAAGTATAAAATAAAAAAAAATGAAGAAAATGAAATCCATTCTCTCTATTTTCTGGAAATTGAATTCTGCTGGACCAGGGACAATGGAGCTTTACTGAATAAGAAGCCCTCATGACACAAGTCTTTTGAAACTTTTTCCCACCATGTTGATTTCCTCCTAGGCACCTATTTTCCTTGATAGGACCAATGCATTCTCTCTTCAGGACATATTGAGGCATGGACTTGCAATGGCAGCCTGCATTTTCAAACTCAAATCAAGGTGACAGCAGAACCACTGCAGATAATGACTCTTCATTTGAGAGGGTCAACAGTTTCATTCTGAAAGACATGGAAGCCTAAGACCCAGAAATATTAGTTAATGTTCAGAAGTACTTGTGCCTGGAAGAGTGTCCAGTAAATCCTTGCTCTGTCTCCAATACATTTTCAAGATTATTTCTTGGTATCTAATCAAGTCTTATTTTTGTATCTGGCAACATTGATCTGCAACAATTTAAGTCTCCTTAATAATTTAAAGCAAAAATGCCACAAAGGAGGCACTACAGTATCTGCTTTCACCATAAATCCAATAGAATTCTGTTAAATATGTATTGTTAATTCTACAAACACCTTCAAAAATTGTTATTGTCTACATCAGCAAATGAACTGGGTACTTATTAACAAATGTAGTTTGTCCTGGGTACATTTTAAATAATTTCATTCCAGGATAATTGGTTGTAATGTGTTTCAAATTACAGTCTTTAAGAAAGGCAGATCAATTTCAATTTAAATAAACATTAAGAGTTGCAGGCTGTGCCAAGAATTGATGTTCATGTTGTAAATCAAACCTCATTTTCTGCTTAGAATTACTAATTGATTTTCTTCCTATCCAAAGTCCTATTCAATCACAAATAGAAATAGGTATATGATAAGATGTGCCTGTAGACATTTAATGTGCAATTCAGACATTTAACATTTTTTAAATGTTACATTGCCAATCTCCCTTTCTTGCTATTATCCACACAATTTTGATATGTAGCTGACTTAAGAGGCATGAGGAAATTTACATTAATAGTCTATGTTTTAAGGGGGCAGAGAGAGAGAGACAGACAGAGTGTGTGTGTGTGTGAGTGCGTGTGTGTTTGTGTGTGTGTGCAGAGGTGGGGGGTCTCCCTCTGTTGACCAGGCTGGTCTTCAACTCCTGGGTTCAAATGATCCTTCCAGTCGGTCTCCCAAAGTGTTGGGATTACAGATGTGAACTAGGCCCTTGAGGTTCTTAATATTGATTATTTTGACAATTTTAAAGCAGGCAGCATCTGTACCCTTCTATCTTCTGAACATGTTCAAAATTCTACCACTTCAAGGGAGTTTTCTATAAATTATCAATGAAAATTGTTCATTTATGAAAAAAGTAGTGCCTAGCATTTAGTAATTCTGTATATTCCAGAGACTCTTGTTTGATAGGGTTTACATTATTTTAACCTAAGCAATTGTTAAGTTGTGAAAACCAAGAAGCCCGCTGCTAAGATTGAGAATTAATTGAGACATGAATGGTGCTTTTAATTTGCCTAATTGGGTCAAAATTTTGCCTTAAGAGTGGAAGCATCATTTTCTCCTATAGCAAATTTTATTTTCATAATTCTACCCCTTAATACATTATCACTGCATCAGAGTAAACTGCTACATTTTTTATTTGGTGTTTGACACAAAAAGTATTCTTGGGCAGATATCTCCATTGTTAGATGATTCTGAAGGGGGTGATGCTGTTTTCTAGCTTAAAAAAACAAAATGAAGATGAAGAGCACAGTTTGGGGAGCTTTTGATATGCAGCCGGGAGACTTCTGCAGATAGAATATAAGACAAATATAATTTGTGTTTGGAAGCAGTAGGAATTCAACTGAAAAATAAATCCCCATAAACAAAAGTGCTGTAAAGTCCTTAAGAGTATAATCACACTGTAATTACATGGCCCTACAAATATGACACTGCAATGGTGGATCCATGTCACTATACATTGGTCCAAACCCACATTTTGTACAACACCAAAGATGAACCCTCAAGTAAACTATGGACATTGAGTGAAAATGATGTGTCAACATAGTTTCATCAACTGCACCAAATGTGCCACTCTGGTGGGAGATGTTGATAATGGGAGAGGCAGTGCATGTGTGAAGGAAGGAACATGAGATCTCTCTGGACCATCCATTCAATTATGCTCTGAACCTAATGGATACCTAAGAAAATAAATTCCATATAAATTATATATAAGATACTATGCTCTCATTTTAAAAAGACAGTAAGAACTTAGTAACAACTTAAAATAAGCTAATTCATTCATCAAGTAATTTCAATGATATTGTATTTGTTGTTTAAGAATCAAAGACAAAACACCAAGTTGTGTAGGGGATGGGAGTGTTTATGTGATATTATATTTATTGAGTCCATTACATTAATTTCCCTCATGACTGGCAATGGAGGATCAGTTGCTATCTTTATATTTTCTAGAGATATCTCAGAATCTCACATTTTTTTTTCAGATGAATGCTTAGTCTTTCACATTGTTTCTTAATTTCTATTTTTGTCTGTCAAAGAGAGTGTGTGTGTGGGTGTGTGTGTTTCCTGGGAGTTACACCGTAAAAGGCATAGCTGTCATTCATTTTTATACAAAAGTGGAACTTAGAAACAATAAAACCTGGCAGCTCCAAACCAAGAGAATTCTGTACTAGCTAATTATTGCCTATGCAAATGATCACATGCACATCGGACCATAAACAGCATTTAAAAATCTGTTCTCTCTCAGTGTCTGCCAAAGAGAATGGCATACACCACAAAGTAAAAATTAAAATGCTTGCATAGGCATTAATAGGCATTAGTTAATTGCAAAATAATGACCTCAGACCTTATGAAATGTCACTTCATAGAAAAGAAATGCACAATCCCTGATGATACCTCTGTTCAAAACCTTAGATCACATATATGCATCAGTTGGAATGGTGGTGACCTAAATTAGGTCACCTAATTTAGGCATACTTTAGCCTAATAAGGCATGCCAAAACTTGCATCCCTAAGGAACCTCCCCTGAGGGGGAAGTGTGCTCATGAGAGAAGACTTTCTAATTACTGGAAAATTTATCTCTGTCTTGGATAATGCACAGGTTTTTACAGATCACTGAGTACTAGTTCCATACCATGCACTTTCCAATATTAGTCCTAATCATAGGGGAAAATAAGGTAAGACTTTTCTTGGATCAAGAACCACCCAACCTGTGAATCCATTTACATTACCCCTTTATTTTATTAGTTGTCCCCATCAATCTCGACATTTCCATTCTTCCTACCCACTCTGGAAGGTTGATTGCTGTAGTTTGGATGTTTATCTTCCCAAACCTCATGTTGAAATTGGATCCCCAATGTTGGAGGTGGAGCCTAACTGGAGGTGTTTGGATCCTGGGAGTGAATTCCTCTTGAATGTCTTCATGCCATCCTTGCAGTAATGGGTGAGTTCTATTAGTTCCTGCAAGAGCTGGTTCTTTAGAAGAGCTGGGCAGCTCACTTGCTGTCTCTCTTGCTTACTTTCTCACCATGTGATTTCTGCACAAACCATCTCCCATTCTGCTATGAACAGAAGAAGTCTTAGGCCATTACAAGGTGCCCAATCTTCCAGCAACTAGTATCATGAGCTAAATAAATTTTTTTATCATCAATTACCCAGACTGAGATATCATTTTACAGAAACGCAAAACTCTCTAAGACATTAGTCAAGGTCAATGGATAATGAGATACACTTGTTGAAATCACTTGGTGTATAAGCATTTGAAAGCTCTGAAGCCTCTGTTGTGAGCATGGGGTGTCTTCATGTATTTTATCTGAATGAGGTTCACCTGGAGTGCTTTTAAGTACTAGATTGTTTTAGGAGCATTTCTCACCCACCATCAAAGAATTAATTCTCTTGTTGTAGTATGCAAGGATCTTTATTTTAGCAAACTCCCCAAATGGTGTAGTGAACACTACATTGGGAAAAACTTTTCCAGAAGGCAAATGATAAATTTTCTACCTTCAGCCAGATGACATTGTGTGCTTGGGTCTGCTGGGTAGGAATTAGAGAAGGAGGAGAAGGCATGGCCTTGGTCTTCTGTATTAGGAGTCAACAATAGCCTCTTCAATATTCAGTGTCCTAATCTGAATTTTCTATTTAAAATGATTTTTTTATCTCTTGAAGCCAATGTATTTGAGAGTGCGCAGATTAACTAACTCTCAGTTCAAGCTGAGGCATGAAGAAAAAGTGTGTTCCTTGAGGTAAGATTTGGTACAAAGACACTTACGTAGATTATTAAAAAAACAAAAACAAACTATGTATGACCAGCTTTTATTGACCATATATGTGATTCATATTTTCATTTATCTCAAACTGCCACATATTAAGATATCCATGTTTACTCAATATATGAGTTGTTTGGAAATAGTACTAGTTCTTTTCATTAGAAAAATAGGTAGAAGAGCTCTGACTTGAGAAGCTCTTGGCCTCTTGTGCACACAAACTCACACACAAACACACAAACATGCCATAATCCCAATAACTTTCAGTGACCTATATTGACTAAAGGGATTTCTAATTTCTTCATATACTTTAACTTAAATTAAATCATCTCAGCATTTGGGATTAACTTAATTTATACAAAAATAAACATGTGGAAACACAGAATTCACATTGTTGTTGCTTAGTTTGTAAGCCTAAGGCAACTATTATTTTAAGCCAAGAACAGAAAAACAAATGGCATATGGTCTTATTCATAGGTAGAGTCTAAAAATGTTTATTTCATGGAAGTAGAGGTAGAATGGTGGTTAATGAGGGCAGTGGGTGTTGGAGAGATGTTGGCCAAAGGATACAAAATTTCAGTTAAACAGGAGGAATGAGTTCAAGAGATCCATCGCACCACGTGGTGGCTACATGTAATAGTATGTTGTATTCTTGAAAAATGCTAAAAGGGTGGATGTGAAATTTTCTCCACAAAAATCATAACTATGTGAAGTAGTACATTTGTTAATGAGCTAAATTCAGTTATTCCGCATTGTATATCTACTTCAAACCACCATGCTGTCCATTGTAAATATATGAAATTTTCTTTGTCTATGTAAAAAAGAAACATGTAGAAATACATATCTTCCAGAAAATATTCACCAATCCTCTAGTTATAATGTTAGCCAAATGTGGTTTCAGATGAACTGGAAAAGGATTTAGAAAAAAAAGTCTATATATTTTTTATTTGGGGGAAGACTAATATAGACATGCAAATATATACATAATTGAGTAGACTTTACCTAATTTTGTGAAAACAGCTTTCTCATGAATGTGCATAGAAGTAAAAACAAGAGACTTACTATTCAGCCCAAATGAATTGTATTTATCTTCTATGTGCTGCTGTATGTGTGTTAGAGAGCTAAAAGGGAAGAGCCCCTTATAAAACCCTCAGATCTCATAAAAGCTCACTCACTATCAGGAAAACAGCATGGGGAAAACCAGCCTTATGATCCAATCACCTCCCACCAGGTCCCTCCCTTGATATGTAGGGATTACAATTCAAGATAAGATTTGGGTGGGACAGAGAGCCAAACAATATCAGCACCCAAGTCCACAATATTTTATTATAGCAACTCAAATGAATTAAGACAATCATGATGATTAACTTAGAATGAAAATATGGGTTAGTTGAGGAAATCATTGAATAAAGTAATGTATTGTCATGATACTGACTTTTGTCTGTGTGGTGGTTTGCAGATGCTTACTCCATTGTATGCAATACCAAATTAAGTAACTAAACAAAGCTCAACTAAATGCACCATCAAAAGGCCAGTAATGAGTGTGCATGACTCAGATATTATGATGCATCAAATTCTGTTCATCCATGTGACAACATAAACCAGACATAGCAGGTTGCTAGGAAAGCTTTGTGAAGAAGTTTATTCTGGGAGAATGAACAATGGAGACAATGTGGATAGGTACCAAAAGCATTGGCACCCTATACAGGGTTTGAGAAGCATTATGTGTGTTAGAACTAAGAATTGAAAATTCTCCTTTATGTTTCTTTAGTTGACAAAAAGCATTAGACTTCCCCCAGAAAACTTTCCTTATTCCTGAAATACAAACATATGTCATTGCTGTTCGCAGCACATAAATGAATTGCTACATTAACAATTTTTTTACATGGGTCAGGTGTGGTAGCTCATGCCTATAATCCTAGCACTTTGAGAGGCTGAGGTGGAAGAATCACTTGAGCCCAGGAGTTCAAGACCAGCCTGGACAACAAAGCAAGACATCATTTCTACAGAAATAAATAAATAAATAAATAAATAAGTTAATAAGCAAGCCAGGTGTGGTAGTCACTTGAGCCAAGGAGTTGGAGACTACAGTGAGCTGTGATTGTGCCACTGCACTCCAACGTGGATGACAGAGTGGGGGCTTGTCTCAAGAAGTTAAAAAAAAAAAAAAAGATAAAAAGGTATTTATGATATAGTTCCCAGAAAATAGTTTTTAGGAAAGTAATACCCTATTCTCTATTTCTGCCTTTAATTTCCCTTCCCTTTGTTTATTCTGTCTGGCCAGAGAAGTTTTTGACCTCTTGTGCGCGCGCGCACACACACACACACACACACACACACACACACACACACACTTTCTAATATAGATGCTCCATGAATAACAGTGAGGTTACAGCCAAATAAACCCATCATAAGTTGAAAATATTATAAATAAAAAGTGCAATTATAGGCCTCTAAGAACTTGCTTTATGAATCTGGGTGCTACTGTATTGGCTGAATATATATTTAGTATAGTTAGCTTTTCTTGTTGCCTTGATCTCTTTACCATTATATAATGCCCTTGTTTGTCTCTTTTGATCTTTTTGGTTTAAAGTCTGTTTTATTAGAGACTAGGATTGCAACCCTTGCTTTTCTTTCCTTTCCATTTGCTTGATAAGTCTTCCTCCATCCCTTTATTTTGAGCCTATGTGTGTCTTTGCACATGAGATGGGTCTCCTGAATACAGAACACTGATGGGTCTTGACTCTATCCAATTTGCCAGTCTGTGCCTTTGAATTGGGGCATTTAGCCTGTTTAAATTTAAGGCTAATATTGTTATGTGTGAATTTGATCCTGTCATTATGATGCAAGCTGGTTATTTTGCCCATAGTTGATGCAGTTCCTTCATAGTGTTGATGGTCTTTGCATTTTGGTTTGTTTTTGCAGTTTGTGGTACCAGTTTTTCCTTTCCGTATTTAGTGCTGCTTTCAGGAGCTCTTGAAAGGCACATCTGGTGGTGACCTCCTGACCTCAAGTGATCCACCCATCTCAGCCTCCCAAAGTGCTTGATTAGAGGTGTGAGCCACTACTCCTGGCCATGTTTCACTTTCACATAATCATAAGTCAAATCATCCTAAATTCCAATTATCTGTACCATCACCTTGGGGATTAGGACTTCAACATATGGGTTTTGGGAGTGACACAAATTTTCAGTCCATAACTAACATGGATCTTATGTTTGGGATATTCTTACTTCCTTTATGTTGTCTAAAATGAGGCCTTGTTTCACTGGCCTGTATTTTTAAACATGCATATGTTTATTTTTATTGGCTTTAATTTTCAAAAGAAAAAAAGGGTAAGTGTCAGTTTGGCATCTTGTTGACCTCATGATTTTCACTGAGTGAAACCACTGCTGTTTCCCACAGTGCTGTGCTGTGTGATAATGAGTGGCACATGAAAATTTGTTATGTGAGGACACATGTGCTATTATCAGAGGAGACCTGCATGGTCTCTAGAGTTTGTATTGAAAGCCATGCTGCTATGTACATTATTCTACATTTTTTTCCATTGTCTACTGTATATGTTTCAGTTTCTATTTGGTATACACCTAAGAGTGTTGTGGTTAGCCACAGGCTCTGGGGATGTTCAGCCTTACAGATCATATTAAACTGTTTTCCAAAGTATTTGCACTGATTCACTCTTCTCACTCAGAATTCATCAGGGATACTATGGATTCATATTAGAACATAGGCTTGACTGTTACCTGATTTGTTTCTATTTGCCAAACTTGCAAAATATCATCATATGAATAAAATATCATCTGGCATGTGTGTATCCTCATCTCATTTTTAAAGATAATGTAGCTAGGTGTGATGAGGCTCATACCTCTAATCTCAGCACTTTGGGAAGCCAAGTTGGGAGGATTGCTTGAGCCTAGGAGTTAAAGACCAGCCATAATGAGACTCCCTCTCTATAAAAAAATTAGGCAGGTGTGGTGGTGCATTCCTATAGTCCCAGCTACCGGGGAAGCTAAAGTCGAAGGATTGCTTGAGACCACAGGTTGGAGGCTGTGGTGGTGAGCTAAGTTCTTGCCACTGCCCTCCAGCCTGGGCAGCAAAGTAAGACACTGTCTCTGAAAATAAATGTAAATAATAATAATAATAATGTGCTTCCTTTTAAGGCAATGTTTGCTCTTTCTTTCTTATGTTCTTTTACTCCATTAAGTAAGTTCCATTTGATTTCCAATTTACAGTGTATTTTGAGATATAACAATTAAATATTATCAATGACTTTTCTTTTTCCAATTAGAGGATCGTATTTTCTCTCCTAATCCAAAACTGAGATAAATTTCATTTCTAGACTTTTTAATAAGCAATCTCTGCTGCACAGTGACAAACCCAAATGGGTCATGGTATATTATTATTTTTATATACCATTACATAAAACTTGTTAAAAATGTCTTTAGATATTTGAAAGTAAATTTATTTTTTATTTTTATTTTTTTTTCTTCCCAGGTTCTTTTTTTAATTCTTATTTCATTTCATTATTATTATACTTTAAGTTTTAGGGTACATGTGCACAATGTGCAGGTTTGTTACATATGTATACATGTGCCATGTTGGTGTGCTGCACCCATTAACTCGTCATTTAGCATTAGGTATATCTCCTAATGCTATCCCTCCCCCCTCCTGCCACCCCACAACAGTCCCCAGAGTGTGATGTTCCCCTTCCTGTGTCCATGTGTTCTCATTGTTCAACTCCCATCTATGAGTGAGAACATGTGGTGTACATTTATAAGTGAAATGGATTCATTTTTTATTTTCTTTTTCTTTTTCAAAATCTTGGTCAAGTTTCAGTGTTCAGAATGACATGACAGCCTTAAAATATGAGTTGATACTCTTCCATTTCCTTTTTTTGTGTGTGGTTGCATAAACCTAGGATGATCTGTTTCTTGAACACCTATAAAAGTTATCTGGGCTTGATGCTGTAAACCGTTGAAAGACTTCTAGCCATTCCTTTTTTACTTCTTAGTAAGCCAGCCTTAACAAAATTCTTAAACCTTCCCTTAACATTTGCCCCTATGTCAAAGTGTTTTCTTAGTTGTTTTTCAAAGAACAACTGTTGGTTATGTTAAGTTTCTCAATTGTACTATTAGAAACTTTCATAATTTATATGTTTTATTTCTTCTCTTATTTATCCCTTTCCTTTCATATTCTTGTAATGTATGCTATTGTTCTTTTTCCTGTGTGTTTTTGTGTGTGTGTGTGTGTGTGTGTGGTTGTTGTCGCTGTTTGTTTCTTGATACAGAGTGTAGTTCTGTCACCCAGCCTGGAGTGCAGAGGTGTGACCAGGGCTTACTGCAACCTCTGACTCCCAGGTTCAAGCAATCCTCTCACTTCAACTTCCTGAGTAGCTGGGACTACAGGTGGATGCCAGAATGACAAAATAAAAAAAAAAAAAGAAAAAAAAAGTATGTTTTATGGAGATCAAATTTCACCAGGTTGTCTAGTCTGGTCACCAACTCCTGAACTCTGGTGATCCACTGGTTTCAATCTCCCAAAGTGCGAGGATTACAGGTGTGAGCCACCACACCCGGCCCCTTTTATTGTTTTTATGTGAGCACTTGGATGATCACTTTTGAATTGCTTTGTTTTTTGCTTAAAATTTCTAAGGATATAATCCCTCCAGTGAACCAATTTTACTTAACATAGTATTTCTCTATGTAGTATATCCATTATTATTTAGTTCTATTAATACTTTCAAATTCTACATGATTTCATCTGCAATCCATGAGTTGTTTACCTAAGCACATTCATATTTATATTTAGTATGTGGGAATTCATTTCCTACTTTCTTTTTATTATTTATAAGTTACAGTAAACTAATGTCAAAATAGTATGAATTAAAAGTTAGACAGAACATATGATCTCCATGATACCTTTTCTTTGATATTTGCGGAGGGTTTTTTTATGGCCTAATACGGGATCAATTATTGTAATACTCTAAATGCTTAAGAAATAAAATGTCAATTAACATGGTCCATCTGACACCCACACACTTTATTATTGGATACTTTTTTGTGCATTACTTCAGACTAATTTAGTTCTACCTCCAATGCATACTACTTTGGTGCTCAGTTCCATGCAGGTCTTATTTAGTTTAGGCAAATGCACTAGCATCTTTCTGAAGTTGTAGAATTCTGCAACTTCTCAGGGACAAACAAAAAATATTGATGGAGTTTATACATTTAAGGGGACAGGTTTAGCAAATGAATGATATGGTTGCTTAAAATCAATGCTTCTACATTTTACCTTTTCATCCCCAAATGTGCACTTGTGAGAAACAATTTGTAAACATCCAGGTCTCAATGGGATGAAGAATCAATCACCAAACTTGCTAAAGATTATTTTCATTAGCTGTTCTGCCTTTCCTGTCCTGTTACAGATGGTTAGAGAGGCATGAGCAGAGCAGGAGAGGTTGCTTCCACCACCACCAGGAATGTCAGGTGAGAATAGGATTATAGTTTGAAAATTATCACATTGCCACTCTAAAAGGGATAAATTGGCAGCTGGCACCAGGGGGAGGCCATTTCCTAATTGTCCACATATCTTGCACTAAAATGTTAATTGAATACAAACACCAAGGAGAAGCAACTTCCCAGCCATGTGCAATAAGAGACAGAATGGCAGTATACGACTTTCCAGGGGCACTCCACCAGAAAAGAGAAGAAAGCTTCAGACTGGCATGCATACAACTTACTGAACACACTGCATGTGCTCATTTCCCAAGACTAACAAGGGCACTGTGCATATAGGCAGCCCACCCTAAGGGAAGAATTATGGGAAAGGGGTGCACATGGAAGTGGGACAGCCTATAAAGTCCTATATTCAAGGTCAAATGTCACACTTGTCCTTCAAGTTGCCCGCTTGGGTCTCTTCCAAGTGCACTTTCCTTTCTTCCCTGTTTTAAAGTCTTTTTAAATAAACTTCCACTCCTGCTCTGAAACTTGCTTCAGTCTCTTTTTCTCCTTATGGCCCTCAGTTGAATTCTATCATCTGAGGAGGCAAGAATTGAGATGGCTACACATGCCGCTGGTTACTCAGATACCTTCCAGCAGTAACAATCCCACTGTAGCTCTTCACTTGTTTGCTCATATTTTCAATTAACTACTTGGGTGCAGGCCTTTCCACAAGTTACACTGTAGGAGAATCCCAGCAGAAGAGAGAGAGAGGGAGAATGAATTTTCAGATGTGCATCAATTCATGTCAATTTTTCCCAGCTTCTCTCAAGTTCCAAACTTCTATCCCACCTGGATTTTGCTAAGAAGATTTTGCATCTCCCAATATGAGTAAAGACAGGTAAGGAGGAGTCACTGTGTCATACCACAGCCATGATGTGAGAGAAATAAAACCAACTGTTATCTTGCCCTCTCTTAACCTCTAGAGCCATTCAAGACTGCCCCAGTCTGAAGGCATCCTCAACTACTTCAACCCATGCACACCCATTCATTGTGCCCTGCACCACTCTATTTGCTCTATTTGATTTTACTTTTTGTTCTCTCCACTGTTGAAGAATTGATCTTTGGAGAGATGGCCAGTAGCTTAAGCAGTCCAAGACCTCATTCAGAACACCTATGTTTGGTGGATGATTGTGCTCGGTGCCTTTCCACATCACTTAAGTGATTCATCTCCCTGGAGTGCTCACAGGCTAAAGTTTCCCTAGCAGGTTAAACAGAAAGCCCTTTTCACCAAGTCATTAATCAGTCCCTTGTCCTTGCACTATCTGGGTCCATTCTGTTGCTACAGGCATTGAATATTGTATCTTTTTATATATAACCTTTTCTTCTGGAATAAGAGGTTGGCCAGGAGTGATAGCTTATATTTGTAATTCAGACACTTTAGGAGGCTGAAGTGGGAGGATGGCTTGAGGCCAGGAGTTGAAGACCAGCCTGAGCAATACAGAGAGACCGTATCAGTACAAAACAAAACAAAACAAAACAAACAAGAAATAGCCAGGAATAATAGCATGCACCTGTAGTTCCAACTGCTTAGGAGGCCAAGGCAGGAGGATCTCTTGAGCCCAGGAGGTCCAGGCTACATTGACTTATGATCACATCACAGCACTCCAGCCTGGGCAACAGAGTGAGACTCTGTATCTAAAAAAACAAATGATCAAAAAACAGAATGAAAGGCACATTAAAGACCACCATCAGAAAATATATTCAAGGGATTTAGGATCTATATTGAAATGACAATGTGAGGAGCCCCAGAAAGATGAAACAAAACAAAACAAGGCAAAAGAAACAAAAGATATGCCTAAGTGCTCCAAATTGCTCAACCTGATCAGTGATTTTGGGGAAAAAATGCATACACTGCAAGCATTTTAGTTCATTTGTTATGGATAGATATGGCCGGGAAACTCTGAAAATTAAAGTGACCATTTTACAGACTTGCGCAGGAGAATGAACGTTCTCTGGCTGACTTCTCTTTTCATTTTCCAGGGACTGCATGTATAATTTGGAGCCTTTAAAAAAGCTTATATTATTTTAGCCTTTTATTTTATGTTATTTTACTCATTCTCTGACTTCTTAATCTAAAGCCAGAAAAATGAAGTTCTTCAGAGAAAAGGAGACCATCTGAACAATATTAAAACAAGTAATGTGAAAGAAATTGATTACAATGGAAGAAAAAAAGAGTAAATTTACTTTTAATATTTTTATGATTAAATAGAAGGCAAATATTAGTGACCATTAGATCAATTCCAAATAATTATTTGCTAGTGTATAATATGAACCTGTATGTGAATTATAATAATATTTTCCAACCTATACTGGATCATTATTATTTGACCAATTACAAAAACATATAAGGTGTGGAAGTGGCTCAGACACAAGATTTTGTACCGGGAGCAGTTTCTCTTAAATTCCAGTTGAATTTTGGTCCTTGCTAGTCCCAGCATGCAGTATGTACCTCTGAGCTTGACTTGTGATTTTAGAGTCGAAAATCTCCAGATATAAGGTCTCTGTTTAAAATACTGGGTGGTGAGGCAGGAAGAAGGTGACTTGAACCCAGGAATTTGAGGTCACAATGAGCTATGATTGTATCATGGCACTCCAGCTTGGATGACAGAGCAAGATCCTGACGCTAAAAGAACAATAAAAATAAAAATAAATAACAGAGGATTGCTTGAGCCTAAGAGCTCAAGACCAGCCCAGACAACATAGGGAAACCACGTGTCAACACACCCAAAAAAATTAAAAACAAATAGAGAAATACTTGGTGGCCTCAGTGAAATGATTTCTTTCGCTGGATAAATCATTCATTGTATTTTATTTTTATAGTACTTAAAATATTGCTTAAAAAATACAAAAAAATTAGCCTGGTGTTGTGGCGGGTGCCTGTAGTCCCGGCTACTCAGGAGGCTAAGGCGGGAGAATGGCGTGAATCCAGGAGGCGGAGGTTGCAGTGAGCAGAGAGAGTGCCACTGCAGTCCGGCCTGGGCGAAAGAGCAAGACTCCATCTAAAAAAAAAAAAACCAAAACAAAACAAAAAAACATAAATATGTTGGATTGGATTTTTAAAAGTAGTTTTAGCTAAATCTACTCTTGCAAATGAATGTTCTCCACCAAATCAGTTCCTTATGGAATTTGAAATCCACTTACATTGATCTTGCCAAATTTCAAGGAGCTATGAAAGCCTCCTCTAGATACTATGATGTGTTTGTTCACATGTGCTCTATCCACAGTCCTAGTACATCATCTCAATTTGGAAACAGTCACATTACAGAAGGAAAAAGATACATCTTCAATTTTCTCCATCAGCCTCATGCAAACTCTATCTTGAGCCCAACCCAATGTTTTCCCACTGGAAAATTTCAGAACAAAGATAAGATTCTCATAGGTCTAATCGATGATTTTCCCCAATATGATGCCCAACGTGACTGTGAAACTTTGGAGATGGAATCTAGAAGGAGGTACCACCAACACAAGCTAAAGGGAAGCTTAGTTTTGTTGCTGTTTTGGTTAAATTTGATGTTACTCACCCTCCCACCACCTTTCTGAGGTAGACATACATTATTCATCATTTTCATGTGCAAGACCCTCTCAATCCTAATTCTGCTCTCTGCCTACTTGTTTTGCCTCCACACATGTGCACCTGCTTTTCTAAAACCGATTTCTCTAAAACATACGGATTAAGCATTTATTGTGATTGTATCAAGTGACAAAGAGGATTCAACAAAGAGTAAGACTGGGTTTTTCTCCTAGGGCTGCTCATAGTAATTGAGGCATAGGGTCATGCTTCAGGGTATTGCAGTAGAGGCAGTAGACCAGTCATGCACAGAAAATATTCAGGGACGGTGACCGTGACGATGGATGGACCACAGGGCAGGTCTCCCTGAGGTTCATAATTCAGATGGAATCCTAGATGAGTGCAAGTTTGCTCTTAGATAGGAGCTCTTTTTGATCCTCTAGAAAGCAGCAAGCCTGGCTTATTCCTCTTTCCTCCCTTACTCTGCTGATACATTTCTGCAGTGACCAGGCTGTCTAAATGGGTCTTTGATGTTCAGTGGGTCCCTGATTCTGGCTGCTTTATTGTACTGCCCGCTCAGGATAGCCTGTCCCTATGCAGTCTAGCAGAGCTAAGACCCCTGGGCAAAGCCTGCCCCATCACAGCAGAAAAGCCCTTCTCTGACCCTGCTGTCATTTATGAGTCATGAACACAAAACATGGTGGCCTTTGTCCACAGACTATAAATGTAAATGTTCCACTCAGCCAATAGCCAAAAGCGTCACATTTTCTACATCATAACCCTGCTTATTTATTAAAACAAAACACAACATTTTATGTGGTTGTTCATGGAGGCATGCAATCCATCACATAAAAGAAAAACAGAATTACACACTATTGATGGGTTCCATTTTATTAACAGGTAAAGACATATTATCAATTTTATGATTGAGAACACTATGAATGAAGAGAAATTGAGAACTATATAATTAGTAAAAGACAATCTGCTTAATAACACATATTCTTGATTATTGGAGGAAGTAAGTCTCAAAAAAGGGGCCATTCTGGCCATAGAATTTGAATATAACAAGAATGATGTGATATCTGGAGACATTTAAGAATACTTACATATAGAAGGACAAATAGAAAGTACAATTCCACTAACTAGTCATTCAGGACATGTTTATGGGTAACTAATTTACATTTCATTGACTTTATAAATATATCCCCTGCAACTAAAATTAAAGGCAAAAAACATTTCTTACTATTCTGCCCTCAAACTCTCCATTTTCTGGGTCCTTGGTCTTTGCTTTCCTGACCATCATTAAATACAGCACTAAATACAGAAACACCAAATACAAATATCAAACACGCATGTGCTAAATGATAAAGTAGCCTAACTATGTAGCTGGACATTTCCTAAAATATTTTATGGATATGACATTTTTCAAGATGGCTTAATGCTGCAGATTTGATTTCAGTGATTTAAGCATTATCATTAATGGCAGGAATTCTGCTTTCTCTCTGCAGTGTGTCCTTTAAGAAAGTACCAGGTTTAAACCCTGGAGAAAGACATCCAAAAATCGGACAAGATTGGAGAAACCAAGGAAGCCCTTTTATAATGTGCTGTGGATGGGGAAACTTGCAGTCTTCAGAAATGATCTTATAGGAGAAGGTTATTGCTGTGTGACTGTCTTATTTATCTCTTATCACATGAGATTTAGTAGCCAAGGCAACATCCACGTTTTGAGCTTTGCCAAGGTCAAGCTCAAAATGAAAAAGCTGAAGACAATAGTAGGAATTAATTGTGTGAGAGACTGGATAGTAGAGGAAAATAGACATGATTCATCTTAACTGCTAGTTTCTGGGTTAAAGATGCAAACAAATTTGAACTCAGAAGACATGTGGTTTTTTAAAAACTCTCAATATGAAACAATAATATTAACTAGATTACTCCCATTTTATGCCACATGGGAAAGCTACAATTTTTCTACCTCAGACCAACCTAACATTTTCTCTAAAATATAATCATACCCTTTTTTTTGCCAGCTGGTCCAACTGTTAGTGCCTCCTTAATATAGACATTAGGAAACAAATGAGCATTTTGTTTACATGCATATACTTACTGCTGCTCTATATAGGGTTTTATAGACAACTCCAGATTGGGCGGGGGGGGGGGGTGGGGAGAGAGAGAGAGAGAGAGAGAGAGAGAATAGATATGTAAATTTAAAATAGAGATAATATTATAATATATTTTGCTTTCTCTCTGCAGTGCCTCCTTTAAGATGGTACCAGGTTTAAACCCTGGAGAAAGACATCCAAAAAACAGATAAGATTAGGGAAAACAAGGAATGGTTAGGGAAAACAAGGAATGATTAGGGAAAACAAGCCATGCTACTACTCTTGGCTTCAAGCCAAATCAAATGACCTCTAGTTGCTCCTTGGTCACAGAACAGGTAATGACCCAGAAGGTCAAGGTGTTGTCCAATTGCTTCATGGCACTTGGACAGACTCCCTGTACATAGAAAGGTACCCAGTCCCATCTACTTCTGGCAACTGGTGTCTATGAGCACACTCTCAAAAATGTTCTGACCCACCCTTCAGGGTCATTCTGCTTTTCCATAAATTCTGGATAACTTTTAAGAAGAACAATGGAATTTAAGAGTTTGTAAAACCTATCTTCAATTCAGCTTATTTACTTACTCTAAGAGAGCCTCCTAAAATGATTTTTCTTGATTGTGCAATTTCTAATGTAGAAGAAAAATCAATAAACCCATAGGCATTTGGTCTTCATATGAGAACTCATATATGTTTGTAGCATTTTAAATGCAAAGTCAGGTTTTAATTTCACCCTCAAGGAAAATTACAAGGGAAACCATGGACTCTCCATAAAAGATGTTAGCTTACTTTGCTTTTAAAAGGAAATATAGTTTTTTCTATTTTGGGTTCATTCCTATTTTCATCTTCCCTTTGGGAAAAGAGAAGGCAGGAAGAAAATTTTGAGGTGTGTAACCATCAAATTATGACTCAATACTAAAACATCCAGATAGAAATTACTCAATTGTTTTAAACTTGAGGGAAAATATGTGACATACTTATTTAATATAGGATATTTTCTGAGGAATCAATAGATAAATTACAGCTTCTAAGACACGCTTCAATTGATTGACTTTTTAGTAAAAATGTTTTCAACATTTTGATTAATTGCCTGACTTCTATAAATTGTCTGGCCACATCATTTATATCAGTCGCAACAAACTGCAAATAACCTGACAGGCAAAGTTATTGCAGTTATGGCAAAGCTTAACAGAAACTGTCAACTTGAAATTTAATAAAAAATGAAATTGCTTAGCTACTCATCTAAGGGCAAAATACTCTTTAATTGCTTCTTTGTTCATTTTGACACATATAGTCTTAAAGTTGAGGTATTTTTATCAACCTATACAACGAAAACCTAAAGGATATTGGAAGAAAAAATATATACATAAATATGTGTATATATACACAAATATTTATATTTTAATATTTAAATATATAAGTATATATAAACTATAAACATATATAATATACAAATATAAAAAATTCTATACCTTATTATTTCAGCCATAAGTTCCAGTGTTCTTTGCTTCTTTGTATAAATACACATTTCCATAACCACACCTGGTATCATTTTTCTTTTTTTGAAGGATGTCCTTACCACTTCTTGCAGTGTGGTCTGTGCTAATCAATTATTTCTGTTTTTCTATTTTTGAACATGCCTACTTCTTCTCTGATTTTAATAATATTTTTGGTAGTTATTCAATTCTAGATTACATTTCCCCCTTAGTTCTTTAGAGACATCATTCCACTGTCTTCCAGTGGGCATTATTTTTCACTCGAAATTTGCTGGAATCATTACTTTGACATATGAAATGTAACCTGTGTTTTCTCTCTGGGTGCTTGTAAGGTTTTCTTGAGTTATCACTTTTCAGCCCTCAGATTATGGAGTACTATGCATTTCTCCAAAATACAGCTTTAGCATCATCTACAAATTTTATAAGCTGGAATTTTACTTGTTGTTTTGGTGCATGTTGGCTGAGGTTCTTGAATCTATAGGATTATAGTTTACATCAAATACAAAAATGTTTTGTCATTATATCTTCAAATATGGTTTCTGTGATTTATCTTTTTCTGGGATTCCAATTACATTCATATTAATGTACTTAAAATATTCTTAAAGCTCATAGATCTATTCATTTTTTAAAATCTCTCTTCTCTACTTTTTGTTTGTTTGGTAGGGTTTTTATTGCTATGTCTATAAATACACAAGTCATCTTTTCCTGCAAACTCTACTCTCCTGTTAACTTGGTTCAATGTTATTTTGATTTACACGTTGTAGATTTTATATCCAGATGTTTTATTTGAGCATTTTATGTATCTTTGATGTTTTTATCTAACTTTATGAACACATGAAATACCGTTATAATAGCTACTTAATGTCATTGCATAATCTAACATCTGTGTCATTTCTGGGGCTATTTTGATTGATTTTTCTTCATCTTATTAATTACATTTTTGTACTGTTTCTCATTACTGGAGGCTTTTCTTTGGATGCCATATCTTGTAAAATTTAACCTTTTGAAGTTGAATATTTTTGTGTCCTGTAAGTATGCTGAAGTTAACCTCTAAGATGCATATATGATCAAATAGACAGAGGCATGTTTACCAGGATAGACTAAGTTTAGACCTGAAATACATTTTATTAGTCATTTTTTGTACTTCCATAAAGAATACTTGAGACAGTGAAATTGATAAAGTAAAGAGGCTCAATCAACTAACAGTTCCACATGACTGGGGAGGCCTCAGGAAACTTACAATCATGGCAGAAAGTAAATGGGATGCAGGTACCTTCTTCACAAGGGAGCAGAAGAGAGAGAATCTGTGCAGGGGAAACTGCCACTTTTAAACCGTCAGATCTTGTGAGAGCTCTCTCACAATCATGAGAAGAGCTTGTGGGAAACTAACCCCATGATTTAGTCACCTTCCACCAGGTAACTCCCTTCACATGTGGGGATTACAATTCCAGATGATGTTTGGGTGAGGACAGACAGCTAAACCACATCATACATTTCAAAAAATTAGAAGAAAATCCAAATGACACAATGTATGTTCTCTGACCACAGTAGCATTAAATTACAATCAATAATTAAAACATATCTAGAAAATGCCCAAATATTAGAAACTGCATAAGACAATCATAAATTATAAATGGAAGAATCAAACAAAAAAATCAGAAATGATAAAATAATTGAACAAAATGCAAATGAAAGCACAATGTATCATATTTACAGGATAACACTGAACTTGTACTAAGAAATTTATGTCTCTGGATAACTATATTAAAAAAGAATGAAGATTTTAAATTAAGGAGCCATAGCTTTCACTTTAAGAACCCAGAAGAGAAAGAACAAGATAAACCCAAAATAATCAGGAAAAAGAAAATAATATAAGAGAATACAAATTAAATAAGGCAACCAAAGGAATACTAGATTTCTTGGAGTAAAAAATATACCAAAAGGATGTTTACAATCAGTATTAATTAAAGAAATGATAGTTCAAGAGAAAATAACATAAGAACTGTTAATATCACTCAATTGTCAAGAGTATAAAATTGCAAAACTCAATCCTTTTTGCCTCTTTTTTTCCCCCAACAATGACTTTGTAGAATAGAATGTTTGTCTACTGCTTCCATGTAAGGCTGCTCTCTTGTGTTCTTTCTGACCCATCATTTCTTCGTTGCTGGATTTTTCATCTTCCCTTCATGCTATTGTTCCTCCAGCTACTTCCCTCATTTTCCCCCACTTTCTCTCCACACTGTCTCCCAGTGCACCTTACCTAAAACAACCAGCTTAATTATTACTGGGGAGACTAACGATCACCTGGCAGTAATCAAGCAAACCATTCAGAGGCCAGACTCTAATGCTAGTAAGAGGTGAAGCCAGCTAGTCTTCTGGGTCAGGTGGGGACTTAGAGAACTTTTCTGTCTAGTTAAAGGATTGTAAATGCACCAATCAGCACACTGTGTCTAGCTAAAGGTTTGTAAACACACCAATCAGTGCTCTGTGTCTAGCTAATTGGGTAGGGCACTTGGAGAACTTTTCAGTCTAGCTAAGATTGTAAATGCACCAATCGGCACTCTGTGTCTAGCTAAAGATTTGTAAATGCACCAATCAGCACTCTGTAAAAATGGAAAAATGAGCACTCTGTGAAATGGACCAATGAGCAGTCTGTAAAATGGACCAATCAATTCTCTGTAAAATGGACAAATCAGCAGGATGTGAGTGGGGAATAAAAGCAGGACACCTAAGCCAGCAGTGGCAACCTGCTCGGGTCCCCTTCCATGCTGTGGAAGCTTTGTTTTTTCACTGTTCACAATAAATCTTGCTGCTCCTCACTCTTTGGGTCTGCACTACCTTTATGAGCTGTAACACTCACTGTGAAGGTCTGCAGCTTCACTCCTGAAGTCAGCAAGACCACAAACTCAATGGGAGGAACAAACAATTTGGGATGTGCCACCTTTAAGAGCTGTAACACTCACTGCAAAGGTCTACGCCTTCATTCCTGAAGTCAAATGAGACCATGAACTCACCAGAAAGAAGAAACTCTGGACACATCTGAACATCTGCAGGAATAAACTCTGGACACACAATTTTTAAGAACTGTAATGCTCACCATGAGGGTCCATGGCTTCATTCTTGAAGCCAGCAAGACCAAGAACCCACCAGAAGGAAGCAATTCTGGCCATATTTTGGCAAACACAAAGGGACAATCAACTATCACCAAATGGTGAACACCATTAGACCCCTTTTGCTTGCTATTCTGTCCTATTTTTCCTTAGAATTCAGGGTCTAAATACTGGGCATCTGTCAGCCAGTTAAAAGAGAATAGTGCAGCCACTGGACTGAAGACACTGGTGTCAGGCTTTCTGGGAAAGGGCTCTCTAACAACCCTCTACTCTTTGGAGTTGGGAGCGTTGGTTTGCTGGAACCAGCTTCCTGCTTTTCCTGTACTTCTGGGCTGAGGTGAGGGTCAACAGAGAGGAAAGCCATTCAGCTCCAGGGTCCCAACAACAAATTGGTTGAACCTGCGGTCATAAGCTGAACTCTCAAAGTCATGATGCCCAAGCGAGACTTGCCCATCTATACTATCTATCCTGACCCTTGCCTCCTAGGTCCTAATGCCTGTCAGACAAACTTCCTCTCAGCTCTTTTCTTCAAGGCTAGTCCTCCTTCTAAAAACCACTCCCTGTCTCTGGTGCTTTTCTAGTTTCTCTTGTAAGAATGATTTCTAGTATAAACTTCAGGACTCTGTTACCTTCTTTAGGCAAGTGGGCTCACTAATCAGAAAGACATAATTTTTGCCCAAAGCTCCAGTGTATGGAGTACTAGATAGAATTTTATGATCCCTTCTCAGACAAGTATGCCTAACAAAAGCTATTCCTGAAGCTAGGATATGAGGAGCCTCAGAAATTGTATCCTTCCTATTCATATAAATGAGGAAAAAAGGCATCACTCTTCCAACTCTGGAGATTCCTTCCATCCCTCAGGGTATGGCCCTCCACTTCATTTTTGGGGCATAACATCTTTATAGGGCAGGGGTAACATCCCATTACTAACAGGAGAATGCTTAACAGGTTTTTGAGAACGTTCAGTAAGGGCCACAAAATCCGATATTTCTTGGTCCTCTTTGTGGTCTAGCAGGACAGGCAAGGGTGCAGGTTTTTGAGAATGCATTGTTAAGGACCACTAAATCTGACCTTCCTTGTGGTCTAAGAGGAAAACTCGTGTTTCTGCTGCTGCATCAGTGAGTGCAACTTTTCTGATCAGCAGGGTCCAGGGACCATTGTGGGTTCTTGGGCAGGGGGAGAAACAAACAAACCAAAACCATGGGTGGTTTTGTCTTGAGATAGGAAACACTCAGGCACCAACAGTCTCACCCTTGAAAGGCATCCTAAGCCATTGGGATGAATTTGACCCACAAACACTGCTAAAGAGGCCTCTCATTTTTTTCTACACTATGGCTTGGCCCAGTATTCTCTCTTTGATGGGGAAAAATGGCCACCTGAGGGAAGTATAAATTACAATACTGTCCTACAGATTGAGCTTTTCTGTAAGAGGGAAGGCAAATGGAGTGAAATGCCTTATGTCCAAGTTTTCTTTTCACTGAAGAAGGATCCACAACTATGCAAAGCTTGCAATTTACATCCCATGGGAGGAACTCTCAGCTTACCCCCATATCCTAGCCTCCCTATAGCTCCCCTTGCTATTAATGATATGCCTCCTCTAATCTTCCCCATCCAGAAGGAAATAAGCAAAGAAATCTCCAAGGGACCACAAAATCTCCCAGGCTATTGGTTATGTCCCCTTCAAGCTGTAGGGCGAGGGGAATTTGGCTAAACCCTAGTACATGTCCCCTTATCTCTCTCTGATTGAAATCCGATCAAGACAGGCCTGGGGAAGTTTTCAGATGATCCTGATAGGTACATGGATGTCCTACAGTGTCTAGGGAAAATCTTCCATCTCACTTGGAGAGATGTCATGCTATTGTTAGATCAAACCCTGGCCTTTAAAAAAAGAATGCAGCTTTAGCTGCAGCCTGAGAGTTTGGAGGTACCTGGTATCTTAATGAAGTAAATGATAGAATGACAACTGAAGAAAGGGACAAATTCTCTACCAGTCAGCAAGCCATCCCCAGTATGCATCCCTACTGAGACTTTGACTCAGATCATGGGGACTGGAGTCATAAGCATCTGTTGACCTATGTTCTAGAAGGACTAAGGAGAATTAGGAAAAGCCCATGAATTATTCAATGATGTCCACCATAACTCAGGGAAATGAAGAAAGTCCTTCTGCCTTCCTCAAGTGGCTACAAGGGGCATTAAGAAAATATAATCCCCTGTTGCCTGACTCACTACAGTGTCAATTGATTCTAAAAGATAAGTTTATTACCAAATCAGCCACAGGTATCAGGAGAAGGTTCCAAAAGAAAGCCCTGGGCCCTGAACAAAATCTGGAGGCATTACTAAACCTGGCAGCTTCAGTTTTCTATAATAGGGACCAAGAGGAACAGGCCCAAAAGGAAAAGTGAGATTAGAGAAAGGCCGCAGCCTTAGTCACGTCCCTCAGACTAACAAACTTTGGTGGTTCAGAAATGACAGAAAATGGAGAAGGCCAATCACCTAGTAAGGCTTGCTATCAGTGTGGTTTACAAGCACACTTTAAAAAAGATTGTCCAGTAAGAAACAAGCCCCCCCTCCATCCATGTCCACTATGCTGAGACAATCACTGGAAGGTGCACTGCCCCCAGAATGCAATGGTTCTCTGGGCCAGAAGCCCTCAACCAGATGATCCAACAACAGTAATGAGGGTGCCCAGCACAAGCACCAGCTCATGTCATCACCCTCACTGAGTCCTGGGTATGTTTAACCATTGAGGGCCAAAAAATTGACTTCCTGCTGGACACTGGTGCCACCTTCTCAGTGCTAATCTGCTGTCCTGGACAACTGTCTTTAAGGTCTGTTACCATCCAAGGAATCCTGGAACAGCCTGTTACCACGTATTTCTCCCACCTCCGCAGTTGTAATTGGGAGACTTTACTCTTTTCACATGCCTTTCTTGTTATGCTTGAAGGTCCCACACCCTTATTAGGGAGGGATATATTGGCGAAAGCTGGAGCTATTATCTACATAAATATGGGGAACAAGTTACCCATTGGTTGTCCCCTTTTGAGGAGGGAAACAATCCTGAAGTCTGGGCATTGGAAAGACAATTTGGAAGGGCAAAAAATGCCCACCCAGTCCAAATCAGGCTAAAAGACCCCACCAGTTTTCCTTATTGAAAGCAATATCCCTTAAGGCCTGAAGCTCATAAAGAATTACAGGATGTTGTTAAACATTTAAAAGCTCAAGATTTAGTAAGGAAATGCAGCTGTCCATGCAACACCTGAGTTCTAGGAGTATAAAAGCGGAACAGTCAGTGCAGACCATTGCAAGATCTTAGACTCATCAATGAGGCAGTAATTCCTCTATGTCCAGTTGTACCAAACCCCTATACTCTGCTCTCTCAAACACCAGAGAAGCAGAATGGTTTGTTGTTCTGGACCTAAAGGATGCATTCTTCTGTATTCCCCTGCACTCTGACTCCCAGTTTCTCTTTGCCTTTGAGGATCCCACAAACCACACATCCCAACTTACATGGAAGATCTTGCCCCACGTGTTTAGGGATAGGCCTTGCTTGTTTGGTCAGGCACTGGCCCAAGATCTAGGCCACTTCTCAAGTCCAGGCACTCTGGTCCTTCAGTATGTGGATGATTCACTTTTGACTACCAGTTCCTAAGCCTCATGCCAGCAGGCTACTCTAGATCTCTTGAACTTTCCAGCTGACCAAGGGTAAAAAGTGTCTATGTGGAAGGCCCAGATTTGCTTACAGCAGTTCAAATATCTAGGCCTAATCTTGACCAGAGGGATCAGAGCCCTCAGTAAGGAATGAATAAAGCCTATACTGGCTTATCCTCACTCTAAGACATTAAAACCGTTGTGGCAGTTCCTTAGAATCACCAGCTTTGGCTAACTATGGATCCCCAGATACAGCAAGATAGACCAGCCCCTATATACTCTAACCAAGGAGATTCAGAGAGCAAATACTCATCTAGTAGAATGGGAAACATACCCTGAGGCACCTGTGGGTCTATCAGCTCATGAGTCCCCAGATTAGCCAGGGCAGCCTTGATAAACCTTTGGAGGACTTGCTAACCATTGGAGGACTTGCGTCTCCTATTTCAGAAGGAAATATCCCAGACTAAAAAGGCTTCTACCACCGATCCTGAAGAAAAACCCTTCCTCCTTAAAAAAGATAAATGAAAACCTACATATGCATTATCTTTAACACCTCTCCTTGCCCCTTTAATGGAATCCTTTTACTATTATGTCATATTATTGAACAGCATACTAACCATAATTTTTGTCATAGGACTACATACGGTAGCTCCTGCCAGGATAAAAATAAAATAGAGCACAGGGAGCCACTCAGTTTGCTCCCAACACCCTTTGTAGCCACTCACCAGAGCTACCTTGGCAAGTACTCTAGGAGTATGGGAAAATGAAAACAACAAACTCACACACCTTTTTAACACACACAACCAGTTGTGTCTACCCAGCCAAGGTATATTCTTACATGGAATATATCTGTTTCCCCACTATATCTGTTGACCTATATCTGTCTCCCCACTAACTGGACCGGCATCTGCATTTTAGTCTTTCTAAGTCCCAACATTAACATTGCCCCAGGACATCAGACCTTATCAGTACTCCTCAAAGCTCAAGTCCATCAGCACAGAGTCATACAACTAATACTCCTACTTATAGGGTTAAGAATGGCTACTGCTACAGGAACTGGAATAGCCAGTTTATCTACTTCATTATCCACTATCACACACTCTCAAAGGATTTCTTAGATAGTTGTAAGAAATAACAAAATCTATCGCTACTCTACAATCCCAAATAGACTCTTTGGCAGCAGTGACTCTCCAAAGCCACTGATGCCTAGACCTCCTCACTGTTGAGAAAGGAGGACTCTCACCTTCTTTGGGGAAGATTGCTGTTTTTACATTAACCAGTCAGGGATAGTATGAGATGCTGCCCCATGTTTACAGGAAAAGGCCTCTGAAGTCAGACACCTTTCAAACTCTTATATCAACATCTGGAGTTGGGCAACATGGATTCTCCCCTTTCTAGGTCCTGTGGCAGCCATCTTGCTATTACTCACCTTTGGGCCCTGTATTTTTAACCTCCTTGTCAAATTTGTTTCCTCTAGAATCAAGGCCATCAAGCTACAGATGGTCTTGCAAATGGAATCCTAAATGAGCTCAACTAACAACTGCTACTGAGGACCCCTGGATTGACCCACTGGCCCTTTCACTGGCCTAAAGAGTTCCCCTGTGGAGGACCCTACAACTTCAGGGCCCCTTCTTTGCTCCTGTCCAGCAGGAATTAGCTAGAGCAGTCATCAGCCTAATTCCCAACATCAGTTGGAGTGTCCTATTTAGAGGGGGTATTGAGAGGTGAAGCCGGTTGGGCTTCTGGGTGGGGTGGGGACTTGGAGAACTTTTCTGTCTAGCTCAAGGATTTTAAATGCACCAATCAGCACTCTGTGTGTAGCTAAATGTTTTTAAATGCACCAATAAGTGCTCTGTGTCTAGCTAATCAGGTAAGGTATTGGAGAACTTTTCTAACTAAAGGATTGTAAATGCACCAATCAGTGATCTGTGTCAGTTAAAAGTTTATAAGCACACTAATCAGCACTCCATAAGAATGGACCAATCAGCCCTCTGTAAAGCAGACCAATCAGCACTCTGTAAAACAGACCAATCAACTCTTTATAAAATGGACCAATCAGCAGGATGTGTGTGGAGCCACTTGAGCTAGCAGCAGGAACCAACTCGTGTCCCCTTCCATGTTGCGGAAGCTTTGTTCTTTTGCTCTTCACAATAAATCTTGTTGCTGCTCACTCTTTGGGTCTGCACTATCTTTATGAGCTGTAACACTCACTGTGAAGGTCTGTGGCTTCACTCCTGAAGTCAACGAGACCACGAACCCAACAAGAGGAACAAACAACTCTGGACGTGCCACCTTTAAGAGTTGTAACACTCAGTGTGAAAGTCTGCGGCTTCACTCCTGAAGTCGAGTAAGACCACGAACCCACTGGAAGGAAGAAACTCTGGACACATCTGAACATCTGAAGGAAAAAACTCTGTGCACACCATCTTTAAGAACTGTAACACTCACTGTGAGGGTCTGTGGCTTCCTTCTTGAAGTCAGCAAGACCAAGAATCCAACAGAAGGAACAAATTCCAGACACACTAGGAATAGCCCAAGGAGGCCTCTCCCATCCCAGAAGCTTCCAGGGCCATCCTAGGTAACCTGTAAAGCCCCAGGCTTTGGAGCAGGGTGCCTGTGTCTGTCATCAAGGGCCACAACAAGCAAAAAGTGGTCTTAACTGGTAGAGGGTACCAAGCTTCTTTTACCCAACTCTAAGTAACTAGAATTTCTAGTTACTCCAGAACACATGCATGTCAAGACTCATTGTGCAAGCCTTGATAATATTAAGGCACCAAAATGAAAGGAGGTATCATCTGGGCTTCCTGGGTCGAGTAGGGGCTCAGAAAGCTGTGAAACTCACTTATTTCCTGCAACAGGACTTATTTTGGTAAAATGTCTCAAGTTCTTCTCCTCTGATCCCGATACTTACATCAAATAATTTAAATATCTCACCCAATCTTATGAACTTACTTGGCATGATCTCTATATTATTCTGTCTTCTACCCTCCTCCCGGAAGAGAAGAAAAAGTTTGGCTTGCAGCTCAGGCACATGCCAGTTGCCTTCAATGACAGGATCCTACTACAACCGTAGGAGGCGCTGCATTTCCCCAGGAAAAGTCTTCCTGGAAGTACCAACCCACAGACCCCAGGCTAGCATTCCGTAATCATATAGGGTTACTCGCCTCATTGCAGGTCTTAACAAAGCTGTTCATAAAGCTGTAAACTTTGAAAAACTCAAAGAAATCTCCCAGAAAGCAGATAAAAACCCTGCCCAATTTCTTCCCTGCCTTACAGAGGCTTTCTAAAAATCTACTCATGGCCACCTTGCCTCCTGAGAAGGAACCACTATTTTAAACCTTCAGTTTAACTCCCAAACCACCCCCCAAAATTGGCGCAAGCTTCAGAAGCTTGACGATGGCCCTCAAACACCACAATGAGACCTTCTTAATTTAGCCTTCAAAGTCTTTAAGAATCATGATGAGGAAAGTAAAAGGCAAAAACAGGCAGTTTCAAGTCCTCTATCAGAGGCCCTGCAGGCCCATGGGGCTTCAGCTCCACATGAAAGCCTCCTAGTAATTCACCTCTACCTAGTGCCTGCTTCACGTGTGTCAGTGAAGGCCACTAATCTAGACAATGCCCAAACCCAGGTGAGCTCACCAAGCCATGCCTCACTCTGTGGAAGACCCCACTGGAAGTCAGATGGTGAATGAACCCTGAAAGGACTGCTCCATCCCTTCCTGAGCCAGCCAAAACCTCCTATTCAGATCTTATTGGCCTTGCCACTGAGGACTGATGGTGCCCTGGAATTGATGCCCTGGCAACTACCTTCTCTTTGTCTGAGCTGAGGGTAACTCTGATGGTGGCAGGTAGGCCAGTATGTTTTTTAAAAAAGTATTACTGGGACAACCTACTTTGCTTTACCTAATTTTCCAGGACACACTAAGTCCTCCCAGGTCTCTGTTGTAGGAATTGATGGATAAGTCTCCAAACCCTGAGCCACCCCTCCACTCTTCTGCTCCCTGCACATGTTTTCCTTTACTCACTTTTCTTAGTCCTGCTCTCATGTCCAACTCCGCTCCTAGCAGAGACATCCTTTCAAAACTGCACACTACTCTCCACCTCCCTGCTGACCTATTTAGGAATTCAACTTTCCCCTGGGACCTGGGCTATGATCCAGCCCAAGCAACACTGATATTCTAGCCCCACCTTCCTCCAAAAGCAAAATCCTTCCCTTCTTAGGGCTATCAGTCTTTTTTAGAGTATGGATTCCCAACTTTGCTCTCATAGCTCACCCACTCTATGAAGTGGTCAAAGGCCCTCTCAATGAACCCCTAAACCCCTCACATAACATACTCCCCAGCTTCCACAAACTCCAAACTGCTCTTCTCTTTGTGCCAATTCTGTCTTTACTGATATCTCCCAGCCTTTCACTCTCTATACTGCTGAAAGCTGAAGAATAGCCCTCAGTGTCTTACAAAAACAGAAAGGAAATCCTCTTTCTTTCTCCCCTGTAGCTTATCTCTTTAAACAACTAGATAACACAGTCAAAGAGTGGCCAACCTACCTTAAAGCACTAACAGCAGCAGCTGTTTTAGCTCTAGAAAGCAGGAAACTAAACTTCAGCCAGAATACTGCTGCCCAAAGTTCTCATAATCTACAAGACCTCTTCTCTTCCTGAGCATTAAGCTCCCTTCCACCTTCCCAAATTACTCCATGCCCTCTTTATCAAAAATCCCGAATTTAGTCTTGGGAAAAGTGCTCCCTTCAACCCAGCATCTTACTCCCTGTATTCTCTTCTTCTCCTTACTCTTGAACTGACATCCTGGACCACCTAGACACAAATTTTCCAAACATTTCCTTGGAGCCTCTCACCAAATCTGATGATCAACTATTCATAGATGGCTCCTCTTCTGGGCCCACCAGCTCCCCTAGAATTGCTGGATATGTAGTTCTTTCCCTTGACTGAGTAAACTTAAGCCAAGCCTCTACTGCCGAGAACCTCCTCTCAAAGAGCAGAACTCATAGCTCCCACCTGGGTTCTACCACTTTCCAAAGGCAAATAAGTCAACATTTATACAGACTCTAAATATGCCTATCACATTCTTCATTCCCACGCTGCCAACTGGCAAGAGAGAGAATTCCTTACTGCCAAAGGAACCCCCATCACTAATGGCCCTTTTATTTACAAACTCCTTCAGGCTGCACACTTCCCAGCTAAAGCAGGAGTTATGCACTGTTGAGGACATCAAACAGGATCAGAGGAAATCTGAAGAGGGAAGAGACAGGCTGATGAGGAAACAAAAGAAGCCTCCCTTTCTTCTGTCCCTGCCCCTCTCCTCCTCATTACCCCAGCAATCCAATCCAAGTACTCTCCTACCGAGAAAGCTTCACTACTACAGAAAGGAGCCTCCTTTCAAGGAGACTAGATAGTGAAAAATCAAAAGCTCATCCTCCCCCAAGAGCAAACTAAAGAAATTCTGACATCTCTTCACCAATCCTTCCATATCAGTGTGTGCCCCCTGTACCTACTCCTTCACCCTTATTTTTCCTCCACACATCTATTCATCTCACTAAGATCTATAACCTCAAACTGTTGTCTATGCTCTGTTATTTTCTCCCAAGGGGCCCTCCACTCTTCCCCTATCCCTACACATCACCTCAGGGGAACTCTCCCAGGGAAGGAGTGGGATGTAGACTTCACCCACATGCCTCCCATCAAGAGGACAAAATTTCTTCTTACTCTTATAGACACCTTCTCTAGGTGGGTAGAATCATTTCCTACCTCTTCAGAAAAGGCTGCAGAAGTCTCCCAAATTGTTATGATGGAAATCGTCCCTAGATTTGACCTTCCTAGCTCCACACAATCAGACAATGGCCCTAGCTTCATCTCCCAAATCACCCAACAGGTTTCTTAGTCCCTCAGCATCCAGTGGCGCCTCCATATCCCATATCGACCCCAGTCACTCAGAAAAGTCAAAAGGGCAAACGGGATTCTTAAGGCTTAGTTAACCAAACCCCCTCTTGAGGTCCAAAAAGCATAGACCTGCCTTTTGCCCATAGCACTGGTTCACATCAGAGCCAGTCCAAAACACCCTCCTTCCTCAGTCCATATGAGATAATGTATGGACACCCTTTCCTCTTACAAAACAGGCACTCTTCTAACTCTCAGCTAGGAGAACACCTCTCAACACTCTCCTTCATCTGTCATCTCCTCCACGAACAAGATAACCAGGCCATCCCAAAACCTGATGAAGGCCCCACGAACCAAACCCTCATTCCAGAAGAGCATGTCTTCCTAAAAGCTCTTAAACCAACAATCCTTGAACCAAAGTGGGAAGGCCCTTTTCAAGTTCTTCTCACTACCCCCACTGCAGCTAAACTTTCAGGTCATATTGCTTGGTACCATCTTTCCAGATTAAAAAGAGCCCCCGAAGCACCCACTGACCCACTCACTGCCATCCTCCATCCATTCTTCAGTACTCTCCTTAGCCCATCCAAACTCCGTCTCACGTCCATCCTGAAGAAGACCTCTGAACAATACCCAGACTCTTCCTTCTCTTCCTGACAATCACAAGTACTTTCCCAATTTCTCTCAAATGCCCTGTTCCTGCCTACCTTGCCACTTCACCCTCTTCCTCACCTCTGTTTGCCAAGACATCTCCTGGTTTCATCCCCAAACTCCCATTCTCAACTATCTTTTAGAGTGGATAGATGACGGTATCTTCCAAGCCCCCTATGCGACTTTTCCCCAGATGAAATGCACTTATTTACTTTTCCACTCACTCTGTCTATCTACCTCTCCTACTCCTTTAGCTGCCCCACATAGCCACACCTACCCTTCCAATAGTACACAACTACCTCTGTAAGACCCTTAACTCACTCCCTACTAAACCAGTCCAACCCCATCCTACAAAAAGACTGCTAGCTCTACATTTCCCTATCAACTACCACCTATGTTGCCAACCCCGTTCCCTCAAAAAACTGGGTTTTTACTAAATTAACTTATCACCCCCGTTATGAAGGAAAAACCCATTCCAAATTTTAGACATGCAGTCACTAGCCAAATTTTCTGTCATAGACATGACAAAAAAACACTCTGACAGGGCACAAAGTACAACTTTTATACTCCTATATCTCCAATCTTATCTAATATACAAGTAATAACAGCCCATTCACGGCCCTATGTCCACCAACACCGGTCTAACTTTTCAAGACTCGTGTGTATTCAACACAACCTGTCCTCAGGTCTGCCTTTAGGTCATCTAGTATCCCATCAATGTAACTATACCTTAGAGCTTCAGGCCTCAAAGTACCACCAACATTTTAAGGTCACCCAAACAGCCAAATTTAAATGGCTTGTCCATTTTTCAGGACCCCCAAATGTCATCACCAGCTCTTTAGTAACCAAACATTCAGGATTTTGTAATGGCAGACATATGAGCTGTATGACCATTCACCCATAGACCCCTTGTAGCCTGTCTCTTCTCCTTGCCAAATGCCTAAGTATACTCTCTTGCAATTACTCCTCTGAATAACTCTAGTAGACACAAAATGATTATTTCTCCAATGGGAGAATAAAACACAAGGAGCCACTCAAATGACCCCTAAAACTCCTTTTCAGCCACTTACTGGAGCCACCTTAGCCAGCATTCTATGTGTGTGGGAAAATAAAAACAATAAACTCACACACCTTTTCAATATACACAACCAGTTCTCTCTGCCCAGCCAGGGTGTATTTTTCTTGTGTGGAACTTCAACCTATGTCTGCCCCCAAATGGACTGGCACCTCCACCCTGGTCTCCTTAAGCCCCAAAATTGACATTTTCCCAGGAAACCAGGGTTTACCAGTCCCTATTAAAGCTCAAGACCATAAATGCAGAGCCATACAGCTAATACCCCTGCTTGTAGTACTAGGAATTACCACTGCAACAAGAACAGGGATAGCAGCCTTGTCCACTTCCTTGTACTACTATCAGGCTCTCTCAAAAGATCTCTCAGACAGCCTGTAAGACATAGCTAAATCAATCCTTACTCTCCAATCCCAAATAGACTCTTTAGCAGCAGTGACACTTCAAAACCATCAAGGTTTAGATCTCCTCACTGCTGAAAAAGGCGGACTGTGCATCTCTTTAGAAGATTGCTGTTTCTATACTAACAAGTCAGGACTAGTATGAGATGCGGCCCAGTGGTTAAATGAAAAGGCTACTGAAATCATGCAGCACCTTTTGGACTCCTCACTCCAGTGGTTCTTTAACTCCTGGGCTGGCAGTCCCTACCACCCAGCCTCTCCCAACAACTGTCACCCCTATCCAGAAAGAAGCATCCAGATGACAATGGCACCCCATTGAATGGTCATAAGACTCATATGTCTGCCATTACAAAATCCTGAATGTTTGGTTACTAAAGAGCTGGTGATGACCTTTGGGCATCCTGAAAAATGGACAAGCCATTTAAATTTGGCCATTTGGGTGACCTTAATAGAAGACTATTATCTATTAAAAGGCTGGAATGTTAGGGAGAAACTGCCTCAGGAACCTCCCACCCCCAAGAATGCAGCTGACCCTTACCCTGAATTCTCTACTGCTGCATTCCTGAACCCTTATCTAGGCACCACAGCAAGGTCACCAGGCTTGCTATTACAGCCTTCCAGGCAGCACAGGGGAGGTCATGAGAAATGTGGGTAAATCTAAGTTACACCCTCTTGTAAATATTATTTACACAACATAATACACTATAATCTGATCATGAGATGATATGTGGTAAAGTTAACTGACAAACAACCCCAGGGTCTCCCTCTCCCATATAAATCCCTCATTTTGTAAGCTCAGGGCTATCTCTAACTATGGTGGAGCAGCCCAGCAGGTTAATAAACTTAATTGCCTCACCTTGGGTCCCTCTCTCTCTTGTCCTTTCTTTCAGCTAACCTTACACCTTTCAGATATATAAGGCAGTAATGACTAAAACAAATAAACAAATTGAAATTCTCTTTCTCCCTTAATATAAAGATAAATTATAAAAATAAAAAAGCATTAAAAGAGATTTTATTGTCCATTGTTTTGTTTATTTGTTTGTTTTGCTTTTTTCCTGCAGAAATAGTAACGAGTCTTTAAAGGAGCTTATATTAGAAACAATATATCATCATTTATTAAGGAAGCCAAGTAAAGGACTGAATACTGAAATTGGAGAGTATTGCAATTTCCCTTTGAAACTGATGAGTAAGCTGCTTATTCTTGTCCTTGACATCTGAAACAGTCTGGGTGCTTGTAGGTGCTTAATCCATATTTCTTAAAATGAGGAAAGCCTCACCATTCATAAGAAAGTGGAGTCATACTTTTTTCATTGGATAATTTAAATTACAAAAATGACCTCCATAATTGGAAAAGTAGACCAGGAAGACAAAAAATAAAACGACTACTGGGAAATTTTACCATCATTAAGTTCCTCTTTATGTCTTTCTTCATAGAGGGCTTGTATCCTCTGCATTATGCAAATTATGAGATAAACATTGCTAAAGATAAATATAATAAAATGTGTAAACTAATACATCTTGTTGATTTAGTAAAGAAATGCTGAAAAAATCTGTTTTCTTCTCTGTAATGGCAATTTTACAGATTTTTTATGTGAAGTTACATTGCTTTATTAATGGAAGCATGTAAGTTTTATTTTAAAGTAATTCCCTCTCCACCTAGGGTGTGTAAAATGTTGTCCCTGAAGTAGGTGCGGTCTGTAGGATGAAATGGAGGCTGGGTGCATACTTTTGCACAGTATGAGCTCCAGATCTCCTTACTGCAAATGTAATTCCCAGAAGAAAATCCTTCGTGAGCTTGGCTGTTGGAGACATGCAATCGATGCAGGAAGACAGTTTACATATTTTCCTTTACTTCCAGTTCAATTACAAGCCCATGGAATATGACTGGTGCATGAATGTTTCCTAATTAAATCTACTCTGATCTTTTTTTATCAGGAACTTACCTGTTGAGATCAGTCACTGAGGCTTGCTACTATTTTTATTGCAAAGACCTACTACTTCGAAGGCACTTGAAAGCAATGTTCTAATAATAAATTGTGAATAATAAACAGCAAAGATATGACAGCTTGAGTTGGTGGCATTTAAATCCCTACAAAAAACAAAAAATGGTATTCATTTCTTGACTGCTTACAAGGTTACAGACACCTTGTTAAAGATTTTCCTTTCATTAGTTCATTAAATCACAACAATGACATCCTCAAGTGACTCTTATCCCCATCTTACTTGTGAGGAAATGAAAGCCCAAGGAGATTATGGCACTTTGCCTGGGATAGTAAATAACCTAACTATGATTAGGGTGGAGGCTCTCACATCTATACCTTTGATTATAATCATTGTCACAAACTTGAAATGCATCACTAACATGCTGCTATGATCACAAAGCAAGCAACTCCTTCCTTTCTTCTTCCTTGCCCCTGTCTCTCTTTTATTTGTGACTGTGGTGGCCAGAAATACAGCATGATGTACTTATTCCAAAGGATGGCCTGTCTGGATTTCCTGAAAGATGCGGTAGAAATGCACCATGACTTAGGAACAAAATGCCTCACCATCAGCTTGGATCAACAGTGACCTCCAGAGGAAACTGCAGGTGCTGTACTTGAATTCGTAGTGGCTTCTAGGAAAGGGATGAATCTGACTTTCTGTAATAGATTGGATCACTTTTTCCTCAAAGACATCCACTTCTTGACTTCTGGTAGCTCAGTATGTTAGCCTACATGACAAAAACCTTCGCAGATCTCATGAAGTTAAGTGCGTCAAGATGAGAGATCATCTTCTATTATCCAAACGGTCTTACTATTATCACATGGATCCTTATGAGACATAGACAAGAATGTCAAAGAAGACAGGAGAAATGGCCATGAGTCAAGGTAGACTCCAGAATTTAGAAAAGCCAAGGAATAGATTCTCCTTGGAAACTTCATAAAGAACCAGCCATGCCAACTCCTTGAATTTAGCTGCTTAAGACTGATTTCAGACTTCTAACCTCCAGAACGATGAAAGAATCAATGTGTGTTTTTTCTTAAGCCACTAGGTTTGCAGTAACTTTTTGTAGCAGCAAAGTGAATCTCATACACACTTCCACCAGGAAAACTTAATTCCTAATTCATGGTCGATAAATTTAGAAATTTATTTTTTGCATTCAACAATAGTCTAGTCATGTATCTTAGGAAGAGCTATGCAACAGATTAAATTGCACATACTTTTCTAGCCAGTGAGTACTGGCTTGAAAAACCAGATGACTCAGAGCATTCTTAATTGTTTTAATCAAAGACAACTAAAATGTAAGCCAGATCTCTTTTCTTCTCTCAAGTCATGCAACTCAGAGCTGCACTTTATAGATAAATAGCACAAAACACACTGAGTTATAATCTGGAGACTGTATTTTCATCTTCATCTCACCTAATACCTATTCCCTACAGGTAACTGAAACAATCTCTGGGGATTTGTAAGGACTGATTTGACTTTCCTTCTTCTGTTCTTTCTTTTCCTATACTCTTCTCTCTTTCTCTCTCTCCCTCCCTCTCTCCCTCCCTTTCATGTTTTAGAGACAGGGTCCTGCTTTGGTCACCCAGGCTTGAGTGCCTGACATGATCACAGCTCACTGCAGCCTCCAACTCCTCAGCTCAAGAAATCCTCCTGCCTCAACCACCCTAGTAGCTGGGACTACAGATATGCATCATCACACCTGGCTAATTCTTGTTTGTTTTAAAAGAAAGGGTCTTGCTATGTTGCCCAGGCTGGTTTCAAATGCTTAGCCTCAAGCGGTTTTCTTGTTTTGGCCCCCAAACTGCTGGGATTACAGGTTTAGGCCCTGGTGCCTTGCTCATTTTCTTTTTGCTTTTCTTCCCACCTTCTCTCCTCCCTTGAAAATACTAGTGTGGAGTGCTATATAGCACATGATTCTAACACAATTGGTCTTGAACTTGAGAGAATATCAGAAGTGTCTAGAGGGCTTGAAAAACACAGATCACTGGGCACTGTCCCAGAGATTCTAATACTGTATGTCTGAGGTGCAGCCAGATAATTCATGACACCAAGAAATTCCCCAGGGATGACAATATTTCCCCCCTTGATAGGATACTTTGTAACTACTGTATTAGTTTTTAGTCTACTTGAATAACCAATGCAATGATTGTCAACCTGGGGTATTTTGCATGCCCCTTCAGCCCTGCTGACCCCCAGTGACACCTGGCACTGCATGGAGACATGCCAATTGTCACATCTTTTTTTTTTTTTTTTTTTTTTTCCTGAGATGGAGTCTCACTCTGTCACTCAAGCTGGAGTACAGTTCAGCAATCTCTGCTTACTGCAACCTCACCTCCCAGGCTCAAGCAATTCTCCTGCTTCAGCCTCCTGAGTAGCTTGGATTACAGGATCCCACCACTGCACCCATCTATTTTTTATATTTTTAGTAGAGATGGGGTTTCACCATGATGGCCATACTGATTTAGAACTCCTGACCTCAACACAGTGAAACCCCATCTCTACTAAAAATACAAAAAATTAGCTGGTTGTGGTGGCAGGTGCCTGTAGGCCCAGCTACTCAGGAGGCTGAGGCAGGAGAATAGCATGAACCTGGGAGATGGAGCTTACAGTGAACCGAGATTGTGCCACTGAACTCCGGCCTGGGCAACAGAGTGAGACTTCATCTCAAAAAAAAAAAAAGAACCCACCTCAAATGATGAAACATGCATGGACCCTTGTGGACTGAACAAAGAGAGGGTGAACATGGTAATAAGAGACAAGAGACAAAGGAGTTTATTTGGAAGAAGGGGTCAGGGGTCACCTTACCTCTATTGGACAAGGGCTCTGAGCTTTACACAGCCCTCTGTATTTATTAGGAAAAATAGATAGTGAGGAAGTTGGGGGGTGATTGTCAGGTAGTTGTAAGTCAGCCGTTTGGTTCACAGAAGGCTTGAGCTTCATCCTTTGAACAATAGGCACTGATTTTCTCAGTAGATAACTTCAAGGAGCTGCACCAGGGAGTGATGTCCCTCAGCAAACCTTTTGTTGGCAGGGCAGTGTGGATTTGCCCACATCCTGCATTCATGATAAATAGTTTGCTGTTTGATTATATAGCCTCTAGCAGAATGCTGAATTTGTCACATCCCATCAGCCTTCAGCTCCCTGCATATCCCCCTTTTTGTTTATGTATTAATTGAAAGAATGTAAGGCCAGGCTGGGCAGCCCTCATTATCTGACTGGTGGTCCATCCACTTTTACAGAAAACATAGCATTAGAACTGTGTCTTGACTCTGGTCAGCCTTCTCTCCATCTATGCACTCAGGCCCAGCTGGATCATGGCTCTTACTGGAATGACTGGGCCCATGGTTGGCCACCCTGGGTTCCTCCATCTCCTGTTCTGTGGTTGCACACATCTTGAGGGTACCCACGTGGTTTGTCCATCTCCTGTAAACACACAAGCGTACCCTCTTCCCCACATCAGAGAATCCACTGTATCTTTCCATTGTCCTTCTTCTGGGGATTTCCATGACACTTTCAGACCAACTTTTCTCTTTTCTCCTAACAGTTGCCAATGTCTTTCTGCTGGAGTCTCACCATTCTTACCAGGAGTCAAAAAATTTAAAGTACACAAGGCTAAATGTAGTTTTGATTGAGGTGGTAGCTGGCCTCCTATACCCCCTTTTTTTGTCTTTTCAACATGCGTTGTAGTGTTTGATGTGCCCATTCTTTAATGCCTTATCCGCTAGGATTATAAGGAGTTCCTGTTTTATGTGTTATAGCCCAAAGCTGTAAGAAATTTTGAAAGGTATGACTAGTATAAGCAGGTCCATTGTCAATTTTTAATTGTTTAAATATTCCCAAATGAGCAAATGATGACAGACAATGTCACTGTACATGACCAGCTATCTCAACTCTTTGGCATGTAGCATAAAGCATATGAGAATAAGTTAAACAAATTAAGCAATTCTGGGTCTGGTGTACTTTTTTCTTTTATTTTTTTCTTTATTTTTTTTTTCTGAGATGGAGTCTCTCTCTGTCCCAAGGCTGGAGTGCAGTGGTGCAATCTCGGCTCACTGCAACCTCTGCCTCCTGAGTTCAAGTGATTATTCTGCCTCAGTCTCCTGAGTAGCTGGGACCACAGGTGTCCACCACGGCACCCAGCTAATTTTTGTATTTTTAGTAGAGACGGGGTTTCTCCATATTGGCCACGGTAGTCTTGATCTCTTGACCTCATGATCCACCTGCCTCGGCCTCCCAAAGTGCTGGGATTACAGGCATGAGCCACCATGCCTGGCAGGTCTAGTGTACTTTTAACTGTAGCAGTTTCTATGTGACTGGCTACATTTACAACATAAGCTGAATCACAGACAATGTTGATAGGATCTGAAGCTGTGAGCTGTAAAACCTGAATGATTGCAATTAGCTCTAAGTGTTGAGCTGAAACTCCTGCAGTCATTATTACTTTCAGACCTTTTTGGGATAACGAACACTGGAGAATTCCAGGGGCTAACGGACTTTTCTATAGCATTCAATTGCTCATTTACCAACAGATAAAGTTTATCTAGCTTTTCCTGTGTTAGGGGCCATTCATCCACCCATATAGGTTTGTCACTAAGACATTCTAATAGTGAGGCAGTGGGCGGAGGAGAAATATTAATGACCCCTGCCATAAATCCTGATGTCCTAGCCCTTTTCTATCTGATTTTCCAGTTACTGATATCAGGTTAGGATTTCACTGTAGAAATCTCCCCAAACATTTTTCACCCTGATATCCCATATTCTTCAACATTTTAAATCCTGAGTTATCAAAGTTTTCATTTGTAAGTCTCATACCCTGTGCTGTAAGTAAGTCTCAACCCCATAAATTGATGGCTATTTTTGCAACATAAGGCTGGAAAGTTGAGAGAGAGCTTAAGGTTGTAAAGGTTATTTAATAAATAAACAGAGTAACCTTAGCTCTCTGAGTTCTAGTAAACTCAGATCGAGTGATTGAATTATGTGGTCTGTACTAGATTGCTGCTTTTCCATATTCACCAGATCCATCAATAAATAGTGTTAAAATGTGATATACTAACTTGTATTAACTTGACTGGCTCTCTCTTTCAGCTCCTTCATATGCAAGACATTAATGGCTTCTTACCCACCCCCTTCCTCAAGGACTTAATTTGTGCAAGCAGACTCTCAGCTCATAAAAGAGTGCAATTAATTGATAAGGTAGGGTGGCAAGCTATGTACATAGTTCCCAGGAATTCGCTCAGGTGATAGTACTCTTAAGTCCCTGCACTTATGTCTGGCATATAACACCCAGAGCCCCCACACCTATCACCTTGTGAAGAATTTGAAGCCCCCACACCTGGAGGTGTTTGTTTTCCTGTAAACATTTGTCTTTTCAACTTTTTTGCCTGTAAGATTGCTGAAGCAATCCCCTCTCTAAACCAAAGTATAAAAGAAAATCTAGCTCCTTCTTCAAGACTGAGAGAATTTCAAGCATTAGCCATCTCTCCATTGTCAGCTAATAAAGGACTCCTGGATTAGTCTCAAAGTGTGGCATTTCTCTATAACTCGCTTGGTTACAACAGAAGCATTAGGTATGGGTAAGTGCAATAACTCTTCAAATTGCCTTTTACTTAAAGGAATCCTGATGATATCAGGGTCATAACTTAGCAATTGACTGTATTAATCACTAAGATGGCAAGTTGAAATAAGTAACAAGAAGTTTAAAAAGATAACCTGAAAGCATCTCTAGAAGCAGAGACTCAAATAATATACTTTAACCATGTGCTTAAAGCCACAGGCAAAATAGCTTAAATTTTGTAATTGAGTTTTCAGACTGATCAAGTTTGTGAACTTGATTCTGACAGTCTAGAAAACAGTGACTCACTAACCGGGGAACTCAATTTAGGACTCTTTTAGCAAGTGCAAATTAAAGACTCTCTGTAATCAATGGGTTAAGACAGTCATTCATGCATATGTTTTCACTACACTTACATACAGGTTTTCTTCACTTTCTGAGAAGAACACGACATTTTTACCTTCTAATTTAAAAAATATCATTTAATTAGGTTTAAAGTTCTCTTTTAAAGGGTAATGTGTTTTTTTACATGCCTGGCTTTTAATTACTCTTAATTCATGGGCCCTCTGCAATCTCTCTTCCTTCAGAGGTTACTGTTTTACTTAAATTGTATTTGGAAAGCTACATCAGGGATAGGAGAGAGATAACAATAGTGGCCATTATTAGAAAAGAAGTTCTTCAAATTCCTACTTTTTACTGAAATCTTAGCAGAGAATCATAGCCTGGGATGTAACCATGAAATTTTGCTATGGGCTTCCAGCAGACCCACAGGGTAGTGGTGCAGGTCCTGGGCAGTGGCCACATTGTACTTTTAGAAGCTTTGCCTGCCTGTGCTGCTCCCTCCCTCCTTTGCTGGGGCATGCTGCTGGCCTGGGCAAACCTTGCGGCCATGGTCGCTGCTAGCTTTCTTGCCACTGTGCCTTTTCTGAGCCACACAGTTTCAATGCCTTTTTTCTTATCTTTTAGAAATATACACCTGATTGCCTTGTTGATTTTGCATTACTGAGCAGGTTAAGAGCTCTCCTTCTAGCACTGCCTGCTTAAGACATGAACAGATAGCTGTAGCATATTCTCTGTCTTCTTTCCTATCTATTGGAAGTGGAGGATTAGGTAAGACCTCTGTTTCCTCTTTGCTATTTTGGCCGGTTGATATTGGGGCTGAGGGAAGAGGAGGTGATAAGGCAGGTGATGTTTTCTCCTCTTTCTTCTTTTTAGGCTCTTCTGTGTGTAACTGAGCTGAGGCTGCTCTAATTAAAGCCCATAACATTAAAGATTTTACTGGGACCTGATGCCTTCATACCTGATGTTGTTTAAGATTTCTCCCCACTTGTTCCCCAAGTTCCACATCTAACATTCCTTCCTCCAGGAACCATGGGCTTTGTACTGTATTATTGACCACACTAGTTTTTAATTCCTTCAACAACATAATTCTAGTGGGGTGTGTTCATGAATAAACTACTGTCAATTATTTGGATCAGGCCTTATGGAAATAGGAAAAGTACAAGGTCCTAAGGGCTCTCCCGCTATGGCAGCAAAGGGTAAAATTCTCTGTATTGGGGTTTCTGTTTCTGCTATGGAAGGAGGCAGTACAGATGTTTTGGCAATTGGAGGAGGCAGTATAGACCAATTTTTATCCTCCCTCTCCTGTTTTTTATTTTCAATTGGAGCTATGGGAAGGAAAACAGTTTCTTTCAGAGTTTGAGATTCAGCCTGCTGCTGCAGAGAATAACAAGGAGATAATGGCAGAAGTACAGCACAAACTAAACTCCAAGTGGAGAAAACAGAAGAATCAACTTTAAGACCTTTTTGATAAGCCTATTTTGATCCTCCTCCTGCTGTATCACAATTTCTCACATCAAGAGTGCCTGCCTGTGGAAACCATGGGTTATGCATAATAACATTTTGTAGCTTCTGCAGAAGGTTACTTAGTGCCTGAGAATGAACCTGAGCTCCAGACTGTCTCAACAGAACTTTAAGAAACTGCACATAATGTTTTTCTTCAATAGAGAAATTCTTCTCTTGTTACCATGATTCAGAAAACTTTCCGTTCCCAGTACTTCTTTAAAGCACTGCTCTCAGTACCTCTTTAAGGCACTGACCTTATATCTGCCACTGGCAAACTCATCCTGGGGTCCCCGTTTGCCTTGTCAATTTCAATTCCTTTGCTGGAGCAGATGTTCTTTGTTCATGTCCTGGAACTCCCATGTTTGGACTGTCACCTCTTCGAGCACAACTTGTAAAACCCACAGGGACCTAGGGGAACTGAACAAAAAGGGTGAAAACTTGGGAACAAAAGACAAGAGACAAAAGAGTATATTTGGAAGGAGGGGTCAGGGGAACCTTGCTTCTAATGGACAAGGGCGCTGAGGTTTAAACAGGCATCTGTGTCTATCAGGTGAAAGAGACAGCAAGAAGGAGGGGGGTGATTGTCGGGTAATTGTCAGTCAGCTGTATGGTTCACAGCAGGCTTGAACTGCATCCTTTGAACAATAGGCTCTAATTTTCTCAGTAGATAACTTCAAGGAGCCCAGGGCTGGGGAGTGATGTCCCTCAGCAAACCTTTTGTTGGCAGGGCAGTATGAGTTTGCCCACATCATGCATTCATGATAAACAGTTTGCTGTTTGATCATATAGCCTCTGGTGGAATGCTGAAGTCACACATCCCATGGGCTTTTGGCTGGCTGCAAAATTATTCACCCATGTGGGCCTCCCAAAGTGCTAAGATTACACATGTGAGCCACCATGCCAAGCCAATTGTCACATCTTTAAGTTGGCAGAGGTACTGCTACTGGCATCTAGAGTGTGGAGGCCAGAAATGCTGCAAATCATCCTACAATGCAAAGGGCAGTCCCCACCACAAAAAAAATCATCTGATGCAAAATATCAGTGGATTTGTGAGTAAGGTATCAGGCTGCCTATGATGATTTCTTCACATACTGTATCTTTGCACCTGGGAGTAATTTGCTGAATAGCTGTGTACTTCCATTCATTTAATAGATTTGTGCAAAAGATGAAGTGAGATAAGGGTACAAACTGTCTAGCAGGTTATATACTCATAGGAAAAATGAATTGATGAAAATATATCTTTCCACTTCACATGTTATTTCCTCCTCAAGAAATGTATGAATTCAGAATGACAATGGGTTATATTACTTGTTGTCTTGATTGAGCAATATCCTGTAACAATCTCCCAAATTCTCACCCTGCAAACAAGATCATTGACTAATCCCTAAATAATGGGTTTTGAGAAATGTGAAATGACTTCTTTCTTGCCCCTTGATAGAAACCTTCTGATGCTGTCCTGGAAAAAAACAACAGAATTAGAATGAAACCTCCAGGTATCAGTTCCATTTTCTATTTTGCAAAGTCAAAAAGCATATGTTATTTGTAGCTCTTCACTGCATACATTAAATTTCAAAATGCAACACCAAGGTTTAAAGAGATCACATAGAGATATCTTTTACAAAATTTTGTCCATGGTTTCACTAGGTACATATCAGCCCTTGTTTAAGCATTGGAAAAACATTGCTAAGGATGGTGTACATGTGTGATTTAATGTAATTAGCTTAGAGATTTCCTAGTTTAAAAGATTACATTCAGTCCCTCTTTGCATGCATACACACATGCCTTTACCTATATGCAGACTTCTTCCCTGCTGTCTCTATGTCTCTCCTGAATGCAAAAACATTTTGTAAATATCTTCTAGCCATGTCTAGTTGGAGCTAGACTGGCTTGTGTTCACACCAAAATGTACTATACTTAAATTTACTTCTGTCCTCTTCAGGTTTACCAATAGCAATGACACCACCATCCAATTACATCAGTGGGATGGCCACTCCTTGACTCACACTCAGGTCCCATGAATTCTCTCTCTTTCATATTTCTCACCCCTCTTTTCAGTTCATCTTCACTCATAGGGACCCTAGATTCTCCTGCCTTGACTGTGCAAATACTTCTTTTTTTCTCTTTCATAAGGTCTTAGAGCAATGCTGCTAAAACAGGACTCTGTATATTTGTAGTATGCCCTGTATTCTCCTTGTTGCTGTAGAATCGGGAACAATCCTCTTAGCTTGGTGCATAAAGCCCCCATGATTCTTCCCTCTGAGAAGTCACCCTGCAGGTGAAACAAATTTCTTTGTTCACCGAATACTTACTTTGTTCATTAAATACTTACATGACACCAGGTGTATTGCAACTCTCATATTTAATTCCAGAGATAACATGATAAACCCATCATATAGAACCTCACACTAAATGTGACATTTAATTTGGGAAAGTGGATTTTTAGTGAGAAGGAAGCCTAATCTGCTGGTTCAGCAACAAGAAAGATAAATAGGTCAGCATTGATTACCAAGATATAAGTTTCAAAACTCATCTATCTGACTTGCTCTTCCTGTATTTTCACCACCTATTTCTTGACTATGACTTGGTGTCCATGATGGACATGCTCAAAGGAGATCCAGCCCCAAAAACCAAGCACTAACACCTGCTCTCTAGGTTCTTGTATTTGTTGTTATATAATAAAAAATGCCCTATGAATTTGGGTTGTCACTTTACAAGAATTCCTTACCAAACTTTCATAGCATTGTGAGCATGCATGGACTGAAGCAACAAATAGTGAAGGAACAGTCTGAATATCACAAATACATAGATGTATTAAGATATGCCCTTTTCCTTATCTTGCATTTAGGGATGTTTCATTTTATTTTTATAACTATAAATGATATTTTACCAAGTTTACATTGTCACTTATTTTACTAGAAATGGATTTAATCAGAAGGAAGAATGGATTTAATCAGAAGGAAGTTGTGGGATAAAATTCTAATTAAAACAATATTAACCAAGATTAATTTGGGGAGTGGTGTCCAGAGGAGGACAGGAATATTCTTGTAGCCTATGTTGGCCAATTTCATTCACTTATTTATACATGCAAGAATAAAGCATGTCTCATTTATTATTTGCACAAACTGTATCAGGGCTAATATTATGGCTGTATAATCAAAAAATGAAAGAAATGAAGAAACCAGTCAGATGGAAAACTCCAGGCAGAGTTTTCTTCCTATCTTAATGCTCTTTCTCATGGGTATGCAGGATAAATAAACAAGAAAGGAAAAGAACAATATCTGAAAGTCAAGAAATGCTCCTGTTCTGACAGGTTGCTACAGGGGTAGTGTCTGTAACCTTTTTCATTTTTCTCTTTAGAAGAGAGCTCTGATTCTCTCTGGCACTTTGCTATAAGATGACTAGAGACAGATTAAATCTTCAGGAAGATTATAACAAATAAATTCACATTTAATCATCCAGGATACCAAAGAAATATTCTGTTTCCTGATAACATCATGCAGCCTTTCAGCTCCATGAATTTATTTTATTGAAAAAAAGTTCAAAATGATTATAATAACTGAATAGAATTAAGGAATTGGAAAATAAAACTCACTGACCAAAGTGTGCCTTTAGTTGTTTTTCTTCCGCACACAGTCAAAAGGCAAATGCAAATGTGGATTCTGCACTCAGTGGTCTAACCACCCGCTGACAGAGTACTGTTCTTGCAGGACATCAAATTGGGATTTCACTGCCCACCATAGCAAGGAACTATGATGCACTCAAATGTGCTTCTGGGGGACAAATAATAACCAACCATCCTACCTCTGCCTATCACCGTTATCTACTAATAATGCTTTAATTCAAGCTGCAATTTATGTTTCTGCTAGGTTGATCAACCACCCATTCTCTCCAGTGCTTTGAAAAATGTGCAGTATTTGTGGTCAGCTAAAGATGAATTGGCAGGCCAGTCTCTAAACTGCCAAGAGCCAGAGAACAGCTGTATTAAGGAAGCTGCCTTAAAAACTCAATGCCTCCAGCTGTGTGTTGTTGGAAGTGTCTCCTGTCTACAAATTAATAAACACTCCATTTTTCCATGTAGCCACAGATGAGCCACCTATTTAACATAGGTGTTAAATATAAATGTTATGCATTATGCAGCAGGTCCGTGCATTGCAGAACTGTAAAAGGTTTGGCTTGTTTTCGCATGAGACTTTCCCTGTTTCCATAATGCAGAGTTGGATGTAAGAGGACACACACTTGAGGGAGCAGTTTTACTTACCACGTAAATGTTACGTATGCAGTCTATCCACTAAGCTGACTACAAGCTATATGGATCTGTAACATCAATGGTAGTAAGTTGTGACTTTTACTTTTTCCATTAGTTACCATTCCTATTTTTAACTGTCATTTCCTTAGTAATGAGTTTGCACAATGTGTCTCGCAAAATAATCATGACATTTTTATCATGAAAACATATGATATAATTATTCTTTACTGATATCTTAACTAAAATCACAGATTATATAATTGAAATATTGAGATAAATCTTGTGGACCGGGCGCGGTGGCTCACGCCTGTAATCCCAGCACTTTGGGAGGCTGAGGCGGGCGGATCACAGGTCAGGATATTGAGACCATCCTGGATAACACGGTGAAACCCCGTCTCTACTAAAAATACAAAAAATTAGCCGGGCATGGTGGCGGGCACCTGTAGTACCTACTACTCACTGCCTGGGAGGCTGAGACAGGAGAACGGCGTGAACCTGGGAGGCGGAGTTGGCAATGAGCCAAGATCGCGCCCCTGCACTCCAGCCTGGGCAACAGAGGGAGACTCCGTCTGAAAAAAACAACAACAACAACAACAAAAAAAACAAAATAAAACAAACAAAAAAAACTTGTGATGTACTTGATGTAAATATCCAGTGTGTGTGGGTCCCGAAAACATCTACTCGTTAACTTTGACTCTTCAACACACAAAACCAAAACAAGGTTATCTTACCTCCAGATGGGTTGATATCTTTCTCTTACTTGCATAATTCTCTCTTTTTTTCTCAATTTGTCTGCTTTTTATAACTCACTGTGTTGTTAAATAGGCATTGGGAAGTGAAATATTACCTGGAGGATGTCAGGCACACTCTTCTGAGCTTGAAAGAGCAAAATAAATAAAAATAAAAATAAATTGCAGAAAACGGTTTGCACAAGCAAAACATTTTAATTGCAATTCTTGTTACAAGGGGCCATCCTTCAAGCAGGGAAATGCAAGGAGAGATGAACTAAGCTGACATCGCTATGGGTCCATCACTATGGGTCACTCTTTATGTTGAAATCAAGAAAGCTTGAAAAAAAGACAAGGTGAAAAAATGATAGTGAAAAACCTAGGATGTCATTTGATGCAAGTAGAGATTACTCAATGACTAACTTCAGTAATAAAGGCAATTTTTATTTATCTCATGTAATACACCAACAGAGGGAGACGGTTTCTGATTTGGTGAAACCTTCAGGGATATTATCTTGGGTTCTTCATCTCACTTCTCAGCTCCTTTCAGAATGTTTTTTCCTTTGTCTGTGGTGGCTATGTGTTCTACCTATATGGTGTTCAGTTCACCTGATGGCTTCTGAACATCCAGTTAGCACGGTTTCATGCATCTGTGTACATGGCTGCAATAAAGGGTTGGAATCCACTTTCTCCCTCCCCTCCCTCCCTCCCTCCCTCCCTTCCTTCCTTCCTTCTCTCCTTCCTTCCTTCCCTCTTCCTTCTTTCCCTCTTCCTTCCTTCTTCTTTCTTCCTTTCTTCCTTCCTCTTTTTTGTCTTTCTTTCTTTCTTTCTTTCTTTCTTTCTTTCTTTCTTTCTTTCTTTCTTTCTTTCTTCTCTTTCTCTATGTCTTTGTCTTTCTTCTTTCTTTTCCCTTTCTCATTCTTTTTCTTTCTTCTTTTTCTTTTTTCTCTTTCTTTCTCTCTTTTTCTCTCTTTCTTTTCTTCCTTCCCTTCCTTCCTTCCTCCCCCCCGCCTCCCTCCCTTCCCCCTCCCTCTGTTCTCTCTCCTTCTCCCTCCCTCCATCCCTCCCTCCTTCCCTCCCTTCCTTCCCTCATTCCTCCCTCCTTCCTTCCCTCCCTCTTCTCTCCTTCCTTACTTCCCTCCTCCCTCCCTCCCTCGCTCTCTCTCTTTCTTCCTTTCTTTCTCTTTCTTTATTTCCTTCTTTCTTTCTCTCTCACTTTCTTGTTTTACTTTCTCTCTCTCTTTTCCTCCCTTCCTTCATTCTCTCTTCTTTTTTCTTTCTTTCTTTCCTTCTTCCTCTCTTTCCCTCCCTCCCTTCCTTCCCTCCTCCCTCCCTCTCTCCTTCTTCCCTCTCTCCTTCCTTTCCTCCCTCCCTCCTCTCTCCTTCCTTCTTCCCTCCCTCACTTACTTTCTTTCTTTTTCTTTCTTTCTCATTTTCTTTCCTTCTTTATTCTTTTCTTTCTTTCTCCCTTCTTCTTTTCCTCCCTCTCTGTCTTCCTTCCTTCCCTCCTCCCTCCCTCCTTCCTTTCCTCCCTCCTCTCTCCTTCCTTGCTCCCTCCCTCCCTCTCTCCCTTCCTCACAATCTCTTTCTTCCCTTCTTTGTTTCTCTTTCATTCTTTCTTTCATCTTTCTTTCTTTCCCTCTTTTTTCTTTTCTTTCTTTCTCTTTTCTTCTTTTACTTCCTTCCTTCCCTCCCTCCCTCTCTCTCCCTCTCTCTTTCTCCTCTTTCTCTCTTTCCCTCCCTTTCTCCCTCCCTCCCTCTCTCTCACTTTCTTTCTTTCTTTTGTTCTTTCTTTCTCTCTCTCTTTTTTCTTTCTCACTTTCTTTCTATTTCTTTCTGTCTTTCTTTCCTTCCTTCCCTTCCTTCCTCCCTCCCTCCCTGCCTCCCTCCCTCCCTCTCCCTCTATTCTCTCCCTCCTCCCTCCCTCCCTTCCCTCCTTCTTCCCTTCTTCCTACCCTCTCTCCTCTCTTACTCCTTCCTTCCTTCCCTCCTCCCTTCTTCCCTCCCCTCTCTTCCTCTCTCCTTCTTTCTTTCCTCATTTCTTTCTTTCTTAGTTTCTTCTTTTTCTTTCTCTCTCTCCCTTCCTTCCTTCCCTTCCTTCCTTCTTTCCTTCCTTCCCTCCCTCCCTCTCTTTCTTCTTTCTTTCTTCCTCTCTCTTTCCCTCCCTTCTTTCTTTCTTTCCTTCCTTCCTTCCCTCCTCCCTCCCTCCTTTCTTTCCTGCCTCCCTCCTCTCTCCTTCTTTTCTTCCTTCCTCCCTCCCGCCCTCACACCCTTTCTTTCTTCCTTTCTTTCCTTCTTTCTTTCTACCTCATTTTCTTTCTGTCCTTTTTCTTTTCTTTCTTCCTTCTTCTTTTCCTTCCTTCCTCCCTTCCTCCCTTTCTTCCTTCCTTCCCTCCTCCCTCCCTCCTTCCTTTCCTCCCTCCTTTCTCCTTCCTTCCTTGCTCCCTCCCTCCCTTCCTCATACTCCCTCCCTCCCTTCCTCATACTCTCTCCCTCCCTCTCTTTTTTCTTTCTTTCTTTCTTTCTTTCTTTCTTTCTTTCTTTCTTTCTTTCTCTCTCTCTCTCTCTCTCTCTCTCTCTTTCTTTCTTTCTTTCTTTCTTTCTTTCTTTCTTTCTTTCTTTCTTTCTTTCTTTCTTTCTTTCTTTTCTCACTTGTCCAGGATTCAGAAAAGTGCTGTGATCATAGATTCTTGCAGCCTTGACCTCCAGGGCTCAAAATATTCTTCTCCTGCAGCCTTTGGAGTAGCTGGGACTGCAGGCATGCACCACCGTGCCCAAGTAATATATATTTTTAAATTATTTTTAGTATTTGTAGAGAGAGAGAGCTCTTGCTAAATTGCCCAGGCTGGTCTCAAAGTCATGGTCTTAAGCAATCCTCCTGCCTTGGCCCCCCAAAGTTCTGGGATTATAGGTGTGAGCCACCACATCTAGCCTGCACTCCCTTTTTCTGATATTTGACTGCAGATAGCATCTGAGCTTCAGCCACTCCCTTTTCTCTTCTGCCTCACATCAGGGTAATCAGGTACACAAGCTTGGGTCTTCCCTCCTTGGGTGGTAGCCAGAAGCATACCAACTCCAGCCCCTTATCACATTAAAAGCCCCAAGTCAGTCTTTCCTTGAAGTGTCACCTATTTTCATATCCTTGAGATGTTTTTCCCTTACCAGAAAGCCTCATTGTTCAAGCAACAAATTTTTCATATCTCCTTGGTGTGTGTATGTGTGTGTACGTGTGTGTGCGTGTGTGTAAAATTATCAGCTTCAACAACCAAACCAAATTCAGTGTGGCAGTCAATCTTACTTTTGTAGGGTAATCACAACAACCATATATATGATTTTTTCTTTTATTATTATTATACTTTAAGTTTTAGGACACATGTGCAAAATGTACAGGTTAGTTACATATGTATACATGTGCAATGCTGGTATGCTGCACCCATTAACTCATCATTTAGCAGCAGGTATATCTCCTAAAGCTATCCCTCCCCACTCCCCCACCCCACAACAGTCTCCAGAGTGTGATGTTCCCCTTCCTCTGTCCATATGTTCTCATTGTTCAATTCCCACCTATGAGTGAGAATATGCAGTGTTTGGTTTTTTGTTCTTGCCATAGTTTACTGAGAATGATGATTTCCAATTTCATCCATCTCCCTACAAAGGACGTGAACTCATCACTTTTTATGGCTGCATAGTATTCCATGGTGTATATTTGCCACATTTTCTTAATCCAGTCTATCATTGTTGGACATTTGGGTTGGTTCCAAGTCTTTGCTATTGTGAATAGTGCCGCAATAAACATACGTGTGCATGTGTCTTTATAGCAGCATGATTTATAGTCCTTTGGGTATATACCCAGTAATGGGATGGCTGGGTCAAATGGTATTTCTAGTTCTAGATCCCTGAGGAATCGCCGCACTGACTTCCACAATGGTTTAACTAGTTTACAGTCCCACCAACAGGGTAAAAGAGTTCCTATTTCTCCACATCTTCTCCAGCAAGTGTTGTTTCCTGACTTTTTAATGATTGCCACTCTAACTGGTGTGAGATGGTATCTCATTGTGGTTTTGATTTGCATTTCTCTGATGGCCAGTGATGATGAGCATTTTTTCATGTGTTTTTTGGCTGTATAAATGTCTTCTTTTGAGAAGTGTCTGTTCATGTCCTTCACCCACTTTCTGATGGGGTTGTTTGTTTTTTTCTTGTAAATTTGTTTGAGTTCATTGTAGATTCTGGATATTAGCCCTTTGTCAGATGAGTAGGCTGCAAAAATTTTCTCCCATTTTGTAGGTTGCCTGTTCACTCTGATGGTAGTTTCTTTTGCTGTGCAGAAGCTCTTTAGTTTAATTAGATCCCATTAGTCAATTTTCGCTTTTGTTGCCATTGCTTTTGGTGTTTTAGACATGAAGTCTTTGCCCATGCCTATGTCCTGAATGATAATGCCTAGGTTTTCTTGTAGGATTTTTATGGTTTTAGGTCTAACGTTTAAGTCTTTAATCCATCTTGAATTAATTTTTGTATAAGGTGTAAGGAAGGGATCCAGTTTCAGCTTTCCACATATGGCTAGCCAGTTTTCCCAGCACCATTTATTAAATAGGGAATCCTTTCCCCATTGCTTGTTTTTCTCAGGTTTGTCTAAGATCAGATAGTTGTAGATAAGCGGCATGATTTCTAAGGGCTCCGTTCTGTTCCATTGATCTATATCTCTGTTTTGGTACCAATACCATTCTGTTTTGGTTACTGTAGACTTTTAGTATAGTTTGAAGTCAGGTAGTGTGATGCCTCCAGCTTTGTTCTTTTGGCTTAGGATTGACTTGGTGATGAGGGCTGTTTTTTGGTTTCATATGAACTTTAAAGTATTTTTTTCCAATTCTGTGAAGAAACAAACACCTTTACGCAAATAAAGTAGAAAATCTAGAAGAAATGGATAAATTCCTCGACACATACATCCTCCCAAGACTAAACCAGGAAGAAGTTGAATCTCTGAACACACCAACAACAGGCTCTGAAATTGTGGCAATAATCGATAGCTTACCAACCAAAAAGAGTCCAGGACCCGACGGATTCACAGCTGAATTTTACCAGAGGTACAAGGAGGAACTGGTACCGTTCCTTTTGAAACTATTCTAATCAATAGAAAAAGAGGGGATCCTCCCTAACTCATTTTGTGAGGCCAAAATCATCCTGATATGAAAGCCAGGCAGAGACAAAACCAAAAAAAGAGAATTTTACACCAATATCCTAGAAGAACATTGCTGCAAAACTCTTCAATAAAATACTGGCAAACCAAATCCAGCAGCACATCAAAAAGCTTATCCACCATGATCAAGTGGGCTTCATCCCTGGGATGCAAGGCTGGTTCAATACACACAAATCAATAAAGGTAATCCAGCATATAAACAGAACCAAAGATAAAAACCATATGATTATCTCAATAGATGCAGAAAAGGCCTTTGACAAAATTCAACAACGCTTAATGCTAAAAACTCTCAATAAATTAGGTATTGATGGTATGTATCTCAAAATAATAAGATCCATCTATGACAAACCCACAGCCAATATCATACTGAAAGGGCAAAAACTGGAAGCATTCCCTTTGAAAATGGGCACAAGACAGGCATGCCCTCTCTCACCACTCCTATTCAACACAATGTTGGAAATTCTGAACAGGGCAATTAGGCAGGAGAAGGAAATAAACGGTATTCAATTAAGAAAAGAGGAAATGAAATTGTCCCTGTTTGCAGATGACATGACTGTATATCTAGAAAACCCCATTGTCTCAGCCCAAAATCTTCTCAAGCTGATAAGCAACTTCAGCAAAGTCTCAGGATACAAAATCCATGTACAAAAATCACAGGCATTCTTATACACCAGTAACAGACAAACAGAGAGCCAAATCATCAGTGAACTCCCATTCACAATTGCTTCAAAGAGAATAAAATACCTAGGAATCCAACTTACAAGGGATATGAAGGACCTCTTCAAGGAGAACTACAAACCACTGCTCAATGAAATAAAAGAGGATACAAAGAAATGGAAGAACATTCCATGCTCATGGGTAGGAAGAATCAATATCATGAAAATGGCCCTACTGCCCAAAGTAATTTATAGATTCACTGCCATCCCCATCAAGCTACCAATGGCTTTCTTCACAGATTGGATTTTTTCAATTCAAATGGCAGCAAAATTCTTTGCAGAGACTGCTTCCTTCAGACTTCATTATACATTTTTAATCATAAATAACATTCATGTTTTTTCTTAAAGTGGCCACTTAAGAAAGGGAAATGAGATTATCTTATTTGGCCAAGACTCATTATCCTTTGCCCTCAGCTAAGAATAACCTGTGTTTGCCAGGGTATTTGATTAAACAATATCAGTCTTCAAAAATCAAAAAGCAAAAAAATGTTTGTTCAGTAGACAGCCTTGATTATCTACTACAAGCAATGTTGCAGAAACTTGTCTAGACATAATGGGTGTTGAGTAGCACTTCCTTCCTTATTTCCAAGCATTGGCAAACAGTGAACATCATCTTTAATTTAAAGCTGTGAACACAAAAAATAGATAACCCTAGAGGGGCACTGCTTTACAACAATGTGCTGCAAGAAAACATGGCTATTTCAAAACTTTGTGTGCAAGGTTCGTGTATTCTGATAATTTATTAAAGAATGCACAATATAGTGGAAATGCACACAAGAAAAAAATTAAATTCTTATGGTTAAAACTACCTGAGCTCTTTGTGATCATGTGGGAAAGTAATTAGAATTTGGTCATCACAGCTGTTAAAAACAACAGGATATGTCATTTAAAATTTCATTTATTTATATAAAATTAACAAACTTGTGTTACTATATTTTAGCCATAATTATCTGTGGAAGAGCCATAATTCCCTAGTTTTACATCTACTCAAATTGATTCATTAGAGTTCTGAACAGCTGAAGATGTAAATCAGAAAACACAACAAAATCTTTTTAAAATATGGTGCCTCAGGTTGTCATAAGAATCTGTCATAACATAATATTGGATGTCTCTTAAGTGCATTCTACTTCAGAACATTAATCAATATTGAAAAGAAAATGCGTGTTACTGATTATAAAAATAAGATTTTAAAACTTTTTCTTAATTGTTGTAATTTAAGCTTGAAGTAATTTATAGCTTAAGGGAGACATTATCTGAGACATGCAAATACTGAGATAGATTTCAAAACTTTGCATGCAAGTTTCATGTATTCTGATGATTTATTGAAGAATGTGTGATGTGGTGGATATGCACAGGGAAAATATCAAGTAGTCATAGTTAGGCCAATCTGGAGCCCTAGTGTCATGCATAGCCTGAAATAGCTCACATTCTGGCTGCATGTTTGATGCATTACTCAGAAGGCTTGTTTATGAATGTTCATGTGCAATGCCCCTGAGGTCCAACTCAGAGTCATTTGCATAGAAGAATATAAAGTATTTATTTCTGCAACATAATATTATTAAGAATCGTATGTTTTCCAAGCAATCTCACAAAAAGCTTACCAAAAATTATAAGATACAAAACACTTTTGATTGACAACTTTACCACCTCTTATGGTGGGAATCATAGCTAAATAAAATACATTAGAATGGAGTGAGAAAAAAAGCCTAAAATTATCTTAAATGAATGTTAGGACATAAAAGGAAAATAATTTTATTTTGAGAGTAATAAACTGTGAGATGTGTGTGCATAGATTTTTTTTTTTGTTTGTTTGTTTGTTTGAGACAGAGCCTTGCTGTCACCCAGGCTGGAGTGCAGTGGCACAATATTGGCTCATTGCAACCTCCACTCCTCTGATTCAGAAGGCTTTCTTCCCTTAACCTCCCAAGTAGCTGGGACTACAGGCATGCACCACAGCACCTGGCTAATTTTTGAATTTTTTTAGTAGAGATGGGATTTCACCATACTGGCCAGGCTGGTCTCAAATGCCTGACTACAGGTGATTCACCAGCCTTAGCCTCCCAAAGTGCTGGGATTACAGGCATGAGCCACCACACCAGGCCCTGAGTTAAATATTTCTTTAAAAAATCAGTACTCATTTATGTTTTTTGGTGAACAGAGTGTTTTTGTTGTTGTTGTTGTTATTTTTTTCAGATGGAGTCTCCCTATGTCACCAGGCTGGAGTGCAATGGCACAATCTCAGCTTACTCTAATCTCTGCCTACAGGGCTCAAGCGATTCTCCTGCCTCAGCCTCCTGAGTAGCTGGGACTACAGGCACATGGCACCGTGCCCAGTTAATTTTTGTAGTTTTAGTAGAGACAGGGTTTCACCGTGTTGGCAGGATGGTCTCGATCTCTTGATCTTGTGATCCACGTGCCTTGGCTTCCCAAAGTGCTGGGATTACAAGCATGAGCAACTGCACCCACCTACCTAAATGTTTTTGTAGATATCCAAATTATTTTCTGATATGCCAAGATAAAGAGAACTCCATTCAAGGAGTCATGATCTTATTAAACTTAACCTATTAAAAGTTGGACTTAAGAAGAACCCAATGGTTTTGTTTCTATTTATTACTCATGCATTGGAACTAACAATGTCAGAGAGTCAAATTCCTCTTACATCCTTGTCTTGTTTTCTCCTACCAGCCATCCTTTGGCGGTGATCTCATAGATCTTGCTAGACTGTTTATGGAATAATTTGCATTTCCCTAAGTAGTTTCTGACTCAACATATTTGAAAGTAATTCTACTCAAGGAAATCAAGCTTAGGTCATGTAGGGCCCCCCCTTCAGAGGTAATATATAGCTGGGATTTGAAACAGTCATGCAAATTTTGCTTTACGATTGTCTTCCTCCAAAAAATGGTAGAAATGCCTTTTTTAAAGCACTTGTCTCCAATTTCACCACCAGGTATTCCTTATTGATACAGATAACAGAACAATAAATGCCTCATCTTGTGGGAAATCTTAGTGTGTACACAATATATTTTCCTTGTACAATGACTTCAGTCATTTCATAATGCCTAATACAATTGTAATTCTTGGTCAACATAACCATGGAATCTGAATAATCATGAATCTGAAACCCTTCTATAGAATAAATACCCTCATTTCTTGGCAGGTCTCCTTTTACTGGTGCAAATGCCAAAAAAGTAAAGCATTACGGGTTCATCTTAATTGGTCATAATTATTTTCTGCCAGGTGGTTTGTACAAATTCCATGAAACTGCTTTATTCAGCTCCCAAAATTAAAGTTTAAAACCACCATACAACATATATTACTTGTTCATCAAAAATTTGAAAGCAGATTACATAGAAATGAAGACCATGTTGGATTTTTTTAACTTTGCAAAGAAAAATTATTGATAGTAATATAATGTTTACCTCAATAGAGTTTTTGTATATTATGTGATATTTCATTATGTATTGCCATATATTCTAAGAATGTAATTTTTTTCCAAAATTGGGGATAACTCACTTTGTTTTGCTCGTTGACACTTATATTTGATTTTTCTAGGATATAAACATCTATAAATAAATAGCATCTAAAAGCAACAAAAGTCATTGAAACTTGTCAGTGTATCTTTCTGTTAACATTTCATATTCTCTTTCATATAGTATTAGTCAATGTGTGGATATTATTATGGGGATTTTGAATCTTGGGTTGTGAATTTCCTTTGCTTTGGGTGGGAAGTGGCAGTAGGGGTGGACAGTGAATTTTGTCCACAATTAGCCATGTATTTTAAAATGTTGAAAATTTTTTTTTAAATTTTATTATTATTATACTTTAAGTTTCAGGGTACATGTGCACAACGTGAAGGTTTGTTACATATGTATACATGTGCCATTTTGGTGTGCTGCACCCATTACCTCATCATTTAACATTAGGTATATCTCCTAATGCTATCCCTCTCCCCTCCCCCAACCCCACAACACGACCCGGTGTGTGATGTTCCCCTTCCTGTGTCCATGTGTTCTCATTGTTCAATTCCCACCTATGAGTGAGAACATGTGGTGTTTGGTTTTTTGTCCTTGTGATAGTTTACTGAGAATGATGGTTTCCAGTTTCATCATGTTCCTACAAAGGACATGAACCCATCATTTTTTATGGCTGCATAGTATTCCATGGTGTATATGTGCCACATTTTCTTAATCCAGTTTATCGTTGTTGGACATTAGGTTGGTTCCAAGTCTTTGCTATTGTGAATAGTGCTTCAATAAACATATGTGTGCATGTGTCTTTATAGCAGCATGTTTTATAATCCTTTGGGTACATACCCAGTAATTGGATGGCTGGATCAAATGATATTTCTAGTTCTCCATCCCTGAGGAATCACCACACTGACTTCCACAATGGTTTAACTAGTTTACAGTCCCACCAACAGTATAAAAGTGTTCCTATTTCTCCACATCCTCTCCAGCACCTGTTGTTTCCTGAATTTTTAATGATTGCCATTCTAACTGGTGTGAGATGGTAACTCATTGTGGTTTTGATTTGCATTTCTCTGATGGCCAGTGATGATGAGCATTTTTTCATGTGTTTTTTGGCTGCACTGTTTGTTTTTTTCCTGTAAATTTGTTTGAGTTCATTGTAGATTCTGGATATTAGCCCTTTGTCAGATGAGTAGGTTGCAAAAATTTTCTCCCATTTTGTAGGTTGCCTGTTTACTCTGAGGGTACTTTGTTTTGCTGTGCAGAAGCTCTTTAGTTTAATTAGATGTCATTTGTCAATTTTGGCTTCTGTTGTCATTCCTTTTGGTGTTTTAGACATGAAGTCCTTGCCCATGCCTATGTCCTGAATGGTATTGCCTAGGTTTTCTTCCAGGGTTTTTATGGTTTTAAGTCTAACATTTAAGTCTTTAATCCATCTTGAATTAATTTTTGTATAATGTGTAAGGAAGGGATCCAGTTTCAGCTTTCCACTTATGGCTAGCTAGTTTTCGCAGCACGATTTATTAAATAGGGAATCCTTTCTCCATTGTTTGTTTTTGTCAGGTTTGTCAAAGATCAGATAGTTGTAGATATGTGGCATTATTTCTGAGGGCTCTGTTCTGTTTCATTGGTCTATATCTCTGTTTTGGTACAAGTACCATGCTGTTTTGGTTACTGTAGCCTTGTAGTATAGTTTAAAGTCAGGTAGCGTGATGCCTCTAGCTTTGTTCTTTTGCCTTAGAATTTACTTGGTGATGCAGGCGCTTTTTTGGTTCCATATGAACTTTATTTTTTTCCAATTCTGTGAAGAAAGTCATTGGTAGCTTGATGGGGATGGCATTGAATCTGTAAATTAACTTGGACAGTATGGCCATTTTCATGATATTGATTCTTCCTACCCATGAGCATGGAATGTTCTTCCATTTCTTTGTATCCTCTTTTATTTCATTGAGCAGTGGTTTGTAGTTCTCCTTGAAGATGTCCTTCACATCCCTTGTAAGTTGGATTCCTAGGTATTTTATTCTCTTTGAAGCAATTGTGAATGGGAGTTCACTGATGATTTGGCTCTCTGTTTGTCTGTTATTGGTGTATAAGAATGCTTGTGATTTCTGTACATGGATTTTGTATCCTGAGACTTTGCTGAAGTTGCTTATCAGCTTAAGAAGATTTTGGGCTGAGACAATGGGGTTTTCTAGATATACAACCATGTCATCTGCAAACAGGGACAATTCGACTTCCTCTTTTCCTAATTGAATACCCTTTATTTTCTTCTCCTGCTTGACTGCCCTGTTCAGAATTTCCAACATTGTGTTGAATAGGAGTGGTGAGAGAGGGCATGCCTGTCTTGTGCCCATTTTCAAAGGGAATGCTTCCAGTTTTTGCCCATTCAGTATGATATTGTCTGTGGGTTTGTCATAGATAGCACTTATTATTTTGAGATACATCCCATTAATACCGAATTTATTGAGAATTTTTAGCATGAAGTGTTTTTGAATTTTGTCAAAGGCCTTTTCTGCATCTATTGAAATAACCATGTGATTTTTGTCTTTGGTTCTGTTTACATGCTGGATTACTTTTATTGATTTGCATACGTTGAACCAGACTTGCATCCCAGGGATGAAGCCTCCTTGATCATGGTGGATAAGCTTTTTGATATGCTGCTGGATTTGGTTTGCTGGTATTTTATTGAAGAGTTTTGCATTGATGTTCATCAAGGATATTGGTCTAAAATTCTCTTTTTTGGTTTTGTCTCTTCCAGCCTTTGGTATCAGGATGATGCTGGCCTCAAAAAATGAGTTAGGGAGGACTCCCTCTGTATCTGTTGATTGGAATAGTTTCAGAAGGAATGGTACCAGCTCCTCTTCGTACCTCTGGTAGAATTCAGCTGTGAATCCGTCGGGTCCTGGACTCTTTTTGGTTGGTAAGCTATTGATTATTGCTTCAATTTCAGGACCTGTTATTGTTCTATTCAGAGATTCAACTTCTCCCTGGTTTAGTCTTGGGAGGATGTATGTGTGGAGGAATTTATCCATTTCTTCTTCATTTTCTAGTTTATTGGCGTAGAAGTGTATTCTATAGTATTCTTTGATGGTATTTTGTATTTCTGTGGGATTGGTGGTGATATCCCCGTTATCTTTTTTATTGCATCTATTTGATTCTTCTCTCTTTTCTTCTTTATTAGTCTTGCTAGTGGTCTATCAATTTTGTTGATCCTTTCAAAAACCCAGCTCCTGGATTTATTAATTTTTTGAAGGGTTTTTTATGTCTCTATTTCCTTCAGTTCTGCTCTGGTCTTAGTTATTTCTTGCCGTCTGCTAGCTTTTGAATGTGTTTGCTCTTGCTTTTCTAGTTCTTTTAATTGTGATGTTAGATTGTCAATTTTAGATCTTTCCTCCTTTCTCTTGTGGGCATTTAGTGCTATAAATTTCCCTCTACATACTGCTTTGAATGTGTCCCAGAGATTCTTGTATGTTGTGTCTTTGTTCTCATTGGTTTCGAAGAACATCTTTATTTCTGCCTTCATTTCATTATGTACCCAGTAGTCATTCAGGAGCAGGTCATTCAGTTTCCCTGTAATTGAGTGATTTTGAGTGAGTTACTTAATCCTGAGTTCTAGTTTGATTGCACTGTGGTCTGAGAGGCAGTTTCTTATCATTTCTGTTGTTTTATGTTTGCTGAGGAGTGCTTTACTTCCAACTATGTGGTCAATTTTCCAGTAGGTGTGGTGTGGTGCTGAAAAAAATGTATATTCTGTTGATTTGGGGTGGAGAGTTCTGTAGATGTCTATTAGGTCCACTTGGTGCAGAACTGAGTTCAATTCCTGGGTATCCTTCTTAACTTTCTGTCTCATTGATCTGTCTAATGTTGACAGTGCAGTGTTAAACTCTCCCATTATTATTGTGTGGGAGTCTAAGTCTCTTTGTAGGTCATTAAAGACTTGCTTTATGAATCTGGGTGCTCCTGTATTGGGTGCATATATATTTAGGATAGTTAGCTCTTCTTGTTGAATTGATCCCTTTACCATTATGTAATGGCCTTCTTTGTCTCTTTTGATCTTTGTTTGTTTAAAGTCCGTTTTATCACAGACTAGGATTGCAACCCCTGCCTTTTTTTTATTTTCCATTTACTTGGTAGATCTTCCTCCATTCCTTTATTTTGAGCCTATGTGTGTCTCTGTACATGAGATGGGTTTCCTGAATACAGCACACTGATGGGTCTTGACTGTTTCTCCAATTTGCCAGTCTATGTCTTTTAATTGGAGCATATCACCCATTTACATTTAAAGTTAATATTGTTATGTGTGAATTTGATCCTGTCATTATGATGTTGGCTGCTTATTTTGCTCCATAGTTAAGGCAGTTTCTTCCTAGCCTTGATGGTATTTACAATTTGGCATGTTTTTGCAGTGGCTGTTACTGGTTGTTCCTTTCTATGTTTAGTGCTTCCTTCAGGAGCTCTTTTAGGGCAGGCCTGGTGGTGACAAAATCTCTCAGCATTTGCTTGTCTGTAAAGTATTTTATTTCTCCTTTGCTTATGAAGCTTAGTTTGGCTGGATATGAAATTCTGGTTTGAAAATTCTTTTCTTTAAGAATGTTGAATATTGGCCCCCACTCTCTTCTGGCTTGTAGGGTTTCTGCTGAGAGATCCACTATTAGTCTGATGGGCTTCCCTTTGAGGGTAACCCGACCTTTCTCTCTGTCTGCCCTTAACATTTTTTCCTTCATTTCAACTTTGGTGAATCTGACAATTATGTGTCTTGGAGCTCCTCTTCTCAAGGACTATCTTTGTGGTGTTCTCTGTATTTCCTGAGATTGAATGTTGGCCTGTATTGCTAGATTAGGGAAGTTCTCCTAGATAATACCCTGCAGAGTGTTTTCCAACTTGTTTCCCTTCTCCCCGTCACTTTCAGTTACACCAATCAGACATAGATTTGGTCTTTTCACATAGTCCCATATTTCTTGGAGGCTTTGTTTGTTTCTTTTATTCTTTTTTCTCTAAACTTCTCTTCTCACTTCATTTCATTCATTTCATCTTCCATCACTGATACCGTTTCTTCCAGTTGATCACATTGGCTACTGAGGCTTCTGCATTCATCATGCAGCTCTTGTGCCTCAGTTTTCAGCTCCGTCAGGTCCTTTAAGGACTTCTGTGCATTGATTATTCTAGTTATCCATTCGTCTAATTTTTTTTTCAAAGCTTTTAACTTCTTTGCCATTGGTTCGAATTTCCTCCTGTAGCTCAGAGTAGTTGGATTGTCTGAAGCCTTCTTCTCTCATCTCATCAAAGTTATTCTCCGTTCAGCTTTATTCCATTGTTGATAAGGAGCTGTGGTCCTTTGGAGGGGAGAGGTGCTCTGATTTTTAGAGTTTCCAGTTTTTCTGCTCTGTTTTTTTCCCCATCTTTGTGGTTTTATCTACCTTTGGTCTTTGGTGATAGTGACGTACAGATGGGGTTTTGGTGTGGATGTCCTTTCTGTTTGTTTTCCTTCTAACAGACAGGACACTCAGGTTCAAGTCTGTTGGAGTTTGCTAGAGGTCCACTCCAGACCCTGTTTGCCTGGGTATCAGCAGCGGTGGCTGCAGAACAGCGTATTTTGGTGAACTGCAAATGCTGCTGCTGATTGTTCCTCTGGAAATTTTGTCTCAGAGGAGTACCCAGCCATGTGAGGTGTCAGTCCAGCCCTACTGGGTGGTGCCTCCCAGTTAGGCTACTCAGGGGTGAGGGACCCACTTGAGGAGGCAGTCTGAATGTTCTCAGATCTCAAGTTGTGTGCTGGGAGAACCATTACTCTCTTCAAAGTTGTCAGAGGGGGACATGTAAATATGCAGAGGTTACTGCTGTCTTTTTGTTTGTCTGTGCCCTGCCCCCAGAGGTGGATCCTACAGAGGCAGGCAGGCCTCCTTGAGCTGTTGTGGGCTCCACCCAGTTTGAGCTTCCGGGCCACTTTGTTTAACTAATCAAACAACTAACTCGGCCTTGGCAGGCGCCCCTCCCCCAGCCTCACTGCCGCCTTGCAGTTTGATCTCACACTGCTGTGCTAGCAGTGAGCAAGACTCCGTGGGCATAGGACCCTCCAATCCAGGTGCAGGATATAATCTCCTGGTGTGCCATTTTTTAAGCCTGTTGGAAAAGCACAGTTTTAGGGTGGGAATGACCTGATTTTCCAGGTGCCATCTGTCACCCCTTTCTTTGATTAGGAAAGAGAATTCCCTGACCCCTTGCACTTCCCAGGTGATGCAATGTCTTGCCCTGCTTCAGCTCACACACAGTGCACTGCACCCACTGTCCTGAACCTAGTGTCTGGCACTCCCCAGTGAGATAAACCCAGTACCTCAGTTGGAAATGCAGAAATCACCTGTCTTTGGCATTGCTCACACTGGGAGCTGTAGACTGGAGCTGTTCCTATTCAGCCGCCTTGGCTCCTCCCCCAAAATTATGAAATTTAAGCATCAATTAAAAATACTTTTATTTTCACCTTCTTGAAGATCATGAGAATATCCTTAAGCATATTGATGTTCCTTCTAATAGGATTCAGATCTGAAAGGTGGAGACTATACACAAAGCAGCTTGGAACAGGAAAGATTCTTATACACTGAAATATTTATACTACCTGTTCTTCAGGAGATGGTGATCATCTTGTGGATAAAATAAGATTCATTTATTTTTCCATTCTTGTTGACAAGTATCCATAATGGAAACATGAGTATGAAAAAAATGAAGAAAAAGAAAAAGAGGAAGAAAGAAAAAGAGAAGAAGGAGGAGGAGGAAGAAGAAGGAGAAGAAGAAGAAAAAGAAGAAAAAGAAGAAGAACAAGGAGGCAGCAGAGAAGTAGGAGAAAGAAGAAAGAAGAAAGAGGAGAGGAGGAGGAGTAGAAAGAGGAGGAGGAGATGAAGATGAAGAAAGAAGAAGAAGGAGGAGGAGGAGCTGCAGCAGCAGCAGGAGGAGGAGGAGGGGCAGAAGGAGCAGGAAAAGGAAGAAGAGGAGGAGGAGGAGAAGAAGAGGAAGAAGAAGGAGAAGGAGAAGAAGGAGAAGGAGGAGGAGGAGAAGAAGAAGGAGATGGAGAAGAAGGAGAAGAAGGAGGAGGAGAAGAAGAAGAAGAGAAGGAGGAGGAGAAGGGGGGAGGAGGAGGAGAAAAAAGAAGAGAAGAAATAAGAAATGAAGAAACCAATTAGGACTTATGGATAATTTCAATGTAACTAATGTCAGTTATAAATTGTAAACTGTCATTTGAAAGTGGACAATCTGTTGAGATACAAATGTTAATATTTTGAGACAGAGACTGGCAGTTTTGTTTTATGCTTTTATTTCTCTCTTTTTGTCATCCAGACTGTATTGCAGTGGATGCAATCATGGCTCACTGCAGCATCGACCTCCCAGCCTCAGGTGATCCTTCTGCCTCAGCCTTCCCAGCAGCTGGGACCACAGGCACGTGCCACCATGCCTAGCTAATTTTTGTGTTTTTAATGGAGATGGGTTATCTTCATGTTGCCTAAGCTGGTCTTCAACTTCTGAGGTCAAGCCATCTGCAAGCCTTGGCCACCCAAAGTGCTGAGATTACTCTGGCCACAGGACCCAGCAGAAAGTTTTGTTTTAAATGGAATTCTAGGGATGAAGGCCTAAATCATTGTTCTCCATCCTGAAATCCATGCTTTTAAAACCAATTAAAGAAATTTGTCAGGAATATCTGATGATTCTCAAGGTTCTCAAGTAAAACTTTAGTGTGATAAAAATCTATAGAAAGACCCAAAAATCCCATAGAGAGTTATTCGCTTATGTATTGTTCCAGAGACAGACTTATTATTATTATTATTATTATTGTTATTATTTTGAGAAAAGGATTCAGTCTCTCTCCTTGGCTGGAGTGCCATGGGATGATCTTGGCTCACTGCAGCCTCAAATTCCTGGTATCAAGTAATTCTAAGGCCTCATACTTCTAATTAGATGCTCCAAGTCTCTGTGATCCTCAAAATAGTAAAAACCACTTAAAAAAAAAGTCAAAACATCCTTTCGAGTCATTATTTTTTCTTATTTTAAAATTATGGGATGAGACTACACTGACTTTAAGTTCAGTTCAAGTTCTATAATTATATGCCTCTATGAATTTTGCAATGACTTCTTAAAGGCAATCTTCCTTTCCTCAGTACCTTATCTTTTCCTAGCCTTTAAACAACTCTACAGGGAAATAAATTATTTTAACCCAAACTAGGTCAGCACTGGAGCAGAATTTCATTTTTCAGTGCCCACAAATTCAAAATTCTCTTTGAAGAATATGTCAGAAACAATTCTTTTTTGGATCACTGAGAAACATAGTTTAGAACTCATAGAAACTGCTGCTTGAGTCATAGGAAAATGCCTTTTAAAATAAAAATGGTGACAAATTATGTTACATTATTAAATGATCATTTTGTTCAATTGATGAACAATTTTCAATATATCCATTAGCAGAACAATTACTGTTTGCAAAACTACTTAAAATGAGAATTTATACAGTTGTGTTTCTTTTGTAATGAATGTTAACTGATTTTAAAATCATTTAATTTTTATTCAATTCCATCACCTTCCAAACACTTTCAAATATAGTCACATAAACATGAAAATGGAAATCTATCTTTATCAGCATTTGGGGGAAAATATAATAACATATTGAGCATATAATAACATCATGAGCAGTATCATATTAGGAATGTCTACACGATGTGGTGCAGTGAGAAATCCATTTAAATAAGTACTGATAGGGCCAATATTCATGGCAATGGAAATTTAAAGAAAGATATTAGCAGAAGCATAGCTGCAACAGGAACAAAAAGCAAAAAACATACACCTATAAGCTTGTGGTAGCAAGTCCATATATACCATGGAGATGTGGGTTGTCACTAAGACAACCTGCTGTCAGAAAGGACATCAATAGATACTTAGAGTTGCCACACACAGTTGCTGGCTTGAGTATGCTTCCACTGCTCAATGGATCTGGCACAATTCCTTGGCAATAAAAGTGAGACACTGTCATAGCACAGCCATAAAACAGTGGTCATGCCAGGAAAAGAAAGTATAATGCCCCTTCCTGTCATTCTAATCTCCACAGTGTAGAAGGAATTGCAAATTCCTGTAGGAACAACCATGACCTTCGTAGCTATGCATGTGTTTGCAAAAATGATTACATTCAGTTGTTTCAGCATCTGTTCCTGCTGTGCTAGGCATATTGTACTCTGACTTCACATGAATGCTATCAGACATAAAGGTGCAGGGGATGGAAGTGAGACCAGGTCATGTGGGCAGGCATCAGTAGGCAAAATCCAATGCCAAGAGAGACATCAGAGAGAGCATCCTTAGCCCCTTCATACGGAAATCTAGTTTTCATTCATCATGTTCAATATCTTCATATGTGTAGTTGACACAATGAGTTTAAAATGTCACCTCTCTTAAATCATTGCTATCAGCAATGAGTGCTTTTTCTGTTTTGTATGTTTGCTTTTATGTAAAGATAATGGAAATGTTGGTAAGATAGAATGCAATGAGCCAGAGACCATTTCCACTGAGCGAGGACCCAAACAGGGATTCAATGGAGGAAGAGAGAGAATCCTTAAAGACAGGGAGGGATAAGATTCCCAAATATTGCTCCAGAAACTCTCAAGGGAGAGCAGAGGGTGGCAAGAAGGCAGATGGACCAAAATGTTATTTATTTGTCACTGTATGCACTGCCCAACCTCTGCTGTCTTGATTTTACCAAATAACTACTCTTTCACCTTTGTCATGGACACTAAGGACGGGATTAACCCCCCTCTCAAACAAAACTCATGCACAAGGTATTCAGTGTCCCATCACTGACATCTTAAGAGTAGTTTCAACTGAGACATAGGAAGACTAATACAGGGAAAGGCTGGCTCTGGGGCAAAAGAAAAAGACAAATAGACCTGTATAAGTTCACAAATGCGTATTATTTGCTATGCATAGTGGATTTTTTAAAATGTTCAACCTATAAGTATTCTGAGCCAAAAACAAACCCATTAATATGCTACACCCCCTACAACTGACCACATTTTTATTTCTGACCCCAAAGGAATGTGAATTTCAAACTCCTGTCAAGGACTGATCTCTCATTTGCTGACTTGATAAGCCTGAATTTACCCAGTGAGGACAGAGCAAGATGGCAAAGAGATGTCCAGTTAAAGAAAGTGCCTTGACTGAGGTTACAAAGCTTTACATCGGCACAGTTGGTTTTCCAGGCAGTCTGACTGACTTGCCCATTGTGTTAGTCTGCTTTCATACTGTTTTCCTTGAGCCCAGGAGGTTGAGTCTGCAGTGAGATTTGATGGTAGTACTGCACTCCAGCCTGGGTGACAGATGAGATTTGGGTGGGGACACAGCCAAACCATATCATAATCCAACTGGAGTGGTGTCATCATAAGAGATTAGATGCCAACAAAAAGGAAAGGCCACATGAGGACACAGGGAGAAGACAGTTTCTACAAGCCAGAGAGGCCTTGGAAGGAACAACCTCTGCCAACATGTTGATCTGGGACTTCCAGCATCTGAAATTGTGAGGCAATAAATTTCTGTCGTTTAACCCACCCATTCAGCTTGGGGTACTTTGTGATGGCAGTCCCAGCAAATTAAATATATTTTAAAAAGTAATAGCTTTAACATCTATGGAAATGATGAAAAAGAAACAACACATGTCTCTTGGGGATGCATAATACCATCTGAATATACTTGACTTCCCCTAAGCATAAACATTATTACTCCATCTGCAATGCTTCACTTTCCCTCCATCTTCAAAGGGCTGCTTTGTAAGTAGGGGCATAATCAGTCTAGAGGCATACTTTCTTGGTGAGTTAAGTCTTCTACAGACAATGAATGCATTGTGATCCTGATGGCCAAATGATCTCTTCCATGGTTGTAATAACCTGAATGTCCCCCCAGAGATGTCTACAAGCTAATCTCTGCAACATATGAATATATTATATTAATTACATGGCAACAGAAATTTGCTGATATAATTAAGGCTGTGATATTTAAATAGGGAGATTATCCTGTATTATCTGAGTGTGCTCAATCTAATCCCATGAGCCCTTAAATGTAGGGACCTATCTCTGGCTAGGAGGGAGTGAGATAGAGTAGTCATCCTTTATTTGTGGTTTCTGCTAACAGAAGTCAATCGTGGTTAGGAAAATCATTAGGGCTAGTCATGGTTCTGTGGTCCGGGGTCATTCAAAGCAGATGATAACCTTTCTGTCTCTCTTTCTGTCCTACTTTCTTTCCCCTTTCTTTCTTACCTCGCTCCATCCCTCCCTCCCTCCCTTCCTCCTTCCTTCCCTCCCTGTCTGTCTCTCTCTCTTTCTTTCTCTTTCTCTCTTTCTCTTTCTTTCTTTCTTCCTTTCTTTCTTTCTTTCTCTTCTTTCTTTTTCTTTTTTTTTTTTAATTATTTTACTTTAACTTCTGGGATACATATGCAGAATGTGTAGGTTTGTTACATAGGTATACATGTGCCATGGTAGTTTGCTACACCTATTGACCCATCCTCTAAGTTTTCTCTCTTTGCCCCACCCCACCCCCGACAAAGAGGTGCCAGTGTGTGTTATTCTCATCCCTGTGTTCATGTGTTCTCATTGTTCAATTTCCCCTTTTGAGTGAGAATATGTGATGTTTGCTTTTCTACCCTGTGTTAGTTTGGTGAGGATGATGGCTTCCAGTTTCATCCATGTCCCTGCAAAGAACATGATCTCATTCTTTTTTTTTATGGCTGCAGAGTATTCCATGGTGTATGCATACCATATTTTCTTTATCCAGTCTATCATTGATGGGCATTTGGGTTGGTTCCATGACTTTGCTACTGAAAATAGTGCTGCAATAAATACACATGTGCATGTGTCTTTATGGTAGAATGATTTATATTCCTTTAGGTATATACCCAGTAATAAAATGCTGAGGTGAAAGTATTTTTGATTCTAGATCCTTGAAGAACTGCCATACCATCTTCCACAATGTTTGAACTAATTTACATTCCTACCAAGAGTGTAAAAGCTTTCCTCTTTCTCCAAAGCCTTTCCAGCACACATTGTTTCTTCACTTTTTTACAATCACCATTCAGACTGGTGTGAGATGGTATCTTATTGTGGTTTTGATTTGCATTTCTGTAATGATCAGAGATATTGAGTTTTTTTCATGTTTCTTGGCCGTGTAAATGTCTTCTTTTGAGAAGTGTCTGTTGGTATCCTTTACCTACTTTTTGAAGGAGTTGTTTGCTATTTTCTTATACATTTATTTAAGTTATTTGTAAATCCTGTGTTTTTTCAGTGGCTGGTACCAGTTTTTCCTTTCTATATTTAGCGCTTCTTTCAGGAGCTCTTGCAAGGCTCTTGCAAGGCTTGGTGGTAATGAAATCCCTCAGTATTTGCTTGTCTGGAATGGATTTTATTTCTCCTTTGCTTATGAAGCTTAGTTTGGTTGAATATGAAATTCTGAGTTGAAAATATTTTCCCTGAAGAGTGTTGAATATTGGACCCCAATATCTTCTGGCTTGTAGTGTTTCTGCTGAGAGGTCCACTGTGAGTCTGATGGACTCCCCTGTGTAGGTGACCTGGCCTTTCTTTCTGGCTGCCCTCAACAATTTTTCCTTCATTTCATTCTTGGAGAATCTGATGATTATGTATCTTGGGGTTGATCTTCTTGTGGAGTATCTTAGCGGTGTTTTCTGTATTTCTTGAACTTGCATGTTGGCTTGTCTTGCTAGGTTGGGGAAGTTCCCTGGATAATATTCTGAAGTCTGTTTTCCAGCTTGTTTCTCTTCTTGCCATCTTCTTCTGGTACTCCAATCAATAGTAGGTTTGGTCTTTTTATGATATACCATATTTCTTCGGGCCTTATTTTCTCCTTTTCATTTTTTTCTGTAATCTTCTCTGCATGCCTTTTTTTCAGCAAGGTAGTCTTGAAACTCTGATATCCTCTCTTTTGTTTGGTCAGTTTGGCTATTGATACTTTTGTATGCTTCATGATGTTCTTGTGCTGTGTTTTTCAGCTATGTCAGGTCATTTATGTCCCTCTCTAAACTGGTTATTCTAGTTAGCAGATCCTCTAACTTCTTATCAAGTTTCTTAGCTTCTTTGCCTTGGGTTAGAACATGCTTATTTAGCTCAGTGGAATTCTTTATTGTCCATCTTCTGAAGTCTACTTCTGTCAATTTGTCCATCTTCTTGAAGCCTATTTCCATAAATTTGTCCATCTCATCCTCTGTCCAGTTCTGCACCCTTGCTGGAATGGCATTGCCATCATCTGGAGGATAAGAGGCACTCTGGCCTTTTGGGTTTTCAGCATTTTTTTTCATTGGTTCTTTCTCATCTTCATGAGTTTGTGTAGTTTCAATCTTTGAGGCTGCTGACCCTTGGATGAGTTTTTTCTGGGAACTTTTTGTTGTTGTTGATGCTGTGATTGTTGCTTTCAGTTTGTTTTTCTTTCAGTGGTCAGGTTCCTCTTCTGCAGGACTGCTGCAGTTTATTGGCGGTTCACTTCAGGCCTTATTCATCTGGTTCACTCCAGTGCCTGGAAATGTCACTCAAAGAGGTTGAAAAACAATGAAGATGGGTGCCTGGTCTTCTTCTGGGATCTCTGACCTTGATGACACCAATCTGATGCCTGTAGGATTGCTCCTGTATATATGGAGTGCCTGACTACCACTGTTAGAGGGTCTCACCCAGTTGGGTGGCATGGGGAACAGCACCTTTTTGGTGAAGTAATATAACTACCCCTTTGTGGAGGAGATGTGCTTTGATGAGGGAAACCCATTCATCTGGGCTGCCTGGATCCCTCAGAACTACCAGGAGGAAAGACTAATTTTGCTGGTCCACAGAGACTGCAACCACCCTTCCCTGTAGGGGCTCTGGCCAGAGTTGTCCCTGAGTCTCTGGCCAGAGTTGTTGGAGTTCCTGAGCCCCATCCAGTGAGAAACGATGTGGCAGGGTCAGGCCTGAAGAGGAGCTCTGGCCGCAATCTGCCACAGTTGGTGTGTTGGGCTGGGGGGATGCTTCTTGGGGTCCTGTATCCCTGGCTGAAGCAGGGAAAAAGCATGGCCTGGAGCAATAGAGATGAATGCTGGCCTTCTGTTACCCAGGGAGCTTTGTGTGTTAGGCAGTTATCAGTCCCAGTGCTGGCTGCTGCCCCTCTCCCAAGGAGCTCAAAGGACTTAAGCAGCATGCAGCAGCAGCTGTGATGCTGGCTGGCCCTCCCCTTGGGAGCTTGGCAGGCTTAGGCCAATTCCAGCTGAGAGGCTATTAAAAATCTGCATGGTTCCAGGATTCAGACCCTAGGCCCTGGTGTTGTGGATTCACAAGTGGGATCTTCCAATCCAAGAGCTGCACAGTTCTGTGGACAAAGCAGATTTTCTCCAGCTCAGCAGCATGCTCACTCACTGCCTCCCTTGGCTGAGGGGTGAGGGCTCCCTTGCCCCGTATGGCTCTCAAGTGGACCACCACGCCACACTGCTCTTTCTTCTTGTGGAGCACATCAGCTGCCCAGTCAGTTCTGATGAGAAAATCTAGATACCTTGGTTGCCAGTGAAGGCTTCACACACTAATTACGGTTCTTTTTGATGGGAGCCTCTGATCATGGATGTTTCTAGTTGGCCATATTGGCCCCACTCCCAGATAATTCTCTTTCTGACATATTATCAGAAAGTCAATAGAAGACTAACACTACTTCATGATGCCTGTTTTCCACCTCAGTTCATCTAATCATGTGGGTATTGTAACATGACAAAATCACAGTAACATTGAGTATTTTACAATAAGACATTTTGAGAGAGAGAGAAAGGGAGAGACCATATTCATTTAACTTTTATTGCAATATATTGTTATAATTCTTTTCTTTTATTAGAATAATTGATTATTATTTGATATATGATTAGTTATTATATTTGTTCTCATGCTGCTGATAAAGACATGCCTCAGACTGGGTAATTTAAAAAGGTAAGAGGTTTAAATTGACTCACAGTTCTGCAGAGCAGGGGAGGCCTCACAATCATGGTGGAGGGTGAAGGAGAAGCAAAGTTGTGCCTTACAGGACAAGAGAGCCTGTGCAAGGGAACTCACCTTTATAAAATCATTAGATCTCATGATATTTTTTCACTATCATGAGAACATCACAAGAAAATCCTGCTCCCATGATTCAACTACCTCCCTTCACATCCCTCCCATGACATGTGGGAATTATGGCAGCAACAAGTCAAGATGAGATTTGGGTGGAGACACAGTCAAACCATGACAGTTATTACTGTCAATTTTTTACTGTGCCTAATTTATAAATTAAGCTTTATTATAGGCATGTATGTCCAAGGAAAGACATCACATATATAGGGTTTGATATTGTCCACAGTTTCAGGCATCCACTAGGATTCATGAAATATATTTCCCATAGATAAGTGGGGACAATTGTGTGGCAGAAGAAAAATCGATATGGAAAACATTAGAGAAACTCAACCTTCTCTTGCTGGAGAAAGCCATACAGAGATCATGAGAAAGAACATAGGCACACTTGTGACTATCAGCAAAAACAGGCTCCTAGCTGACAGCCAGCCAGGAAATGTTGGCCTTAGTTGCACAACTGAATGGTTCTGAATTCAGCCAATAACCTCAGTAACCTTGAAGCAGGACCCTTCTGCTCCTCCCTGCTCAAGCCTCCAGTAAAAATCGCAGCCCTGCAAACACATCGATTTTTCTCTATGAGACACAAACAGAGGACCTAGTTGTGCCATGCTGTGCCCAGACTCATGGCCACTAGATTTATGGTAATTTGTTGCAGAGGTGATCGAAATTTCTGTTAATTTCTGTTTCCTGATCCAATCATTCTCCTTAGTAATCACATATTGGCTTTCAATGGAATTCCTCTTCTCCCCTTCGTATAGATTGTCTTGGGGTAATACAAGCCCCCATTCCTTCTGTAACCTCAAGATAGCATATAGGTTTCTGTACTCAGTTGAGATATTGAGGAGTCACTCTATGATTCTCCCGATTCTCATGATTAAGTAAGTTTTGTATGCTTTTTCTCCTACTAATCTGCTTTTTTGTGAGTTGATTTTTCATCGAGCTTTGCATTTGATTTCTCCTACCATGGACTAATCCAATCTCTCAAGTGTTAATTATCACCTCCATGCAAGTTATTCCCTAAACAGATATTTGCAATTTGGTCTCTTTCCTTTGCTCTATATTCACATTTCCAAAGTTCTCTCAGATATTTTCAACCAGCTGCCCTGTAACCACTTAAATTTCAGCAAGCCTCAAAACAAATTAGTCATCCTGTTCTTGATACCAACTCCTCTTACCAACTTCCCTCTTCCTTTAATTGTGGCATTGTTTTCATAGGAGTGTTGAATCCTTTGAGCTGTTTTGACTGACCGATCTTCCACGGTTTTCCCATTGCATCTCCTGCCTAGTGATATTTCCTTAAAAAAATAAACAGTCTTTATCATTTCCTTGTGTTCTAGCATGTTTCTAGCATTGAGTATGTGCTTAATAATGTTTTTACAGAGAAAGTGAAATCCCTTCTTTTTCCTCACACAGTGTGCCTCATCATTATCTTGTATTTTTATTCCTACAACAGATCCCTAACTACAGTTTTCCGCCTCTTCCTCAATTTAACATAAGTTAAAATGTTTTGGCCATGCAAAAAAATTATTTTACAAGTTAATTTCTGTTCCTTCATTCAATCATTACTTATTATTTATACACTAATTTTTATACAATAAATTATTTATACAAAAAATTATTTATACAATAATTTTCATAATTATTTCACTTAGGCCTATAATCCCATTGCGTTGGGAGGCTGAGGTGGTCATATTACTTGACATCAGTTGTTCAAGACCATTCTGGGCAGCATGGTGAAACTCTGTCTCTACAAAAAATTAGCTGGGCAAGGTGGCATGCCCCTGTGGTCCTAGCTACTTAGGGGGTTGAGGTGAGACGATTGACCGAGACCAGGAGGTCAGGGCTGCAGTGAGCTGTGATCACATCACTGCACTTCAGCCTGGGCAAAAGAGCGAGACTCTGTCTCAAAAGAAAAAATAAGTAAATAAGCTCAGAGTAGTAGCACATGTCTGTGCTCACAGCTACACAGGAAGTTAACACAGGAAGATTGCTTAAGCCCAGGAGTTCAAGGCTGCAGTAAGCTATGATTGCACCACCACACTTCAGACTAGATGACAGAGCGAGACCCTGTTCCAAAAAATGTATATATAGCACATTATATAGCAAATCTAACTATTTTTGTGTGTTTTCTTCTTCTTCTTCCTCTTCTTCTTGCTTATTTATTTATTTATTTATTTATTTATTTATTTTTGAGACAGAGTCTTACTCTGTTGCCCAGGCTGGAGTACAGTGGCATGATCTCAGCTGATGGCAAACTCTGCCTCTCAGATTCAAGCAATTCTCTTCCCTCAGCCTCCTAAGTAGCTGGGGTTATGGGCATACACCATGATGCCCAGCTAATTTTTGTATTTTTAGTAGAGATGGATTTTCACCCTGTTGGCCAGGCTGGTCTCGAACCGAACCCCTGACCTCAAGTGATCTGCCTGCCTCGGCCACCCAAAATGCTGGGGTTACAGGCATGAGCCACCATGCCCAGCCTGTCTCCTTTCTTATCTACTTCCTCTCTCACCTTATTTTCTCTTGAGTCCAATTTTATTAGACAGTTTTCCATGATGCCACTGAGTAATTCTTGAGAATTTCAGCCAAACTGTGGCCACACTCATCTGTCATCTCTTAATCTCCCTCACCACCTCCTTTTCTTCCCTTCTTCCCTTCTTTCCTTCTTTCATCCCATCCTCCCTCCCTCCTTCCCTCCTTATCTCTCTCTCTTTCTCTTGCTGTCTCTCTCTCTTTCTCCCTTTCCCTTTCTTTCTTTCTTTCTTTCTTTCTTTCTTTCTTTCTTTCTTTCTTTCTTTCTTTCTCTTTCTTTCTTTCTTTCTTTCTCTTTCTTTCTTTCTCTTTCTTTCTTTCTTTCTTTCTTTCTTTCTTTCTTTCTTTCTTTCTTTCTTTCTTTTCTTTTCTTTCAGACAGGGTCTCACCATGTTACCCAGGCTGGAGAGCCACGGTGCCATATTATCTTACCCCTGGCTCAAGCAATCCTCCTGCCTCATCCTCCTGGGTAGATGGGACTATAGACATGTGCCACTATGTCTGGATAATTTTTGTATGTTTTGCACAGGTGGGGTCAGCCTGTGTTTCCCCAGCTACACTCTCCTTGTCAGCAGCAGTTGACCAAGCTGAACTCTATCAATGCTAATAAGACATGCATTTCACTTGTACTCTGATATGCTTTCTCTTCCAATCTCACTAGCACTGCTCACCTAATCTCTTCTTACTTATATTTAATGTTTTCCCTCTTTACAGTGTTTTCCTCCATCAGAACAAATGTGCTTTCTCATTGAAATGAATGCCTATAGAAGGTTGCTTATTATGAGCACTCAACCTCATGTTTGTCTCGTATGTTTTATTTGTTTCCTATGATTATTTTGTCTCTTTTGGAGGCCATACCAAAGCTATAAATTTTAGTATTTCTCATGATCTCTAGTATATTAAAGGGTCTTAACATTTGCTCAATGAGTAAAAGGGAGATTGAATTCTATTATGTCTTACTATGTAAGTCTAACTGCTCTATGTAGCTTAATACAATTCGCAATGCAATGGATTGTCATTTTCATGGTTAGTTTTTGTCTCCACAATCATAATAGCAGCTACCTAATTTAGATTCGGCAGAATGGTCATCTTTTTTTTTTTTTATCATTTCTCATGTTATTTAAGTTTCTCTAATGAGTTTAAAAATTCTTTTAAGGTTGCAAATGAAAAATTTAATCATTGCTTTTCAGTTTAGAGTACCTCACCAGATATCCTCGGTTCACTCTTTTGCTATTCTGACTCTAGTAGTTAGTACTTGTGGTCTACTTCCTTCCTCTCTGTTTGAGGAATCCAAACTCCCTAAGTGAGATGTATTATATTATAATTGTGTCTCCCACTTTAACTGAAACTTGCCTATTTTCTGCTGGATCAAACTCAAAATGTCTTATTGTGCTACTTCAGGCTTTTCCCATCTGCACAAAATTCTTATTTCTATTATATTTAACTACATATAAACATGATTCAAACCTTTCTGCTTCTGCTGGATTTAACTCAAAATATTTTATTCTGCTATTTCAGGAATTTCCTATCTGTGCAAAAAACTGATTTCTATAGTATTTAACTACATCTAAACATAAATCATACCTTTCACTTAAAGTTCATTTTCTGGTTATGTAATTTTCAGTCTTACCATGCTTCCAAGAAGCCTAGAATCTATAGAACCTGTGTATGGACTGTTGATGAAAAGAGCCAAATTCTGTAAAATATTTAAGGAGGTCTATTATGAGCCAGATATGAGTTACTGTGGTCCAAAAAGCAGTCTAAAGAGGTCCTGAAAACACATGTGGTTGGATTGCAACCTCTTTAGCCAACTAAAGAGGTCCTGAAAACGTGGTTGGATTACAGCTTGGTTTTACAAATTTGCTGGAGACATAAGACATTAATCAATCCATGTGAGGTGTACACTGGTTCAGTCTAGAAAGGTGAGACAATGCCAAGTGGGGCTTCCAGGTCATAGGTGGATTCAAAGATTTTCTTACTGACATTTGATTGGAAGACCTAAGTTATTATTTCAAGACCTGGAATCAGTAGAAGGATGTGTCTGGGTTGAGACAAGGGATTGTGGAGAACAAAGTTCTTATTATGTAGATGAAGTCTCATAGGTGGCTACCCTTAGAAGCAATAGATGGCAAATGTTTCCTATTCAGACACCTAAAACGTTCCAGACTCTCAGCTAATCTTTTCAGGATCAGAAAAAAAGTCTGGAATGAAAAAGGGGTTCTCTACAGAATGTAAATTTCCCCTACAAGAGACAGCTTTATAGGGCCATTTAAATATATGTCAAATATATATTTTGGAGTAAAATATTTTTATTCCTTTCAGAGCCTGCTATCTGTCATATGATGGTATACTAGAGTCAGTTTGGAATTTGGTAACATATTGCTACAAAGTGTCTCTTCTGTCAGTATTAAGATCTTTGTTTTAAAGTGAATGCTGTTCAGTTGTACTGACTTCCCAAGAAATAGGAATATAATGAGGCATGTCTGACCTCCCCCTCCCCCATTTTTCAGGTATGGCCTGAAGTAATTTTTCAGGTGTCTTTGAAATTCCCTTGGCTGAGAAGAAGGGTCCATTCATTCAGTTGGGGAGTTTACAATTTCATTTTGTGTTCATAGGCTTTTATTTACCAGGAATGACACCAAAATATCTGTGTACTGAAATCCAACTTGTACCTCACAGTGAACTGAAATCCCCAGCCTTTCTGGTAAAGCAATGTTCCCACTTAAAAGAATCACTTTATCCCATGGATAGCTGTTTCTGCAGTTCTGAGGATACATATTCTTGCTGCCTAAAAACCTTAGAAGGTTTTACATAGGAAGGTGGTTATGTTTTTAAGGGCATGAATGTGTTTCTTGTATGTTCTTGTTTTTTTTTTTTTTTTTTTTTTGAGTAACTCATGTAATTATTTATAATTTTGCTTTTAACCTAATTAAAACACATTACCTTTGGCTTTAAAAGTCTTTGCTCTTATCCCACTGGGTTGATGTGAGTGGGTACGTAAAAGACATGAGAGGCTGAGTCAACAGCCCAACACATGATCAGAACTCCATCACTTTGTGACTCCTGGAGCATATAGCATATTTTGCCTTCAATAAATATTTTTTTGTTTTGTTTTGAAGAGATGGGGTCTCACTCTGTCACCCAGGCTGGAGTGCCGTGGTATGAACATAGCTCACTGCAGCCTGGAAATCTTGGGTGCCTTAGCCTCCTGAGTACCTAGGACTGTGGACATGCACCACCATGCCTAACTAATGCTCTTTAGTTTTTTTATTGTTTTAGTTTAGTTTTGTTTTGTTTATATAGATGAGATATCACTGTTTCCTAGGCTGGTCTCAAATTTTCACTATGTTGCTCAGACTGGTAATATATTTTCATTATATTAATTATACTCATGTTACAATTGCAAATTGCTGAGGCCACAGTCATAGTGTAACTAAAAATAATTTTCCAATATAAATTATTTATAATTTATATTTTTATTTTTAGAGAGAGTCTTACTCTGTCACCCAGCCTGGCAGGCATTGGCATGATCATGGCTTACTGCAGCCTCAAATGCCTGGGCACAAACAATGCTTTTGCTTCATTGTCTTCTGCATATGCCTCCTGCATAGCTTGGACTACAGGTGCATATTATCATGCCCAGCTAGTGTTTATAAGTATAAATATAAATTATAAATATGTGAACAAATATTATATTTAAATATTAACATATATATGCACATATGTAGTCTTATGTCTTCTGTTTACTAACTTCCTTTAATATTAATTAATATAAACGTAAGTGACACAGAAAAAGGCAAGCTTCAATACTATTAAAAAAAAACCCTGAAATACAACTAAGGCTATGTGTAACTTAATTTACATCCCTAAATCTATGCCATCATGAAGACCATATGATGTTCCCACCCAAAGTGAAAGCATACTCAATTCCCTGTCTTGTTTTATAATTCTTCTCCATCTGTTGTATCTGAAGGTGGTGATTTTTGTATGGTTTTTGTATTGGGTATGACATACTTTTTAAGTTGGATAATAGCTAAGGACTGTCTCTCTAGGATAAATCATTTGATCCCATGCACCAGATATTTTGCCAATAATATTACCAGCGTTCCAATTTTCCATGATTTTGTGAGTCATGGTATTAAGATTCTTATTTTAAGGCATCATAGTTTGTAGATAAGAGTATACCTGGCTGAATTTTCCCTAATTGACCTAGGATGTCCAGGTCTTGATTAGGAGCCAGAGTGCTATGAATGATCAAACTCAGGAGGGACACAGCTTGACAAAGGTTGGGGAGAATGAGATGGCAGACACCACGACAGCTTCAGGACACTTTCCACAACAGGGTCCCTGAATCAACTCAAGGTAGGAAAGCAGCAGGATCCTTTGTAGGGCTTTTGAGGACGGGAAGAAAAGCCCCAAAACAGATGAAGTATGGGAAAAGATAGAGAAAACAACACAGTGAGACCTTGGCTCTACCAAAAAAAGACAGAGAGAAAGAAAAACAATTAACTGGCATGGTGTTGTGCACCTGTGATCCCAGCTACTCTGAAGCCTGAGGTGGGAGGGTTGTTTGAATCTAGGATGTCGAGGCTGCAGTGACCTATGATTGCATCACTGCACTCCAGCCTGCATGACAGAGCAAAACCTTATCTCAGAAAAAAAAAAAAAAAAAGACAAAAAACAAATAAAACCCCAAAACATTAGCAGGATTTGGCAGCAAATGCCATCTATGTCATATATTATATCCAAATATCCCCCTCTGGAAATTAAATTTTGGAGACTTGTTAGGAAACAAGTTATTTTGGCTACTTGTAGCTTCTAACAAAATGCCTGGCACATATAAACACTTTTTAGTAAAATTAATACATTATATGACTACTCATTTTTCTGAGAATTATTAGATAACTGAACAGTTAGGTTTGACCTGTATGACCTCTTTTTTAAAAATAAAAAAGATAACTATGACATTTCGATAAAAATTAAATAAGATAAATAAAACAAGAAAATGGGCCTGACTCAAATATGAACTTGTCCAGATGACATTGCCAACCTTCAACTCGCTTTGATCTACAAAATGACAAGTTTGTAGTTGAACAAAATAGACTGGTTTATGACAGAGAAAAAGAAGGATGTACTCTGAAATGATGTTAATGAGTTAAGAAAAGGTAAAATTCTGGTTTCTTTATTTCTCTTTTCCTCCTGCTAGCCTGACTGCTATATTCATTTACATTGACACCATTCATCAAAGTCAGAACTAAAAATGCACTTAGAGATCATTATTAGGGAAATTATTGGAAACAGAAAACATACGTACATTGGCAAAATGATGATTCTATCAGCATTTAGCAGAGTAAGAGTTGAATGGTTACTGACTTGAGGATGGAGCTTTGAACAATACCTCACTTAGCAAGAATATTTGGTATGTGGCAAGACTCTATCAACTTCCTCATGCATATTCTTTTCCCGTCTGCTTAATTATAAATGCAAATTTTAAAATGTAGTTGGAAAGAGCACTGAAGCAATGTAACAACATGCCTACCTTCCTGTATAGTTCTTCCACCAGACAATGTTTTAAGAGCACAATCAAGTTCAGCAAAGGTGAGCCAAATGGGCTGCATGCTGTAAAATACTGGCTTCAATGTCAACAAATTTCTCAGTTGCTGTAAAGGTATACCTAAGTCTCCTTACAGAAAAATATTTTATAGAGTAGTTAGAATGTATGTATGTGTGTGTTCTGTGTCTATACACATCTACATTACATTCAATTTGTATTGGTCACTTGTCTACACGTACAACAGCTGCATTTGAGGCATAACACAGATATTTGTCTTTAATGTCCTTTGTAATAAAGGGATATTATATCTCAACTGGTTTATAATTCTTGGTCTTTAAACTTCTCATACAAATGACATATTTTATTATAATTTAAAATTAATTTTAATATCATTAAGTACTCAAAAAAGCTGATACGGTATTATATAACCATTTTCTGAAAAATGTTCCTCATATATGTTACCTAATGGAAGAATCTTGATATGTTTCCATGTTTCAGAGTAACTTTTTATTTTTTTTTCAGGTTGAAAACATTCAAGAATTCAAAAGATTTGTTTCTGCAAGTTTAGGTTCCTAAACAGATTAGAGATTTCGTTAGGACATTATGTATCGAATTTAAAAGTGAGTTGTTATCTGGTTTTATTTTCTGCCCTTTAGTGTCTTAAGATTTCTATTTTACATCCCTCATTTAGTTGGTAAACGGCTCATGGACAGATGCTTGTGTAAAGAAAATTGCCACAATGTCTGTCTTTTTGCATGAACAAGAAATAAAAACTTAGAAAATGAAAATGCGTTATTTTCCTTCCCTTTTTTGCAAAAACATTGTTTCATTGTTCCTGAGAAGGGCCCTTTACTGAACAACCATGCCTTTCAAAGATCAAATTTACACAGTTCAGAGAGAGGAAGGTAGGGTACATTAGTTTACTAGATAAAGAATGTTTTCATCACCTAATTTGATCTAGTCTAAAAAAATTTTCCTAACTGTAGATTATGTATATGAATAAAAATGTCATTTTTCCTGTATCTAGAATTGTCCTACAACAATGGACTCTGGGCTGGAAGGAGTTATGTGCATTCCTGTATTTGCCTAGATTCTCCAGAGAAACAGAAAATTATCTCAATCTCAATCTCAATCTCAATCTCAATCTCAATCTCAGTCTCTATGTTGATCTAACTAGCTAGCTATCCATCCTAACACCTCATCTGATGCTGTGGAATTGACCATCATCTCATCAAACCACTTAAATTTAGCCAAAGAGGTGAAGACCTTTTACTGTTAACAGCATCTAGCTACCCTGCATAAGTTTCCTCTGACAAAGAATGATTAAGGTTTTGGTTGCTTAGTTAAAAATGAGGGAATGGCAAAAATATAGTAAACGCAAATGATGCACTTAGTGGGTTCTCCTGCCACTGGAAGATTCAAACAGCAGCTAGGTGGTTAATGAAAATACCCCCAATGACATATCAACTTTAGCCATCAGAAATATTCACTAAGGACTTATCACATCCTACCCCTATTCTAAATGCCTTACCTATACTGATGGCTCATGCCTTCCTCTAATCTCAGAACTTTGGGTGGCTCAGTTAGGAGGACCAATTGAAGCTATGAGTTTGAGACTAGCCTGGGCAACATAGTGAGACTGCATCTCCACAGAAAGTTAAAAAAAAAATTACCTGGGCATGGTGACACATGTCTGTAGTCTGAGCTACTTGACACGCTGAGGTGGAAGCTTGACTTGAGCCCAGGATTTCAAGGCTGCAACAAACTATGATGGTGCCACTATACTCCAACTTGGGCAATAGCATAAGACAGTCTCAAAGAAAAAAGTAATACAAAGAAAAAATGTGGAAATTAGACATTTTCTGCAGAAATATATGCAGAAGGCAAATGTGCAATTTAATAGAGAACTGAATGTGTCTATTACAGCTCTGCTTATATAATGTGTCATATCTTAAGTGGATGGCTCACTTCAATCTCCTTGGCACCAGAAAATTTTCTCTGTAGTTGGTACTATCATGATTCCAGTTTTACTGAGGCATAAAATGGTTCAGAAACTTGCCCAAGGACACAATCTAATAATTCCTGCAGCTGGAATTTCAACTCAATAGTTGATTTCCAATTCTGTGGTCTCAAGAAAGACACTGGCATTCCCAGCATAAACAAGTATCCTGGTCTTTGATGACAACACAAAATTATCTTAGACAGTTAGAAGCTCCCAAATGTTAACACCCAGAAACAAAAACAATGAAAATATATTTTGGAGCCAGCTGAGTCTATGGAAATAATGCTGTTAAATAACTGGAATGGTTAGCAATCCATCTGCCAAGAGACAGCATAATTGGAGAAATACATCACAAAAAGCAACAATAAACACTGGATAGAGACTACTTGTTCTGTTCAATAAAGTTGAACGTAGGAAAGGTTCCATGAAATAAGAAATAAACAATAAGATAACAGGACAACAGCCTGAAGAAGGCAGAAATGTACACAAAATGCCAGATGGACATTTCTGATGTCATTGATACAAAGTGTGGGGCTAAATATTTAAATTGCATGGAAATGTGGTGTAATAATTGTGTAGTTGCAGGGTATTATAAAAATGTCTTTTGAAAGACAAGATGTGTGATATGGTTTTTCTGTGTCCCCACCGAAATCTCATCTTGAACTATAGTTCTCATAATCCCTTCCTCTCTTGGGAGAGACCATATGGAGATAATTGAATCATGGGGACAATTACCTCCATGCCGTTATCATGTTGGTGAATGAGTTCTCACAAGATCTGATGGTTTTATGAGCATTTTCCTGCATTCGCTTTGCAATTCTCCTTGCTGCTACCATGTGAAGAAGGACATGTCTGCTTCCCTGTTCACCATGACTGTAAGTTTCTGGAGGCCTCCCCAGCCCTGTGGCACTGTAAGTCAACTAAACCTCTTTCCTTTATAAATTACCCAGTCTTGGGTAGGTCTTTATTAGCAGTATGAGAATATATACTGCAAAGTAATTATTTAATATTACAATGTCTAAAACACCACTTTTTACCAATAAAACAATAGGTAGAATATAGGTGGGGTGAAAAAATTAGGTTTATGTTTATATTTTGCAAAAGTAAATGCAGATCACATCAGAAAAAGTTAAATTGTATTTTTATGTGTGTATATATTATACATATTATGTGAGTTTACATGAATCCATATGTATATATGTAATGCTTTGTAATTAAAAGCTACATATTTTAACATTAATAAAACATGTTTAATGCATAACTTACTATTTTTAATGTTTGAAAGTGTATGCACATCTATCACTCATGGCAATGTAAATGAATTTATGTTGAAGTCACCTATAAAAGCAGGAAGATTATAATTACATCAAAAACACTATTGGTTAAATGCAGCCTTAAAACAAACATAGATAAAGAAAATCATTCAGAAAGTTCAAAGTTAAGAAATGATCAGTTTTGAGTTGTATCAATACATGCAGAGGGAAATCAGAAAGAATTACACAAATATGTTGCAACATAGAACTTAAGGAAAACATGTTAAATACAAATGTTTCTCATTTTAAACAAGTGTGCCACACTTAGTAAAGATATTCTTCTGGCCATAAACCTTTGAAAAGTAACAGAACTGTTTATAATCACAAGATGATGGGAAATCCCATTTTTCTCAAGTTTTTGCATTTGTTTATAGCAAATTAGCCTAATACAAATGTTCATGGCTTACCGCAGTCTTCTATTACATGACATGTATAAGGATCCATGACATGCTACATGATATGGGTTGGCTGTATCCAACCCAAATCTCATCTTGAATTGTAGCTCCCATAATCTCCATATATTATGGGAGGGACCAGGTCCAAGAAAATTGAATCATAGGGGAGCTTCCCCCATACTGTTTTTGTGGTAGTGATTAAATCTCACAAGATCTGATGGCTTTATAAGGAGTTTCCCCTTTTAGTTGGCTCTCATTCTCTCTTGCCTGTGGTCATGTAAGACATAACTTTGCTCCTCCTCTACTTACGCCATGATTGTGTGGACTCACCAATTATGTGGAACTGTGAGTCAATTAAGTCTCCTTCCGTTATAAATTACCCAGTCTTGGGTATCTCTTTATTAGCAGCATGAGAACAGGCTAACACACTACATAAAATTTCCTATTTGTTTTAGCTTTCTCCAGTCAATTCATAGAAAAAAATTCTATATTGGGAATTCTGAGGCTTTGCCAATAAAGATTGTTGTAAGCAACTTTATTGAGCGTAAGATTTGTTTTCTATTTCTTTAAGATATCTTAATGTTAATATTCTTGATTTTAGTTTTGAAATGTACCATTTTCATTGTCATTAAATTCTAGTATTTTCTAATTCTAATAATCACTTTGTGTTTGGCTCACTGGTTAAGGAGAAATGAGGGGATTAATTTTCAAAACTTTTTTGCAACTTATCTTTACAGCTGATGAAGATAATGATGAGGATTATGTACAACTTCCACAGATTATGCATATATTTGTAATGTTTCATATGTTTTTTAAGCTGGCTTTGTGATTATTTTTTCATATTGTATTAAAGTTTACTGTAATAATTTTTATTGTAAAATATTGGGTCTTATGACCAGTTATTGTTATGTATTTGTAACTCTCAGACTTCAAAGGCAGATGATGGAGTGCTCTAACTGACTAAGTACCAGGAGATAACTTCCAACTTCAACTATAAACACAGAGAAATATCAAAGAAAGAAACAAACAAAAAATGCTCAAAGGAAAAAATGATGAATTTTATATTTCGGTTTAGAGTTTTTTCTGAAATATAACTTAGTTTATATAAAACAAAACTTCTTCTGTCTTAACAAACTCAGCATGTATGCCAGAATGTATTCTAAAGTAAAAATGAAGATATTCAACTTAGGCAAAAATTGATATGCCATCAGCCACTAGGCATTAAAAAAATAAACCATGAACTTTTTTTTATTTGATTCTCCTTAGCTGAGCAATGCATAAACAGTTTCCCTATGGATTAAATAACGTAGCTGGGTTGATTCAGTAAATTAGTCAAAACATTTTTTTCAAATACATGTGCAGTTTGAGATATTCCCCTCTTTTTATAGGAAGGGAATCCCTGCCTTTTTTTTTTTAATTCTGTATAACATAGGATTACCTAGGCCACAAGATCAACACAGTGGTTTTTCTTTTTGTAAATTTAATTTTGAGTGCAGAGGAGATTTTGAATATTCACAGAATCACTCAGAACTATATTAAAATAAGCTCTCAGTGAAGGCTACACATTAAAGAAGTCCTTTGAATGCTATTTCCCTAGGCCTTCAAATTGTCAAAATACAAGGATACCTTTAATTTTCATAAAATTCCCCCAAAGGCAATGGAGGATTAACTCAACAACCGTGGTGTGGTGTATGTTCTGATCTCGTACCTTCAGTTATGTGTTCACTGAATTTAACAAACAAAGGTGAAGTTAAAGATATGCCTTTCTTCCCCTTATTTTAAATAAAATTCCCACGTCTTATCCATTTCTAAAAGGAAGGCATGTAAGGAAACTTTTCAGTGAACTTAACACAGAAATATTAACACATAGTGTTTTAGAATTAATCACTTTCGGTTTTTCATTATTAACATCAGATATGCAGCAAAGTAATAGCATTGGATATTATTTATATTAAGATATTTAGTTGACAAATGCACACATAAATTTAGGTTTTCAAATCTGCCTTAGTCACTGTGAGGGAAGCCGTGAAGATTTCCTGATGCCCAATAATTATATCATCTATAGAGGGAACTGGGCACTTTAGAAAGAGCATTAATTTTTCCAGTGAGACATTTAAGTGATTGGTAAAATTTTAGAAGCCTATAATCTCAAAATTTAACATATTCATTAACAGTAAAATTCTTGCAGATTACCACCCTCATTTCTAGTGGATGGTGATGGTTCTCACTGAATGATTCAACCACTTTGCAGTCTTGTCCCAAGGAGTCAAACAATTTAAAATTGGTGGGACAGAAACAGAAATTGATATTCTTTCTCAAATTAATGGGGAGTAACGACAGAGAAATGTGCCTTAGGAAAGAGGCAACCAGGAATCGAGTCAATCAATCCTTAAGAAATGTTAAGTTAAAGGGTTTGTGGAGTCATAATGCCTCTTTTTCAATTCAAAATTCATTAGAAAACTCGGGATGAAATTTTGATGAGGAAAATCCTTAAATCAAAATTGTCATTTCATTATACAAGGGACAAGTTCAAAGTGCCAGGAAATAAAAAGACCTTTTCTTGTTAGAAAATAAAAAGTTGATGAGTATTATTGTTTTCCTTAAAACCCCTATGGATAACAAAGGTATTATTAGTACACACATTCTTGGGATAATTCTTTGCCAGATACAAAGTTTGCCAAGAATGTCAGAATACCTGAAAGGATTCTCAAATAGGATGACAAAAAATTGTGTGTTAAAAAAAAATCACGGACGTTATCGTTCCCATAGTGAGCATAGTGAGGTCAGGCTACTTATTCTGGCAGCCCAATAACCAGATGCAGATAAGCTGGGAAAGAACAGAGTTTACTTTTGTAACCTGATACAGGGAGAAGACCTGGAAAATATCACCCGACCAACTCAAGTTACAAAGTTTTCCAGAGCTTATATGCTTTTTAAGCTATATATCTACATGTAAGTGTGCATTCATCTAAAGACATAAGTGATAAACTATTCTAATCTACAACTAAGGTCTGAGTCCTGAAGACCTTCCTCTGGAGCCTCAGTAAATTTACTTAATCTAGATGGGTCCAAGTGCTGGGGGTGATTACCCTTATTTTGCGCCCTGCTAAATCATAGAGGTTTGGGGAGTTCTGTTAGACCCCCACTAAAACTTGTTTGTGGTGGTCTGGGGAGTTTCTTCAGACCCCAAATAAAACTTGTTTAATCCTAAACGGATCCCATTAAGAATTCCTTCATTATTTTGTCATGTTTCAAGGCTCAGGAAAGGCCTAGGTAAAATTCTTGGTGGGCTATTGTTACATTTTAATGTCCGAAGACACTTTTCAGCTTTTAATGTGTAACTTAACCACTGAGTCACTGCTAAACCATTGTCATGGAGTCCTGCCTGCTCAGCTGTTAGAGAAAACTGGCCACACTATAGCCTTTTATAGAGGTTACTAAAAAATTTTAAATATACGCTTAAAACATAAAAACATAAAAGACACTCTTTTCTAAAATCAATTTCCATTTCTGAGTAATGATGTATCTGTTGAGTAGATACACACATACAGAGTTAACTCTTATGGCTCAAATAGTTCTCTGGTTCTGTCTGATCTTAATTCTTCACCTAATCCTTTCTGAACTACCCCTGTGTGTGTTGCCGATGCTTTGAGCCTCTTGTTCTCTTAACAAACACTGCTTTTTTTCCTTTATCACTAATAAAATCAGCTTTAATGTGTCTCCTCCATGGAACGAACAACAGCACTTTGCCCAAGATGAAAATTTTATTTATTCCACATAAATGTCTGAACAGATGGGTGTTTTGAGAGAGTGAAAGTTCTATTCTCTGGATTCACTCAAAATTTTCCAGAATAAACCCATTTTCCATCCTGTTTCCCCATCCATAGGAGGGCCATTCTTTTTTAGTTCCTGGAAAATGGATTGTCACTATCACATTCATATTCTACTGCACAGAAATGGGAAAATTAGCTGGAGAAAAGTTGTGTTTTAAAAGACGAATAACTGTGTTTTTTAACCATTTTATTCAATTATGATTGACATGTTGAAAGTTATACAGATTTAAAAAATACAACTTGATGAGTTTGGGGATAAGTATACATTCCTGAAATGATCACGACCACCAAAGTCATAAATATATTAATCAATCCATTATTTCCCAAAGTTTCCTCCCACTCCCTCATTATTATTTTATATGTCTGTGTGTATTATGAACATTTAACATAAGATCTACCCTTTCAGTAAGTTTTGTGTATAAAATACAGCATTGTCAGTCCTAGGCACTGCACTGGAGAGTAGATCTTTAGAATTTATTTACTTTGCATAAATGAAAGTTTGTACCCTTTGACCATTACCTCCCCATTTCTCCTTCCTCACCCAGCTGGTAACCTGCATTTGCCCTCTGCTTGTATGAGTCTATTTTGGATTCCACATGTAAATGAATAAATTAGATCATACAGAAGTTGTCTTTCTGTGCCTGGCCCATCTCACTCAGGATAACATTCCTCAGGTCTATCCATGTTGTTAAAAATGACAAGATTTCCTTCTTTTTCAAGGTTGATTAATATTCCATGACATACATAAATATGTATACACACTTTCTTGATCCATCCATATGTCAATGTCCTTCTATGTTGTTTCCAAATCTTTGCTGTTATGAATAATGTTGCCATGAAAATCGCAGTTGTATTGGTCCGTTTTCATACTGCTCTGAAGAAATACATGGAACTGGGTAATTTAAAAAGAAAAAGAGGTTTAATGGATTCACAGTTCCACTTGACTGGGGAGGACTCACATTCATGGTAGAAGGCAAAGGAGGAGCAAAGGCATGTCTTACAAGGTGGCAGGAAGGAGAAGTGCTGAGCAAAAGGGGAAAAAGCCCCTTATAAAACCATGAAAACTCACTCAATATCATAAGAACAGCAGCATGGTAGTAACCACCCTCATAATTCAATTGCACACCCCTCACTGGGTCCCTCCCACAACACGTGGGGATTATGGGAGCCACAATGCAAGATGAGATTTAAGTGGGGACACAGCCAAGCCATATCAGTGGTGAGCACATGTCTTCAAAATACTGATTTCAATTAAAAGATGAATGACTTTGAATTCACATCCATGATTTCTACCTATCTCCCATGCAATAGAACATGTATGTGTACAGTGAAGCGTTTATTATTAGTCTGCATGGTGTCACATTTCATAGGCACTGTAACAAGAAAATAGAGTTCCTGTGTCCAGCAAGGTTCTGTCTTGGTCGTTTGGATATTCTAGAATCATTTAAATATAAAAATCTAGATAAGTAGGTCAGTTAAATGTTTTGAAAACTGGTACTAAGATTCCTGTTTTCTTTTCATTCTCGATTCCTCCTAATAAAGGTAGATCTGGTTAAGGACTGAGAGGCATATGGAAATTTACTTTTTATTCTAGGAATTGTCTAAGATAAAACCTGCATTTAAACCTTCCAAAGACTAATGTAAATAAAATGGAAATTAAAATTATGCTGAATTACCTCATAGGGAATTAGAAAAATTAGTTTGTGTCAGGCTCTTTACAATGTTCTCTCCCTTGATTGCAAACCCTGGAAGACAAAAAAGGTATTCTACTATTTCAATTTTTAGTGAGCTGTCATTTAGTGTGATTAATATTCTACTTACAATGTCCGTGCATATAGCAGCAGCTGTTCTTTTGAGGTTAGTTATTCTACTTCTTTTCTTCCAGCCACTTTCTATGTACATGAAATTTGTCAATGTTTTGGCAACAACACCTCCCTGCAATAACAACGAACAAACAAATATAGATAGATAGAATTCTATTTCTTATCTATGTATCTATCTATCTATCTATCTATCTATCTCTATAGATATATATATATTTCTTACATATCTGTCTCCAGTATGTAATACAATCTACTTATATGTGGATATATAGAGGTATATATATATATGCATACATATGTGTGTTGTATTTGTATGTGTAGGTACATATATGTATATATATCATACTTATATTAATTTTTTACACACACACACATATGTACACACAAACACATTTTTTTCTCTGTGGCCCTTTTTCATTATAGAAGTTGTTTCCATTATGGGGTATTTTTTCAAATGACTTAATCTAGTTTACATAGAGGGAACAAGTTTTGGTGCTTTTGATTTTTTTTTAATCCAACCAACATATATTGTGTACCCACTGCATACCAAGTACTAATGCAAGCGTTACACAAATGGAAAGGCAGAAACCCAAAGTTTATATTTGGGGAGAAATATGATAAAAGGAAATACAAGACAGCAAACACAGAAACACGAGCACTGAGCATCATGAAACCTGGTGAAGATAATAATCAGGGTGAAGAGATGGAAAAATTGGGAAAAGATACTATATGTGGTGGTCAGTTGTACGACTGATCTATATCACATGCTTCCACCCTCTCCTCACTAGCAAGAGATGCAGTGTAGATGCCAGACCAATTTTAGGTAAATCCCAGGTTAATTTGCATCTGTTTTACACTGTAAGCATTTAAGCCAAGAATAAAAATTTCACAGAGCACTAAAAAGGTAACACAATGAATCATATGAACCCTTCAGTATGTTTTCCTGGATAACTCAGAGTATATTAATATTTATTCCCTTACCTTATGGATATTAATGAACCTAGAGAAGCATCAAATATAGCACAGCTGGTAAAAAATATTCAGTTATGACTTGCAGAGAAAAATCATATTCAGGGGAACATTTTCAAAGGAGACCCAAACAAGCCAAATTTTATGAAGCGTTTGAGACTACTAATGGACTCATATGTTTCTGTGGTTGTAAGAGTAGCCATTGGGGAAAGACAAAATGAAATACTACCTATTGTCCATAGCTATGGAAATGGACACTTACAAATCTGTCCATACTAACCTAGCCAGCTCTGAGTCTCTGAAGTGACAGCTACAATCCATATTTCCATTTTAGCTCTGCTAGAGCAAAGCCCATAAGTCATCGAGGCTTTTGAGCTGTTTAGAAAAATACTATGTGAATGGTGAACTTGAGCTCACTTGGGAATGAGGTTGTGAGGTTTACACCGTTGTGTTCAAGGAAGGATATTTAAGAATGGTTTGTATTGCCATGCTAGGAAGTGAATTTACAACTTGCTCACTGCAGATTACCACACCAGGGCTAATGGAACAGGATGCAAGACACAGTTCTTTTCAGGAGAGGAAAGCCTAGGTGAATAAAAAGTTCCAAAGTTTATTAAGCCACACTAGTTATATGATTTCTGGGGAAAAACAGCGAATAGGGAGAAAGGGAAAAAAAGGAGGGAAAGAGGGAGGCAGGGAGGGAGAGATTATAGACAATCCCCCTAGAGTTCTTTACTTTTTTTTTTAACTTTTATGAGTTTTACTTTAAAAGTTATTTTGAATACATTTCCTTAGGTAAAACAGGATGTTATTGTATTTTATTACAAGCAAAAAGGATGAACTTTAATTCACTCCTCTAGAGGTTTTCCAACTTCTATAAAAATGATAATATACACAGTAAAATTTAACTGACTTCTGCTTGAAAATCTTCTATTATGAATTTCAGTCGAAATTGTCATACACTTTTTAAAGGCAATGTTGTTTAGTTGAGTGAGATGGTTCTACTTTTTAGGAAGTTTGTAATTTATACCTGGGATTTCAGATCATATTAAAAATATTTCAGAATGATCCCTGGGTTGGTGTTTCAGAACTGTATTTTGAAAATGAAAACATGAAAAACTAATGATTCTATTTTGATCATGTTAATAATACCTCAGAAAATAATGACCGTCTGATTGTAAATTTAAAAATGGCCACTAAGCAAATACAATATTTATGTTAATGGACAAGGACATTTTCAGATAAAGTATTTCAGTGTCTAATTTTATATATTTAAAGTTTTTCAGAACTACTTTATGGCTTTATTGAAATAGGAAAACAGAAGTCTATCAATGGAATTTTTCAAGATGTGGAACCACATCCTAAAAAATTTACATCAAATATGCTAGAGTTTATTTGTATAACTTGTATAATATATAAATATATTTATAAGTATTTACATATTTTGAGAATATTTACACCAAATATACTAGACCACAAACTATCCCCAGAGCTTTGAATGTAAGATAATTTTGGAAGAAAATATATCAGAATAGCAAGCATTGAGTATGCCAGTTTATTTCAATATCTAAATTCCATACCCTTTAATCCATTTTGGTTTGATTTTTGTACCCACAAAAATTTTAAGAAATTTAAAATAAATAAAATTTATACCCTTAATATTCAAGACTTTCAACAGATGGAATGTTAGAAAAACAAAACAAAGCAAACATTTTCCAGTATGGGGAATCAGTATAACAGTGCTGAAAACTGCTCTCTTTTTCACAATATGTTAGAGCTTTTTTTCATCTTGCACTGTAAGACATTGAGCAAAAATTTTCATATTCTCCTTAGTTTTCTTTTCTTGAGCTTTACAATATTTTGTCAAATTTTAAAGCTTCTTTTGAAATTAGGTAATAAATTATCTCAATTTCAAATACATGAACTATGCAGAGATTCTACTTTTATTATACTAAAACATCCCATACTTATGACCTAATTATCTATAAAATTAGAAAAGCAGAGGCCGGGCGCGGTGGCTCACACCTGTAATCCCAGCACTTTGGGAGACCGAGGCTGGCGGATCACGAAGTCAGGAGATTGAGCCCAACGTGGCTAACACGGTGAAACCCGTCTCTACCAAAAAAAATACCGAAAAAAAAAAATTAGCCTGGCGTGGGGGCGGGCGCCTGTAGTCTCAGCTACCTGGGAGACTGAGGCAGGAGAATGGCGTGAACCCAGGAGGCGGAGCGTGCAGTGGGCCGAGATAGCGCCACTGCACACCAGCCTGGGCGACAGAGCAAGACTCTATATCAAAAAAAAAAAAAAAAAAAAAAAAAAAAAAAAAAAAAGAAAGAAAGAAAGAAAATTATAAAAAGGATGGGTATTAATGACTCATGATTGTATGGAAAACACTAGGCAGGCATGTAGAGATTCTCCTACTCCATTTTATTATCCTCTAGTTTCATATTTACTAGGTTTGTGGTCTGGGACAAGACTTCCATGACCCATTCAGACTTTATTTCTCACCTCTAATGTTGTTTAATTCATTTGAATGTATTTAAGAATTTCTTGGGTGGATAAAAGGATTGAGTGAGCTAATTTATGTGAAGGAGCTGTGGAAATGCTTTTTTAATATGTAACATCCATATGCAGTCAACATGTTAAGAAAACTGACTAACGTTGGAACCCTAAGTGGTATGCCCAAAGTAACAAGACTAGTCAGGCATCCATAAGACTGTAGAATAGCTTCTTCAATTAAAAGTGTCAACATTGTCAACAAAGTTCTAAGCACATTTTCTGCGTGAAGAATAATGAGACAAAGACTTAAATGTAAGAAGTAAAACTGTAAAACTCTTAATAGAAAATATGGGGGAAAAAGCCCCACATCACTGGGTTTGGTCAGAATTTCTTACATATAACACCAAAGACACAGGTAACAATAGAAAAAATAGAAAAATTGGACTTCATAAATTTAAAAAAAAAATTTTCATCAATTTTTTTGTCTGTATGCTGTGGCTCGCACCTGTAATCCCAGCACTTTGGGAGGCTGAGGCAGGTAAATCGTTTGAAGTCAGGAATTCAAGACAAGCCTGGCCAACGTGGTGAAATCCCATCTTTTTTAAAAATACAAAAATTAGCTGGGTGTGGTGGCAGCCTGTAATTCCAGTTTCTCAGAAGTTTGAGGCAGGAGAATTGCTTGACCCCAGGAGGTAGAGGTTGCAGTGAGCAGAGATCATGCCACTGTACTCCAACCTCAGCAGCAGAGGGAGACACCACCTCAAAAAAAAAAAAAAAAAAAAAAAAAAAAAAGGAATGCAGAAATGCATCAAAAGACAACATCAGCAAGCTAAAAAAGCTGAACTCATGGGATGGAATAAAATATTTGCAAATTATATATGTTATGAGATTAATATTCAGAATATAGAGAGAACACTTAAAACTCAATAATAACAAACCCATTCAAAACTGAGCAAAGGATTTGAACATATATTCTCTAAAGAACATACACAAATGGCCCACAGGCACATGAAAACATACTCAACATCTCTAGTCATCAGGAAAATGCAAGTCATAACCACAATGAGATACCACTTCACACCCCTTAGAATAACTACCGTAAAAAAAAAAAACAGCCAAAAATAACAAGCATTCACAAGGGTGTAGAGAAATTGGAACTCTTGTAAACTGCTGTGGAAATGTAAAATACTACAGTTACAGTAGAAAACAGTATGGTGGTTCCTCAAAAATTTAGAAATAGAATTAGCATATGATCCAGTAATTCCACTTCTGGGTATATGCCCAACAGAGCTGAAAGCAAGGAGTTGAAGAGATATTTGTACACTTATGTTTTTAACAGCATAATTCACAATAGCTAAATTGTTATCATTACCTAGGTATTAAGCCTAGCATCAATTAGCTCTTTTTCCTTATGCTCTCCCTCCCTCCATACAGTGGGGGAACAACACACACACTCTCTTTTCTATGTTCACTTCCTTTTAGGATTCTTCCAAAGAAAATGACAACAAAATCATGGAGATATGTAAGCAAGAAACATGGCTTTTATTCAGACATCTGGTTTCTCTCACTAAGTTCTGGTATCTTCCTTCCATCATCTCTACCACCATGAGGTAAAACCACTGTCATCTTTACACAACATGCAGGAGCTAAAATACAGAAATGTCTTTATGTTGATCAATATAGAAATATCAATTCCCACAACAAATTATGTAATATTTCAAATTAAAGCATACAATGCAGCTTTAAGATTATGATCCTGAAAAAGAAAACAAGATCTCTTTGCATATGCTGACATAAAAGACCATTGATGACAGATTATTAATTGAAGGCATCATATTGCAAAACCTTGTGAATGCATAGAATGAGATGTTAAAGACTTTCACAGTTTTCTTCATACATTCTGTGTACTTGGATTGTTTGACAAATAGGTTAAATTTGTGGTTCTTATTCCACTTGTACTGCTAAAACGAAACACCTGAGGCTGAGCAAATTTTAAGAACAGAAATTTATTCCTTACAGTTCTAGAGGCTGGGAAGTCCAAAATTAAGCTGTAATCTCAGCTACTCAGAAAGCTGAGGCATGAGAATTTCTTGAACCTGGGAGGTAGATGTTGCAGTGAGCCAAGCTTGTGCCACCACACTCCGGCCTGGGTGATGAAGTGAGATTTTGCCTCAAAAAAAAAAAAAATTATGCCTTTTATATTCATGTCTCTTTTCTCAGAACGGAACAGACATCCTAGCCAGTATGTTCTCAATTAGTATTTCTAAAAGCTTGAATGGATGAGATGACAACACGTCATGGAGCACTTTATCAACCAGAGCATTTGGATACTCTCAATATTTGAATGCAGCAAAAGGAATATACATTTACTATATTTAGGAATAGGTAAACTGGTACTTGTTAAAAATTAAAGTTTATAAGAATAATATATGTGAGAGTAATTTTATAAAGCCATTTGGAAAACTGGAAACAGGTCTTAAGAATAACATGGATTGGCCAGTTGCAGTGGCTCATGCCTATAATCCTAGCACTTTGAGAGGTTGAGGCAGGTGATGAGGTCAGGAGTTCAAGACCAGCCTGACCAACATGGTGAAATCCAGTGTCTACTAAAAATACAAAATTTACCCTGGTGTGGTAGCACGTGCCTGTAATCCCAGCTGCTCAGGAGGCTGAGGCAGGAGAATCACTTGAACCGGGTAGGTGGAGGATGCAGTAAGCCAAGATCACACCACTCACTATATTCCAGCCTGGGAGACAGAGTGACATTCTGTCTCAAAAAAAAAAAAAAAAAGAAAAAAAAAAAGAGAATAACGTGAATTAAATAATGGCAGAGGAAACACTTAGGATGAAGGGATTTGGGTGCATGGTGGAAAAGTCAACTAAGTGAATAGTTCCAGATTGAAGAAACGGTGGTTAAGTAGCAGTGATTTTATATGCATTATTATTTTTTCTCACTCTATTTAATTTTGTTTTCTTATTTGTAAAGGCCAGTAAACAGATTATCTGAGAAAGATAAATAACAAATAGAAGGACAACAAATTGAGAAACGAGAACACATACTTCTAAGAAAATACATTATAAGACAGCAATTCATGCTTCATATTAACAAATATTCAAAATAAGACTGTCAGAGTCTAGTTTTAGTGGGATAAGCAGGAAAATTTAAAAGTTCAACATAACATCATCTTGTAAAGCATTTTCCATAAAGAAACAGTAACTTCAACATGAAATAGTCCTTTTAAACCAATATGCGCCATTTTCAGGTAGTAATGTAATTTATGGAGCGTCTTTACACATCCTAGATTTTTGTTTGTTTGTTTTCTTTTGGTTAAAGATATTTTGAATGAAGGAAGTCCACAGGCATTGTCTCAGTTCTGCAGAACCCTGAGTAATGGAGGGTGATTCATATCGAACACTACCAAATTCCCATATGCACACAAGATAGAGACCATTAACAAGTCCCAATATTATTTTATTCCCATTTAAGTTCAGGCTTGTCTATATTCTGAAGCCTCTAAAATTGATAACATTTATTAAAGCATATATTTCAATTTCTTTTGGGTAGCTCTTTTCTTAATAATTTTCCCATGATCGTGTTTCTTAAAACACATGTTTCTTTATTTAAATTTTTTTATTTCCGTGTGTGTTTTGGGGAACAGGTGGTATTTGGTTACATGCGTAAATTGTTTAGTGGTGATTTGTGAGATATTGGTGCACCCATCACCTGAGCAGTATACACTGAACTAAATTTGTAGTCTTTTATTCCTCACTTCCCTCCTACCCTTTCTCCCCAGCCACTAAAGTCCACTGTATCATTCTTATGCCTTTGCATCCTCATAGCTTATCTCCCACTTATGAGTGAGAACATACAATGTTTGGTTTTTCATTCTTGAGTCACTTCACTTAGAATAAAAGTCTCCAGTTCCATCCAGGGTTCTGCGAATGCCATTAAATCATTTCTTTTTATGGCTGAGTAGTATTCCATTGGATATATAAACCAAAGTTTCTTTCTCCATTTTTTGACTGATGGGCAATTGTTTAAGACACATATTTCTAACAGTAAATGTGGCTACACAAACTGCTATATGGGTAACATTACATTTTTATAGGAAAGTAGTACCTATAGCATCTATAGGATAGTAAGACTTTTCTTTTCTTTTTTTTTTTTTTTTTAGACCGAGTCTCACTCTGTGGACCAGGCTGGAGTGCAGTGGGCGATCTCGGCTCACTGTAAGCTCTGCCTCCCGGCTTCACGCCATTCTCCTGCCTCAGCTTCCTGAACAGCTGGGACTACAGGCGCCCACCACCACGCCCAACTAATTTTTTGTATTTTTAGTAGAGACAGGGCTTCACTGTGTTAGCCAGGATGGTCTCAATCTACTGACCTTGTGACCCACCCGCCTTGGCCTCCCAAAGTGCTGGGATTACAGGCATGTATAAGATTTATTTCACTACTCCATTGCCCACCTACCACCTCTTGGTGAACTGAGCTGTGGAAATGTGACACAGAGAAGTGGCCTGGGATCTGAAGGCAAAAGACAGGCTCTACTGTCCTGTTTCTATAGGAAATTAATTGAGGTCAAACTTCTGCCTAAAGCAAGTGAGTTCTCATTAGAAGGAGCAGTGCAGTCAGTTCAAAATGATTCTTGGATGACATGGGGTATCTCTCAGTGCTTCCCAAGTGTTAGCATGAATGTGCCTACCACTCCTTTGAGGTCATGCAGAAAAGCAGATTCTGACTCAGGGCCTGAGGTTTGGCAATGAAATCCACCCCCAGCAATGGCTGCTGTTGCTGATTCCAGAACCACACTTTGAGTAGTAAAGACATAGGGTGGCTCTGGAAGGTTTTTTGCTCAGAGGCAGGCTTTGCTGTTTGATGGCTACCCACTAAATAGGACCATTTGAACACATTGGCACCATGGCTAAAATCCTGGCACCATGGCTAAAAATCCTATTATGTTATCAGCTTTAACGTAGTTACGTGTTATAAAGTTTATACTTTAGTGTGTACTATTGTTTTCTTAGTATATTCACAGGGGAGTGCAACCATCAACACTATCTGTTCCGCAACATTTTCATCACCCCCAAAAGAAACCCTGCACTTACTAGCAGCTACTCTTCATTCCTCTGCACTCAACTAGCAAACAGTGATCTCCTTCCTGTCACAACTGATTGACAATTCATATCAATGGAATTTCATATTCTAGGTATTCCATGTCAATTTCATATCACTAGAATCTCACAGACTGTCTTTTGCAATTGGCTAATTTCACTTAGCATAAAGCTTTCTTTGCATCTTTCAAGTGCTTAATATAATGAATAATTCCAGTAGAGATGATAGAAATATACCAGTGCAAAAATAAGTATATAATATTCATGAATAAATAACCTGCACAAAACTGATTATGAATAACTTGCGGATTACACAATTTTTATAAAAAATAGTAGTTTGGTGAATGATGTAACACTGAAAGAAAATTCTATTAATTAAAACATGATGGTATTACTTTAAGAGTAATATATAAATATAATTATATCTGAGAGATTACAATTACATATAACCTCATATTACATGTTATCATAAGTAGTATAATCTATGATATATGTATTAAATATAATGTACATTATAAAATATTATACTATAAAATGTAAAATCAATTATAGTATAAAATATATTATCTATATAAAACTTATATAATCTGTGATGATTATATATAACATATAACAAAAATATATTATAAAATATGTATTTAAATATCATATATGTATGTTAAATACATATACAATTTTAACGTGTATAGATATATAGAATAATATATCATGTATTGCTAACATATATTAATACAAATACTATATATAATACAATATGTATGTGTATTATATGCATTCTTCCATATAAATACGAATATAAATATTCATATAATACAGTAATATAAATATAGGTAACGTGTGTATGTACTATTTGTTTACTTCTATATTATATATAATATTTATATTAATATAAATGAACATTTATGTATTATATTTATCTTTATCTACTTTTATTTTTTATACTTATATATTATAATATAGCTAGGTATGCACATATAATTCATATACACATCATAATCTGTATTTGTATATGGGAATAATATAAATATTATATTTATATATTATATTAATATATTATATGTAATATAACATTATATAATATGTCATATAATGTAATATAATGTAATATAATGTAACATAATATTACATTATTACATTATATTATTACATATTTATATATTACATAAATTAAATATATATAATTTATAACATTGCATTATATTAATTGTTGTAACTATATTACATATATGTCATATAATGTAACATTACATTATATAGTTACATATTTATATATTATATAAATTATATATTGTACATAATTTATATAATTATATATTTATATTATATATAATTTATATTTATATTTAAATATTTATAATTATATATAATATATAATCTATGTATAATTATATAGGATATATAATTATATATAAATAACTAATACATGATTTATATAAACTATATAACAATATATAAAACATATCTTATATTATATATAGGATATAATTATATATAAGATATAATTATTATATTTTATAATATATAAATTTTATATTATATATTATATTATATGCATTATACATAATAACTATATAATATATAATATATAACTATATAATATATTACATATTATATATAATTATACATATATTATACCTAATTTTTTATATTATATAGTATATATTATCATATATAATATATGTTATATAATATTATTTGTATCATATTATATATAATATATTATATTATATATATAATATATATAATATTATATTATATATATAATATATATAATATTATATTATATATAATACATAATATATATAATATATTATATATAATACATAATATATAAATATTTATATTGCATATATTCTATATAACATATTATATATAAAATATATTATATATAATATATTATTGTATATTATATATTATATATTAAATACATTATATATTATATATTATAAATAATATACTATATATTAATTATATAGTATATAATATAATTTTTATATAATTATATATTATATATTATACATATATAATATATAACATAATATATTATATAATATAATTCTGTATATTGTATATAATTTCATATGAGTATATATAATATATAATACATATATTCAGATTATATATTACATAATTTATATATAATCTTGTATATTATATATTTTTAATATATATTATATATTATATAATGTATATGATATATAATTTATATTATACATATATAATATATTATATAATATATACTACATATAATTATATTATGTATTATATATAGTATATTATATATAATATTGTTATAATATGATATATTATAATGCATTATATATAATATATAATACATAATATATACTAATGTAATATATAATATATAATATTATATAATATATAATATAGTATTATATATTATAATGTATTTTGTATATTATAATAATATTGTATATTATTATATTATTATATATCACATATATTATATAAATTATATGTAATATGTAACATATTATATAATATATAATGTATATAACATATTACATAGCGTATAATGTATACAACATATTACATAGCGTATATAATGTATATGACATATTACATAGCGTATATAATGTATATGACATATTACATAGCGTATATAATGTATATGACATATTACATAGCGTATATAATGTATGTGATATATTACATAGCGTATATAATGTATATGACATATAATGTGTATAATGTATATGATGTATTATATAAGTATATAATGTATATGATGTATTATATAATGTGTATAATGTATATGTTTTAGATAATGTATATAATGTATATAATGTGTTATGTAATTTATATAATATATTATATAATTTATATAAATTATATTTATATTAATATAAATATGATTATATTTTTATATTATATTAGCATTACATTAATTACATATTTATTTATTTACTTGTGTATAATATAATATTTACTTATAAGTATACGTATGTAATATTGTGTAAGTATACATATATAAAAATATAAAGTATATATAAATATTCATATTTATACATATATAAGTATATATGCATATATAAGTATATGTATTTCTACTTATATATACTTATATGCTATATTATATTAATATAAATATAATATTTATATTAACATAAATGCAATATTTATATTAATATGAAAACAATATTTATATTGTATAAATATATTTATATTTATACAATATAAATTTATAGTATATTTATAGTATATTAATATAAATACATAGTATATTTATATTAATATAAATACAAAATTTGTATTAGTATAAATATAATATTTATATTAGTATAAATATAACATTTTTGTATTATATTTATTTTTATCTGCTTTTATATTTTATATTCATTTATATATCATAAGCTTTATATCTAAGTATGCATATATTATATATACACATTATAATGTGTTTTTATTATATATGAGTAATATAAATATGTTTATATATTATTTTAACATTACATTAATTACATATTTATATATTTACTTGTATCTAATATAATATTTACATATAAGTATACATATGTAAATATTGTGTAAGTATACATATGTAAAAATATAAATTACATATAAATATATAAGTATACATATATAAGTATATATAAGTATACCTATATAAATATATATACATATAAAAATTAAAATTTATATATCATATTTACTTTTACATTTATATAAATATAAATGTGTAAATATATCAAATTATAAACATAAATACGTTACTAGAGCGTATTTGACATATTATATAATGATATATGTTGTTATACTAAGTAATTGTATGTTGTATGTGTGTGTGTATGTGTTTATGTGTGGTGTGAACATATATAATATCCAAGAAGGTTCACAGTCTTACATCAAGTACATGAGCATAATGGGAGTAGTTATTTCATATTTTTAGCTGATGCCACTAGAAGGGTTCTCATTTAGACCTGACAGTGGATAGTTGTTTCTGTGCATTGCTGCAGATTTGCATGTGTTTCAAACACAGCCTCCAAAAATTCGATGTTTAACCTGTATGTAGGCATCAAACAACAGATACTCAAACACAAGCACTGTTCAAAATTGTTAGCCTAATTCTAGATGTCTAATTTTTACCCTTCCTTGTATTTTACCGCCTCCCTTTCTCTTTTTTTATTACTTGAAGAGTGTTGCTGCAAAAACATTCTGGACTTAATATGTTCCTCAGGATCACTTAATAGTCCAACAAAAGCTACAGATCTCATGAACTAGTTTGGTTGATAAAATCTGTTCTCTCTTCCCCATGGTGGTAGAAAAAGAACAAAATTATTTTAATAATTTCAACCGATTATTTTAATCAGACATATTGATACATTCTAGAGTAAGGTATCAATTGTGTAACGGATTTTCTCAGAATAATTCCCTCATGTGTTTAATAATAAAAAATTTTCTTTTAATCACCAAACGGTTATTTGCGTGAAAATCACTTGATAAAAGAAAAAATGTTCTGAGTTCATTAACTTTGAGTGCTGGATATTTGGCTAAATTATCCTGCCTATAGCTGAACTTGACAGCGTGGTGCAAAATGCAAAACTAACAATTTTCTTTGTAAGATCGATCCTTCATTGAGGTTTATTACAGTGAGGAAATACTGCTTCTTAGATATTTTTTCATCTTCTTTCCATCAACAACACCATTCTCAGTTTCTAAATAGTCTAATAGTCTAAAATGGATCATTAGATAAATGCCTTTTTAATATAGGGAATCCAGGTATAGCGGTCAAATATTATGATTGAGTAGCTTCATCTCTTACATTCATTAAGCCGGGACTGGCTATAATGCTCTTTTCTTACTTATTCTGCTTGAGCTGCTAACCTTTTCCTGTGGCTGTGAATGATGACAGCACCTCCATTGTTTTATGAATATACATAAATATTTTTATCTCTGTGTTATGTATTTTTCTATTCCCAAAGCTTGGCAATTGAGAAAGCCACTTCCGTGCTACTGGTGCTAACTTAAGTCCATTTTCTTCCTTAGCAGACATTTCTAAAATTGGCATAAAAATTCAGAATTGCTAATCATAGGTTTCCATTCATACAGACTATATTTTGTCCCTGCTTAACAGTTTACTCTTTGAGGCATGGACAAAAATCACGTCATCAAGGACAATCTGTAAAGCATTCAATGATGATAATAATACCTAACTGATTTCCTTTTCAAAGCTGCATAACTGTAATTCTCACTCTTTTGAAGAGATTCTAATGTGCTGAACAGCAGACTCCTCATAAGAACTGAGAATTTACTCAGGTCTTGAATCACAGTTGACTGACATCATTGAACACTCATTATTAAGATGGCTAAAAACAGCCTCTTTTTTTAAGCTTCAGATTTATATCTTTATAACCAGGAAAGGAAACCAAAAGATCATTATGAGTTTCAAATTTTTCTGAGCAGCAGAACAATGAAAGAAGGAATAGGCAAGCGTACACAAGCTCCAGGGAATATAGTGCAAATTTTATCTACCTTAAAATGGAATTTGCATCCTCAATGTCCTTCAAAAAGTAAATTCATAGACAAACTAGTGCATCCAACAATGGAATACAACACCAAAAAGAAATGAGCTACAAAGCCTTAAGAGACACAAAAGAAACTAAAATGCATATTACTAATAAAGGAAGCCACTCTGAAAAGGCTGCATACTGTATAGGAACATTCTGGAGAACTATGAAGATAGTAAAATGATCTGTGCTTCCCAGGAATTGGCAGGAGGAAGGGATGAATAGGTGGATAGCAGGATTTTTAGGGCAGTGAAACTATTCTGTGTCATGCTATAATGAAGAGTACATGCAATTTTACATCTATCCAAACCTACAGAATGTGCAACACTAATAATGAATCCTACTATAAACTACTATGGACTTTAGATAATAATGATGTTCCCATGTGGGCCCATCAGTTGTAAATAATGTACCACTCTGGGGCTGGGTGTGTAATCCTAGCACTTAGGGAGGCTGAGGACTTTTGATCACGAGGTCAGGAAATTGAGACCATCCTGGCCAACATGGTGAAACTCTGTCCCTACTAAAAATACAAAAATTAGCCAGTTGTGGTGGGGCACACCTATAATCCCACCTACTTGGGAGGCTGAGGCAGGAGAATCAGTTGAAGCCAGGAGGTGGAGATGGAAGTGAGCTGCGATAGTGAACTCCAGCCTGGCAACAGAGTGAGAATCTGTCTCAAAAAAAGAAAAAAAAATGTACCACTCTGGTGGGAGATGTTGACAATGAAGGAGGTTGCACATATACGGGGTTAAGAGAGGTATAGGTGGCCAGACAGGGTACCTCATGCCTGTAATCTAAGAACTTTGGGAGATTGGGAGGGGTGGATGGCTACAGCCCAGGAGTTCCAGACCAGCCATGGCCAATAAGGCAAAACCCTGTCTCTCCAAATAATAATAATAATAATAATAATAATAATAATAGTAATAATAATAATAATAATAATCAGCTAAGCGTGGTGGCATGTACCTGTAGTCCTAACTACTTGGGAGGCTGAGGCAGGAGGATCACCTGAGGCCGGGAGGTAGAGGCTGCTGTGAACCGTGATTGTGCCACTGCACTGCAGCGTGAGTGGTAGTGAGACCTGTCTCAAAACAATAACAAAACAAAATAAGCCATATGTGAGAAATCTTTGTATTTTCCACTCAATTTTTGCTGTGAGGCTAAAACTACTCTTTAGTAGTAAATAATAATAACATCATGAATACCAAACAAGGTCTATCAATTTTCAATGAAACTGGTTGTCCTGAGAATTATGAAAAGGCTTATCATCTTGAGCTTTTTAATAAAAGCCACTTATTCAAAGAAACATCATTGAAGGACAAATGATCTCATCACCCATGATATATCTCCCCAGGAAGTTTCTGATCAATCATCAATCATCAATAATCACTTTACCACCAGTGGTTAAGGTTTTGACATGTCAAGAAGGCATCACTGATCTGCAGAGTATGAAAATAATGCTAGCTTCCTATTTTTCTTAACATCAAAATGTCAGTTCACGTAGTCAAATTATTAGTGAAGCACCTAAAGATTATTGTTGTCTGGGGATCATTTTTTAACCCATTCTTAGTGACAGCATTCTGCTTTTCCAATAGTTAACATTTAAACACTGGAAACCATTCTCTTGTGGCTTCATAGTATAATCAGTTATGGAAACACAATAACCCTCCAGTATGATGAATTATGGAAATTAACAGATATTTTATCATACATTTTATTCTTGAAGCTGAAAATGATCCCTGTCCATGTTCCTGAAACAGGTTTGAGACTTTACATGGAAAGATTAACATTCTAAATACATCACCTTTAATGTGCAGAAGACTATCTGCAGCTGGACCACCTGTTAGACATAAGAGAATCTATTTGTGATATGTTTTGTTACACTCAGGTTGGCCATTTTAATCTCTATCTTATAAAAATATGATAACATCATACTTTGCTAAATAGCTAGAACTCTTATCTAGAAAATCTCTAATCTTAAGCATATGCATTAATTCTATGTGCTTAAACTTTTTTTGATTATGAAGAATTAATATTTCCAGGAGTTGGTATGTTAAAAACAGGGAGAGTGGAAAAGAAAGTAAAAATAGAAACCATAGAGCTATAGAGTGGGTGCAGATTGTCTCTATACCTTTGCAATAGCTTTCCATTGCAAATATGGAAATATATTATTTTAGAAAATGATTGTTAATATATAGGTGTGGAAGACATCTTTTAACATGGTCTGATCATAAGAATGGATAATAAAACTCTAGATAGCTAAGTGAGTGTCTATCTTTGCTCACTGCTTTCTTTCTTATTAGGATGTCATAATTCTTCAACGTGTGGTCAACATGTGCACGAGATAATAGTGCAAGATGCTGTATGTGAGAAAATTTGAAAACATTAAAACAAATAATTTATTATAAAATGTGTACCTTTTACACTCATTTATTATATTCTGCAAAGGATAATCCTTCATACATATCTTCAACTTTATTTTCCCTAGCCAAGTTTCAAAAGTATACATTAAAAATTGTGTACCTTTAAAATGCTGTGAGAAAGTATGCCTTCAGTCTGCCTGGTTTTAGATCAGTGTTTTCCCCATACTGGTAGATAAAATACCTCTGGCATTGCTTCCATCCAAAAACACCAGCACACTCCACACATACAGTATCAGGGGTGTTTTCAAATAGATCCTTGTATGAGTTCACTGTGACATATATTATTAAACAATTGAAGTGTCCTCCTTTATGAACCACATGTTAGAGATCAGATTTCCGTAACATACAAGCCAAAAGTTATTTTTCTTTAAAAAAAAATATAGATGTGAAACAAAAACAGTACGCTTACTTTTAGACAAAAAACAAGTCTAACTCATCCTTCCTGAAACAAGCCAAATTATGTAAAAAGCTCCTGGCCCACAGACACTGATAAGATGATGGAAGAAGTTTGTTTTGGTTAAAAGGTAGAATTTAATTTTTAATAGCCCTTACCTCTTCCCTACAAAATTTGCCCAAGCTTTCAAGAGTTTTTAAAATATTTTCCAGAAGGCTTATGTGTACAAACCAAACCAAGCAGCCCACTCTGGTTATACAATTTTTGGCTTAAGCTATAAATTGGGCACTGAATTGGAAGCAGATGTTCAGAAAAGATTTTGGTGATCATAATTAATGACTGCATGATGATAAAATGTTTCTTTCTGAATTATCACATTCATCCTGCTCTCCCACCACCTTATTTTGCTATTAGAATACACTTTGGAATAATGCAACTTTGGCCATGTTTGATTTTTTCTGTAATCGAAATAGACTCAAGTTGGTGTACTGTGGATCAATTTCTGGGCAACTGGCCCATCTCCCATCCATTTAGTCTGCCTGCATCTTTCAAGGGAATGAAGCTGTTTTATTAACATCAGCCATTGCAATAAATGAGTTATTTACTGGGTTGTTTGAGCAAGGGGAAAATATTTTTTAACTTTTAGGTTCAGAGATACATGTGCAGGTTTGTTATATAGGGAAACCTGTGTCATGGGGGTTTGTTGTACAGATTATTTCATCACCCAATTATGAAGCCTAGTACCCATTAATTATTTTTCCTGATCCTCTCCCTCCTCTCACCCTCCATGCTCCATTCGTCCCCAGTCTGTGTTATTTCCCTCTACATAGTTGTTGTTCATGTGTTCTCATTATTTAGCTTTCACTTAAAAGTGAGAACTTGTGGTATTATTTGGTTCTCTGCTTCTATATTAGTTTGCTAAAGACAATGGCCCCCAGCTCCATCCATGTTCCTACAAAGGACATGATTTTATTATTTTTTACAGCTGCCATAGTATCATGGTGTATATGTACCACATTTTCTTTACACACAATCATTGATGAGCAGCTTGATTCCATGTCTTTGCTATTGTGAACAGTGTTGCAATGAACATATGTGTGCATGTGTCTTTATAATAGAATGATTTATATTTACCAAGGGGGAAATACAGAAATAAGCATTTTCTCTTTCCCAATCTTCTAAACTAGAATGCAAAAATGTTATTATCACTTGTTTTCTCTGTAAAGAGGCTGGATTCAAATGTACCGTAAATAGCTTATCCTGATCTTACTGTTTCAGGATTTATTTTGACCCTAAGGCAACATCTCAACAAAGGACATATTTATCATTACTGCATGTCTGCTGACCTTTAGTCTATTTTATTAAAGTTTATTAATGTTTTTCCACCCATAGCTCTTACGCATTCAACCAAGAAAAATTTATTCTTGGTGTCTGTTTTTAATCCTATTACCTCTGAAATGGTGGTAAAATCTCAGGTTCAATATGTTGGTGCTATTTGCTAATGAAAACCATTAAAACATGTCAATGATCAGAGAGTTTTTACAAGCCCCAAAATTACTCATATTGATTTCATATCTGAAACAAAAAGTCTTTCCACAGGAGTTTTCAATATTAGAATGGCCAGTCTTCTTTTCATCCATTTCTGTATATGTGTGAATGTGAAAGAACACAACAGTCACACTCATTTATAATGGTCTGCAAAGGAGAATCCTCCATATGTATATTCAACTATATTTGCCCTAGCCAAGTTTCAACTATCACAAGCAAAACATACAAACACATACACACACACACAAACAAATATCACAGCTATCATTGCCATTTACACAGGGGAGATGTCACCTTTGCCTAAGCACACTCAGGCATAACTCTTAAATTGCATTTGCAATGAAAAATATTATACCAGGGTATGAAGAGTGGTGTGGGTGTGGACAGGTTGCCTTCCCTTTTGTGACACAAAATGCAGGCAAACAATAACACAATATAGAGATAGCTATTGAGGAATAATATCTGTGAACTCATTTGTTATATCTGGTAAGGGTTCCAGGTGCAAATGTGGCAAACACCCATTTTAGGATATAAAATTCCTCACAGATAAATAAATTGATAATATATTCATTGTTTTTAAAAAGAATAAAATATATATATAGAAATAAAGAAAAATGAAGCAGAACTTAGGATGAATAATGAAAAAGACATATTCAATGAGTCAAAATTGATACATATCAAATACTGCTGAAATAAAAGATGTAATGAAATGCCAAAGTAATAACACTTTTACAAAAGTATGTGCATAGCTTATATATGATTAATATATATAGAAATGTAGCACCAAATAAAATTTAGATCAATCTAAATAATAAATATAATAAATTAAAACTGAAATGTTAAATTTATAAAATTCATCTATATGAAATATATAAGTTATATAATGTAATACATATAAATGTAGTACACAATAAAACCAATCACTCTAAATTATGACTATATGTAGGAAATAAGAAATGCAATGTTAAAATGGATACAATTTATATGTATGTAATTTATATTATATACAGTTTACATATACAAGTGTAGCAGCACAAAATAAACAGGTTAATGTAAGTTATAACTGTACATAAAAAAACTAAAATATTAAAAGTCAATCATTTTCCCATTATATTAAAAATAATACAAAATGAGTGGCTTCCTGGCTGTGAGGATTTGTTCTAACTTTTGTTTTTCGTTTCTTCTTCTATATTTTATTTTTTTAAAGAGAGTCTTTCTCTGTTGCCCAGGCGGAGTGCAAGTGGCACAATCATGGCTCACTGAAGCCTTGACCTCGCAAGTTCAAGCAATTCTATCGCCTCAGCTTCCTGAGTAGCTGGGAATACAGGCCTGAGCCACCATACCTAGCTAATCTTTCTCTCTTTCTCTTTCTTTCTTTCTTTCTCTTTCTTTCTTTCTTTCTTTCTTTCTTTCTTTCTTTCTTTCTTTCTTTCTTTCTTTCTTCCTTCCTTCCTTCCTTCCTTCCTTCCTCCCTTCCTTCCTTCCTTCTCTTTCTTTCCTTCTTTCTTCTTTCTCTCTTTCTCTCTCTCTTTCTTTCTTTCTTTTCTTTCCCTTCCCTTCCCTTCCCTTCCCTTCCCTCCCTCCCTCCCTCCCTTCCTTTCTCTCTCTCTTTCTTTCTTTCTTTCTCTTTCTTTCTTTCTTTCTTTTTCTTTCTTTCCCTCCCTCCCTCCCTCTCTCTCTTTCTTTCTTTCTTTCTTTTTCTTTCTTTCTTTCCTCTCTTCCCTTCCTTCCTTCCCCTCCCTCCCTCCCTCCATTCTTTCCTTCCTTCCTTCCTTCTTTCCTTCCTTTGTTCTTTTTTTTTCTATTTTTTGTAGAGTTGGGGCCTCACTTTGTTTCCCAGGCTGGTCTCAAATTCCTGAGCTCAAGCAATCTTCCTGCCTCAGCCTCCTGAGTAGCTGGGACTATGGGCCAACACCACCACAACTGGGTATTTTTTATTTTATTTTCTGTTTTCTTCTGTATTTTTTTCTAGAGATGGGGCCTCACTTTGTTTCTCACTCTGGTCTGGAATTCCTGAGCTCAGGTGTTCCTTCTGCCTCGTGTTCCTGAAACACTGGGATTACAGGCATGCACCACCTTGCCCAACCTCCTCTAACTTTAAAAGTTTGTAAAGCATTTGATAATACATTAATATAGTGAAGCACATGAGCAAATTATCTCCATTTAGTATATAAACCTAACTCAATACAAGTCAGGGAATGAAGTAATAATGTTCAAAATTGATTAAGTATACCACCCCTTAGTAGTATAATTGTCATTTATTTACCCCTTAATATTTATGAGACACTGGAAAAGTGCTTTTCTTGTTATTTCATTCCATTCTCATTGCAGACCTATACAGTAGATAACATATGATTTTTACAGATGTTGAAGCTGAGTTCAAACAGATGTTGGTCATGTTCTACACACAGCAGATCTATATCCTAAATAACTCTGTATATTAGTAAAACATAAAAATAAATTAAAATGCTTTATTATTATTATTATGCTTTAAGTTTTAGGGTACATGTACACAATGTGCAGGTTAGTTACATAGTATACATGTGCCATGCTGGTGTCCAGCACCCATTAACTCATCATTTAGCATTAGGTATATCTCCTAAAGCTATCCCTCCAGCCTCCCCCACCCCACAACAGTCCCCAGAGTGGGATGTTCCCCTTCCTGTGTCCATGTGTTCTCATTGTTCAGTTCCCACCTATGAGTGAGAATATGCGGTGTTTGGTTTTTTGTTCTTGCCATAGTTTGCTGAGAATGATGATTTCCAATTTCTTCCATGTCCCTACAAAGGACATGAACCCATCATTTTTTATGGCTGCATAGTATTCCATGGTGTATCTGTGCCACATTTTCTTAATCCAGTCTATCATTGTTGGACATTTGGGTTGGTTCCAAGTCTTTGCTATTGTGAATGGTGCCTCAATAAACATATGTGTGCATGTGTCTTTATAGCAGCATGATTTATAGTCCTTTGGGTATATACCCAGTAATGGGATGGCTGGGTCAAATGGTATTTCTAGTTCTAGATCCCTGAGGAATCGCCACACTGACTTCCACAATGGTTGAACTAGTTTACAGTCCCACCAACAGTGTAAAAGTGTTCCTATTTCTCCACATCCTCTCCAGCACCTGTTGTTTCCTGACTTTTTAATGATTGCCATTCTAACTGGTGTGAGATGGTTATCTCATTGTGGTTTTGATTTGCATTTCTCTGATGGCCAGTGATCGTGAGAATTTTTTCATGTGTTTTTTGGCTGCATAAATGTCTTCTTTTGAGAAGTGTCTGTTCATGTCCTTCGCCCACATTTTGATGGGGTTTTTGTTTTTTTCTTGTAAATTTGTTTGAGTTCATTGTAGATTCTGGATATTAGCCCTTTGTCAGATGAATAGGTTGCGAAAATTTTCTCCCATTTTGTAGGTTGCCTGTTCACTCTGATGGCAGTTTCTTTTGCTGTGCAGAATACCTGTTGTATCTTAGCAAAACAGGAATATGATAATTCTTTATATTTTACATATATATATGTGAAACTACTATCTAATATAACATACAAATAATATAGTTGACTTATTCTTCTGTATTTGTGAGTAGCGATAATTTAATCAAGAATACCCAATTTGCATCAATTTTATTCTACAAGAGCTACCTAATGTGGTAATGTGGCCAATAATTAAAATTATTGGCAAGAGATAGTAAAAATAAACCATGATTGTAGGTAACATTATTGTCTGTTTGAACATCCCACATAACCTACTTGAAACTACTTAAGGACCTTAAGTGGATTTACTGAAATACTCAGGTAAAAATCAATTTTGAAATCTTGTCATAAGGAAAAAGACTATTTCGTTTGAAATTAATTTGGTAAAAAGAAATTATGGCATTATGACTATCAAAGTATAAAATTCTGAGAAAAAATGACTGTGGAATATATGGAACTTACTTGAAGTAAATAAAATTGTTTCTAAAACACACACAAAAAGTGCTAAAAAGTACACAGCTATAAAATGACCCTACAGCTAGGAAGAGCATAGAAGGACTTTTAAGAACTACTTCTGGTATGTTCTTTCTATTGTCACTTTGTTTCATTAACAAACACTGTAGTGTTCCTATTTCTAATTTATTACATTAAAATCAGCTGTGATTAATTGTGGCAATGAGGTCAAGTCCTGACACTTTTTAATTTGAGAGACAACCAGATTATTCTCAGGGAATCTCTGTGATTGGCAACAAAAGTATCCTGCTGAAAAATAATCTTTTTTCTTATTTAAGTAATTTTTCCCATGGAGATGATGGAAGGTAGGGAACACTGCAAATTTGGCATTTTTAAAAATTCTTTAATGTTTCCAGAATTAGATCAGGCCCTTTTTGTCCAATCCTATTTCTACATAGCTGTCCATACTTTGTTGAATCAAGGCATAAAAATGGACAATTCCTCTGTATCTTTGGGTCTTCACTCTGAAGAATCCCACATATACTCAAATACATTTTTATGCCTTTTATCCTATTAATCTGTCTCACATCCATGATTTTCAGCAAACTTTTAGGGATCCAAGGGCCTTGGCCTGCCCCCACACATGGACTTCTGTATCCACAGGGTTCCTGGAACAAATTCCCCCCACAACCCCAGACACTGGGGATAATTGTAGCTTCATGTGCCCATTGTAGTAGAATATTGAAGTTTAGAGGGGATTTAGCTGATACTTCTTTAAAATTAGTTTTTATTCCTTGAAGTTATCAAAATTTAAATGAATAAGATGACTTGTTTCCGCATGTAAGATCACTTTTTCCTTGAAGGCAGCTGTGTTTATCTGCTGTATCTTTTATTCCATAGGTCCCAGTGGGTCTGTGGCCTCTTAGGAACCAGGCCATATAGCAGGAAGTGAGCAGCAGGCAAATGAGTGAAGCTTCATCTGTATTCACAGTCATACTCCATCACTTGCATTACTACCAGAGCGCTGCCTCTTGTCAGATCAGCAGCAGCATTAGATTCTCATAGGAATGTGAACCCTGTTGTGAACTGTGCATGAGAGGGATCCAGATTCTGTGCTCCTTATGAGAATCTAGTGCCTGATGATCTGTCATTCTCTCATTACCCCTAGATGGGCATATCTAGTTGCAGGAAAACAAGCTCAGGGTTCTCACTGATTCTACATTATGGTGACTTGTATAATTATTTAATTACATATTGCAATGTAATGATAATAGAAATACAGTGCACAATCCATGTAATGTGCTTGAATCATCCTGAAACCATTCCCCAAACCCCTGGTCCATGTAAAAATTGTCTTCATTAATACTGGTCCCTGGTGCCAAAAAGGTTGGGGACTGTTGTTTTATAGTATCCAGAGCTGCCAGAGTAATGCCTAAGGTGGAATAAACACTCAAAATTCATAGAGAATGACAAATAAATGAAACTCCCTCCAGTATTAAGAGAGAACTTCAACCTGTGGACATTGTTGTCTACATGAACTGTGATTTTCATAAGAGTGGAGCTTCTTTGGTTGGAGGAAAGAGCTTTGGTTTAGTAAGAAAAGCAAGAGTGCATTTTTGGAAGGACTTCTGACTGTCTGAGGATTAGTAGGAGGCTTCAAAATTGGGCTTGGGGATGGTCACTCAAGAGTAAGAAAGCAGAAACTACAATGAAAGCCTCCATGTGGAAGAGTCTAGTCAGGCAAGATTCAGCTGCTAGAATGTCTTGGAGAGACTGGATGTGGTGGCTCACACCTGTAGTCCCAGCATTTTGGGAGGCAGGAGAATTGCTTGTGCTCAGAAGTTTGAGTCCAGCCTGGGTAACGTAGTGAGACCTCATCTCTAAAAATAAAAATAGTAAATAATAAAAACAATCATGGTATAGAGGATCAATACTCTCCAAGGCTTCCACTCCTCTAAACAAAATTTAAATTTGTGGAAGGGGTTATGTCCCCAAGATGTCATATGCATGTGCTCACCCTAGGCTGGGGGACAAAAAAAATTGGGATTATTATCACCCTGGACTACATGCAATAGAGATGTGGTAATATTCAAAAAGAAATCAGGGAACACTTAGAAAATTGATGTGAATGCAAAAAAGACAGAAAGGAGGAAGAAATACCCAGGGCAAAGACCACTTGAAATGTTCAAAAGTCACCTTTTCTGCACCTAGCATGACATCTGTGATATTCATATTCATGATGTCAAGTCCTGACCCGTTTTAATTTGAAGGACAACCAGATTAACCTTCAACATATTGCATGTTAGTATTACACAAGCATGCCATGTTTATCACATTTAAATTCTATCCTATTAGTTTTGGCTCAAAGGCAAGGTTCTAATTTGTGATCTAAACTTTTTAGTTGCAAGACATTACTTACAAATCATATTCCTTCTTTAATCCTAGAAGATATATGATCTTCCTGGTCACTTTTAAAATGATTTCAAGACTTGAGGTTGCCTATCTCTCTCTTCCTTTCTTTCTTTCACCTATCTATACATCCATCAATCAATCATATCTATCCATCCATACATACATACATACATCATCCATCCACCCACCCATCCTATCTACCTATCATCTATCTATATCTATCTATCTATCTATCTATCTATCTATCTATCTATCTATCATCTATCTATCTCTGTATATCTGTCTGTCTCCCTCTTTCTCTCCCTCTTTCTTTCTCTCTCTCTCTATACATACATAATTGGCCCTTGAACAACATAGGTTTAAACTTCATGGATCCACTTTCATGAGGATTTCCTTCCTCCTTTGCCACCTCTGAAACAGCAAGACAAACCCCTCCTCTTTCTTCTCTTCAGCCTACTGAAGGTGAAGTTGACCAGGATGAAGACCTTAAAAATGATTAACTTCCACTTAATGAATAGTAGATATATTATCTTCCTTACATTTTCTTAATAACATTTTCTTTTCTCTAGCTTACTTTATTGTTAAGAATACAGTATGATATGTCCAACATATAAAATATGTGTTAATTGACTGTTGATGTTATCAGTAAGAAGTTCATTCAACAGTAGACTATTAGTACTTAAGTTTTTGAAGAGTAAAAGGTATATATACATTTTCAACTGCACAGAAAGGTGGCACTCCTAACCCTAGAGTTGTTCAGGGATTAAATCATGTGTGTGTGTGTGTGTGTATGTGTGTGTGTATGTGTGTCTATCTTCATTCAAACTTTTAAATGGCAGTTTCCTTGAAACTTAATCTTTGAGAAAACATGCAACACAGAGGCTTGCACTGCACCCTGATAAACTTGAAATCTGCCTGGACAATAAGATTTATTCATAAAACCACACCTCTGGGGAGTGTATCTATGTTAAGCCCTAAGGCATTCTAAGTATACTACCACATGGTTCTCAGCTTTCATGCATTCCACAGACATACTACTGAATTCACAAAGCTTTGTTCACCCAGACATACTGTGCTTATAAACTTCTTTGATTTTTCTCCCTAGTCATGACATAAAGAAATAAAACAAAACCAGCATATAATTTTCTTAATGTGAGCCCCCAAGCAAGTTGTATAATTATCATAGCATAAGACTACAGAAAAACAAACATAGCATGAAAGAGATGTAAAAGTATGTTTTGTCATGTTTTAAGTGAGAGGTATAAGTAAATTTAAGGAACAAAAACAAGAACAACCTTAGGATAGAAATGTATGAATGTGGTAGTATGTAAGTCTATGTAAATCTCAAGTGCTTTGATTAAGATTGTTGCAGAGAAGCATTTGGAATAAATAAGGAAGTGTGTCCAATCTGGAAGCTTGGAGAATGCTGATATTTAGAAAGTGCAGAGGGACAAATGTCTGGCACCATTATGGAATCTTCCTCTAAGATTATTTACACATGTCTCATAGTCACTATGGTAGAAGAATCAAGGACTGTGAATACTGAAGAGGAAAAGATAGTGAGATTTTAGAAAAGACTGAATGGGTGGTTTATGAATGAGCACAGTCATCTCTAATGGATCTCTTCCCTGAATACAAACAAACCAAAGAGATCCAAGAACAGAACTGAAAACCTCATCATTGAAAGAACTTTTGAGTAACTCTACCACTCACTCAAAATGGATGCAGAAATTCAATGAAATTTACACAGATGGGAGGGGTGCATTATGGGATTGTGTTCCACAAAATAGTTATCTATAAAAATATGAATTACTAATCTGATTCCAAGGAGATTTTGAAAACTGAGTATAATTATTTCTAAGAAAGATAAGAAATTATCAGGGAGTGATCCCTAATACCCCCAAAGACCAATGGATTAAGGGTGAAATTCTATTCGAACCTCAAAAGACAGATCATTTCAATGTTTTTAAAAATCATTCTAAAATGCAGGAAAAGGAGAAAAACTTATTGATTTTTATATAATTCCAGGCACGAATATTTAAGAATGTTTTCAAAAGAAAGCTATAAAGCAACTCACCTTACCAATGTGACTAAGTCTAAGTGGAACATATGAAAGTATAATATAGCAATACATTTTTTAATGCATGCTTATTACATGGGGTTCACACTAGAAATAAAAAAAATTTATTATAAAACGGAAATATATTGATTTCATTTTAAAGATAAGAATTCATAGAGAAAAAATTATAAACATCATCATAGAACCTGAAAAGACACTTATCAATTTGTTATTTTCAAATAGAAAACACATTGGAAAAACATATTTTAATGTTCTATGTGCATGTTTGTAGAAATAGAAATGAGAAAGAAATTTATTTATTAGTAAAAACATGGAAATTCTTGCAACATCACACTTTTTGAAAGATGTTCCCCACCACACCATGAATAGTGTTACAGAAGGTGTAGTCAAAGCAATTATTTGACACAAGAAACATAAGAGTAGAAAATTGGAAAGCAGATGAAAAATGGATAATTATACACATATGTATTGCATAAATGAAAACGTTATAACTATTGGAAAAAATTTCTTTCAATCATAGTGAAACTAATCAATAAAATTTCTAACTACAAATTAGTATTTTATTATGCACAAACATATTTTACCTCTCCAGAGGCAGGAGGATCATTTAAGCCTGGGAGTTTGAGACGAGCTGGGGAAACATAGCAAAATTCTGTCTCTAAAACAAAATTTCTTTTTAATTAGCTGGATGTGGTGGTGCAGGCCTTTAATACCAGTTACTCAGGAGGCTGAAGCAGGAGGAATGCTTGAGGTCAGGAGTTTGAGACCAGCCTGGGCAAAATATTGAGAACATTGTCTCTAAAAGTAAAAAATTGTCCAGGCATAGCAGCTCATTTCTTTAATCTCTGCAAACTGCGAGCAAAATTCTGTCGCTAAAACAAAATTTATTTTTAATTAGCTGGGTGTGGTGGTTCAGACGTTTAATACAAGTTATTAGGGAGGCTGAAGTGGGAGGATTGCTTGAGCCCACAAGTTTGAGGCTGCAGTGATCTATGATCATATCACTGCACTCCAGCCTGGGTGACAGAGTGAGATGCTGTCTCTTACAATACTAACAAAAAATGAAAATAGCAATTATTTAATATGCTGCTGATATTAGAGGAATATTAAATAACTGCTATTTTCATTTTTTGTTAGTATTGTAATTAGATCTTTCTGTTATTAAGTTCTATTTAGTTGCTGTTTGTATTTAACATGGTATATATAAAGGCAATTTTTTTCTTTTAAGAAATTTTTTTTTTTATTAAACATCTTAAACATCTCAGCGTTCAGTAGAATCTCAGTAGCATCCAAGGATTTAGTGATACAGGATTTTTCTTCTTGGTCATTTTGCAAGCCAGGGATCTCTAGTCGGCAACACCCCACCAGGCCTTGCTTGGCCACACTAAGCTGCTGTAGGAGATAGCCACTCAATTGTCCCCTCAAGCAGAGTCTGGCTTGTGCACTGGCTCAGCCCATGGCTGGGAAGTGCATGGTCCAGCTCACCTGTGTTATAGCTTGTAGTTGCCTTTGTGGCTCCTTAGCTCCTGTACCACAGCCAAGGAGAATGAGGATACGCTGGATATTAAAGGATTAGGAGGGTGGAGAATAATTTTATTGAGTGACAGATCAGATCTCAGTGGACAGGGGACACAAGGAGTGGTCTCCTGCACCAGGAGTCAAGTGGTGCTCTCCTCCCTTTGTGGCTGGGTCTGGGCTTTTTATGGGCTCAGAATAGGGGAGGGGCAGGCTGTAGGTAGTATTGCAAAAGGCAACATTCAATTGGTTAAAAGGCATTATTCAGAAAGAAATCAATTAGGGAAAGGAGGACAAATAGGAACAGAAGATCTCACCCTGGGTCATGGGTTTAATCCAGGACCAGCAGTATGGTCTTTCAGCCTTCAGGCTGTTTTTGGCTTGAAGATCAGGTTTCACCAGGGACCCAGGCCTATCTGCCTAGCCATTTGGCTGCCTCCTGTGGCTATCAGTAGGGTGAGCAGAGGCCTAGAGTGGAGGCACAGGGAACCCCCAGGACTGAGGTTACAGCACCCTGAAGGTATAAACTTTCAATTCCACATCGTTTAGCCTCCAGGTTCCCAGTATCCTAGCTGCTTCTTTTTTTTTCAGGGCCAACACTATCATTTGAGTGCCTTGTTTTATTGCTATAGGCACACACAGATATTTACAGCACTCAAAGGCATTTTACTGCTCAATTTGTAAAACGATCTTTATTAAAAACATTTTCTCTTGTATCTCCTGCTTCTTCTCTCTCACTTACGATTATATAAACAGCAGTTTCGGAATACAAAGAAGTCCTCATAGATGTGCATCTGTATCTCAAAGAAATGCTAATATTTAGGCTGTATCTCAAGGAAATACTAATATTTCCTAATACTACCTAGGAAATACTAATACCACCGTGAGTGTGGGGCTACAATATGGAGAGAGAGAAATTGAGCTGAGATAATCAATAGGATGGTGAAAACTGAGGGTGTAATTGGAGACATGATCAATGAGTCCTATGGCTTGCTTTTAGGGACTATTCCTAGTTCTCTTCAGTGGAATTGAGGCAAGAGTGATATATGGCACATACCTATTATGTATACCTAGACTTCTCCAAACTTAGCTCTCTGTACTGTCTTGTTTGGCAGCTAAATGTTGACAGCCAGGCTGATCTCAATGTGCTTTGAACAGGCAAAGCTCTTTTCAGCCCTGTCTTTGAAGGAGAAAGTGGACAGGACACCTATCTCTCCCCACCATGGGAGAAAACCTATGGTGGACTTCAATCTTAGCAAGAAATGAACTTTTGTTGAATGAAGCCACTGGGATTTGGGGGTTGTTCCTATAGCAGGAAGCCTCTCCTGACATACATATTTAGATCCAGTATTTATAACTCAGGACTTTTGGCAAATCCTCTCATATGGAAACTCAGTTCATTTATTGTTTAAAAGGGAGTTAAAGGTATCTGTCTTCTCACCTATATAGCAGAAAGTATTGGAGGCAATCTATGAAAATGGTATGAGAATCATTACTTTAAGAACCTTTAGTGGCTAAGAAATAATTAGTTCACTTGTAAATATAACTTCAGTTTCCTCTGTAAATACAACCTGGCACTTGGACAATCTGTGTAAACAACAAATTCTATCCACTCATTGCTTTATTTTAAAATTTTGAATACTTTTTACCCTTGCAGCTGATATTTTGTAAACTTGGAAAGGAAGAATACCATAAAAACATTAAAAGAATTTTAAAGTAACCATTACACATGAGACAACAAACTCAGTTAATGAATTTTAACTCAACTGAGCTTGCTTATTTTAGTTTAACAGATTAGTGCTTAGCAAATGCTCAATTTGATAATTTTTCTTCTTTTAGCCTTTTTACTTGTCTCTCTTGGTGTGCTTGGTGAAATAGAAATAAAAGACAGATAAGCTTGATTCGATGTTATTCCCCCCACCCCGCCCCCCATACATAAAATATAACATTCTATACAATCAGTTTCTAAAGAAAGGTTTACATTTGCAAAATAGTGCCAGTGTGGTTGTTGTCCATTTAAATAATATTTATTTTGTGTAGTTTGTATTTTCAACATCATCAGTGCTGTTTATTCCCACTTTTCAAGCCTGTCAAGTACAAGCAGAACTTGAGACACTTGGAAGATCAGGTCAGTGAGCAACAGAATGTTACTGGTGTGACAAGACATAATACAACTTCCCTTCCAACAAATTACTTTCTTTAGAGATGATGTCCTTTTTTCAGCGTTTATGATTTAAAGCAAACCAAAGAAAGAAGATCTTGATCTGTGAGAGAATTGCAGATCAATAGGAAAAAGAAATGACAGAGACATCTAGCAAAGTGAGAACTGGAAAGCAAAGGAAGAGTTGGATAAGTCAGTTTTCCTGCACTGACACTGGGACATTAATAATTGTCAGATAGTACAGACAATGATAGTATTTGGATTATTTAGACTGACAAAAATTTAACTGGACAGGTGACTGATGATGTATAATCAGTTAATGGATATAAATCTCAAAACACAGGCAATTTTCATCTATCCCATGGCATTTCTTTTATTTCTATCCACAATAGTAGAAACTGTATCATCCATCGATTTCACTGTGGAATGCAGTCCTAGGCATGGTGGCTTTATTTCCTTGGTACTTCACAAGTGTCATATCAAAACACACATACATGATTTTATCTATATAAAATATCCAGAATAGGCAAACACATAGTGACAGAGAGTAGGTTAGCAATTGCCAAGAGCTGGAGAGGGGAAATGAGAAGTGACTGCTTCAGAGGTCTCTTTTGGAGCAATGAAAATATTCTTGCACTAGATACAGGTGATAGTTGCATGCCATTGTGAATGTACTAAATCCCACTGAGTTGCAGACTTTAAAGAGTGACTTTTATGTTATGTGGATTTTACTACAATAACAAAAAACTATGTTGCCACGTCACATGTTTTGAGGCAACCAGTTGTATAAGGATCAGATAAGAAGCTCATGACCCCAAGATGAAGATGCCCAAGACCTGCACCAATGGAAGCTTTTGGTTTACTGATAAAGTTCCAGGACAGATTTGAAGTTTGGAAAGAAACATAGTTGCTGCAAGAGAAAGGGATTCTCCTGTACTTAGCTGGGCTTTGGAAGAAAGAGATATTCCTAGTGAAACCAGGAAGTGCCTGTCTCTGCATCTCATGGAGAACTGCAACACAGAGCAATGCTACAGTACAAAAGGAGGTCGCCTTAGCCATTGTGGGATAAGCAAGCCCATGGTGGACATGTCCAGATTGGGTGTTCCTGGGCTAACTCAGACAGTCAATCAGCCAGTGTATTTGTGGATGTTCAACGTTTGAATTCCTAAAATGATGTTTGCTGTGATCTCTAAAATCAACATATGGATGTTTGTTGAGTCCATGATTAATAAAGTTTTAGGCTGGGTGCAGTGGTGTGCTCCTGTAATACCAGCATATTAGGAGGCTGAGATGGGAGAATTTCTTGAATCCAGGAGTTCAAGAACAGTCTGGGTAACACAGCAAGACCCTATGTCTGCAAAAAAATAAAAAAATTAGCTGGCATAGTGGTGCACAGCTGTGTTTCCAGCTACTTGGAGGCTGAGTGGGAATACTGCTTGAAACTAGGAGTTTGAGTCTGTAATGAGCTGTGATCATCACACCACTGTACTCCAGCCTGGGCAACAGAGCAAGACTGTTGTTGCCAAACAACAAGATTCTGTTGTCAAAAAAAAAAGAACCAAAATGTTGAAAGTTAACTTAAACATCTACAAAACACTTTTTTTTGGTATTTCCTTCCTACCATATTGAAAGATCTAACCACAGCCAATGAAATCTTCATTAAATCTTTGGAAACTGCTTCTCGAAAGCTGGGATTTTGCTCTTCAATGATAATCCTAGTAGATTTAACTTCCTCCATTCTTTTATTGTTATTTCTTGAATCTTGAAAATGAGAAAGTGAGAAAAAGTTTTCCTTCAAATCTAACACCATGTAGTTCAGGATCTGTTGTCAATAGATTTGTTCTTAGGTAAAGCATTAAAAGCTGAAAATTCTGAAGAAAACTGTGTGACCTCTTTTAAAGTGAGGTGTGGGTGGAATCGTATATGTTTCTTGAATCACCAGTCTGGGGAACCATATCAGATGTTATTCCTTTTCAGTGATTCATCCCAAATCATGACTTGGCATGGCCATTTAACCTCCTGTCATCTCCTACTTGGTTAGAGAACTTCCTCACACTTTGGAGCAAGAGACAGACTAAAGACCTGTGCTTGGCTTCCCAGTTTTAGACCCTAATGGATTCTTTGCTCTTCTGATTTTAAACCAGCAAAATCACAAAAAGAAAAAATAAAGAATGTAATAATTTTATTTCAAAGATAAGGAGTATGACATGGACATTCTCCTTGACTCGATTTTCCAATATAACTAAGCGTCTGTATTACCTCCATGGTGCTGCTGAAACAAAGTATTACAAACTGCAAACTAGGTCACTTGGTCAATAGAAATTTCTTCCGTCACTGTTCTGGAGAAATTTGAGGTCAAGGTATCTGCAGGGTTGATTCTTTCTCAAGGCTATTAGAGACACATCTATTCCATGCCTCTCCCTTAGATTTTGATAGTTAGCTGGAAGTCTTTAGTGTCTGTTGACTAGTAAATGTATCATTCTGATCTTTGCATTCATCTTCACATGATATTCTTGTGTGCATGTCTGTGACTAAATTTCTGTCTTCTATAAGAATGCCAGTCATATTGGAATATAGTGGCCCATTCTACTCCTATACGACCTCATTTTAACTAATTCCATCTACAGTCACCCTGTTTACAAATGCGGTCACATTCTCAAGGACTAGGCTTAGGACTTCAACATGTAAACTTTCAAGGGGACCCCGCTTAACCCAGGATAATCTCTAAGTAGTTGTATTCTCAGGTCCCATTGTACAAAACAATCCTGTGAAACACAAATGCCAAGAAATAAGATGTGAGTGAAAAGAAGAAGACACATATTAACCTATTGTGTAACTGTCAGGACACAAGACACAACCCAATGATAATACAGTTGTAAGGTATATAATACCTATAATGCAAGTAAAATAGCGAGCTACAAAATCATGATTTGGGAAGGCCATTTTACTGACTCTGGAGGACAGAATTTTATAAAAGGCTTACCTGAGAAGGTCATGTTTAAGTGAATCTTGCAGAATGAGTATTAGTTATCAGAGAATAAAAATGGAGGAAGTGCTAACTACAAAGATGGAAGTCTCAGAATCTGGTAAACAGGTAAAAAGCAATGAATTTCATGTGCAAGCAAACAAAATGTAGATGAGGCAATGGTGTAAAAAATGACTCTTTCAGTGAAGAAATGCTCAATACTGCACAACTAACACAAACACATGGGCCATTTTTATTTTCATGGTGTGTACAACCCTTGGACTTGTCTGTGCATTTGGCCACTTAAATGGAAGCTGTGATTTTTCTGCTTCTTGTTGGCTTTTGGGATTGGGGCTTCTCCCTCACAGAGAATGTTCACAGAGCTCAGTGTTCTAGACCCCAACTCCCACCAGGCTCTGCCCATTTCTGAAGAAGAGAGATATAGACAGGCAGCATGTGGCACATGACAATCTCTGCATGCTCTGCTGTTGCTTTTCTCAAATGCAGTTTGAAGAGTGACTTTGATGGACACAGTCCTTTGCTTGAGGGGCTCTGGGTGAACAGAGGGCACTTCTTTTATATGCACTGTACTTTGTTGAGATGCCTAAGCCATCTTCACTGACAAGTTAACATTTAATTTTGGATGTGCTGCTGCAATTTGAAACATCCTTTGTGTAATGTTGTTAATTAGGAAAAGCCCTGATGTGAGAGACCAGTGCTACTTTAGGGTTCAGTTTGCAGCCTCCATTTTATTGAGCTTCTCTGTAAAGACAAAATAAATGTGGCTGGGAGGAAGTCCCAATAGCAATTTTAGTATGATTATGAGAAGTCTCTGTTGCTTGTCATTTAAGCTGTGGTATCATCCTGTGTTGGTGAATGTGCTTGGATTATTGTAGTGCATGTATTTTTTAGTACAAAATAAGAAAATAAATATTCAAGGTTATTGGTTAAAATAATTGAGCTGAGGTTATTGGTTACTGGTTAAAAGAATTGAATGGCTTTTACCTATCACATTAGATGATAAGTTGTCAGTTTTGCCTCTCACAATTCCCACATGTCATGGGTGGGTACTGGTGGGAGGCAATTGAATCATGGAGGTGGGTCTTTCCTGTGTTGTTCTTGTGATAGTAAGTTTCACAAGATCTGATGGTTTTATAAAAAGAGGAGTTCCCCTGAACAAGCACTCTCTTTCCTGCCAGCATGTAAGATGTACCTTGCTCTTCTGCCATGGTTGTGAGGCTTCCCCAGCCATGTGGAACTGTGTAAATTAAATCACTTTCATTTATAAATTAGCCAGTCTTGGGTATGTCTTTATTGGCAGCATGACAACAGACTAATACAATGTCTAATTAAATATCATTTGTAATTTTATTTTTGGAGTTTAGAGAAAAGTCTAAAACCATAACTTGGAAGAATGATGAACTGATTAAGCTCAAAGATGTCTAATTGTTTCCCAGGATGGGGTTGTGTATAAACATTTTCTGGTCAATCAGAATCACTTCTCACTTTGTAGTAACTTAGATTGAAATCCTGCATCCTTGGCACTAGGCAACAGTGAGGGAGGAGATAGCTCTGAAGTATAAAGTGGTTTTAAAAGTGGCGGAGGTAACTGTGAAAACCCATGATCAAATGCTAAATTGACTGCTCATCCCAGAGAAGAATGATCAAGCGTTAAGTCATTCACTTTAGTGACTTAAGCTAAGTAATGCATTAATTGATACATCTCTACAAAAATGTTAATAAAAATATAGTATCTGTGATATTCAGGAGATAAGTGATCCAACAAATGAGAAACTCAAGTTGGACAGCCCATTGCAAAAGGATCTTCTAATGCATTTTAGTGACCTGTTCCAAAATATTTAATTTTTCACCTCAAAAAGAATGGAAGTTCTGCTGAAACAGGTTGGATAGATCTGCTATAATATTGCATACATTTTTGTAAATGTATAAAATTTTGGAATATCTTCCAATTCATATACCATTTAGCTGTCTAAATATTTATCATTCACATGCAGACACAGATGGTCCTCAGTTTGTGATAGTTTGACTTACAATTTTAGACTTATGATGGTGAAAATGAAATATGCATTCAGTAAAAACCATAGTTTGAGTACCAACACAGTATTTTTTACACTTACAGTGTAATGTCAAATAAATTACGAGAGGTATGCAACACTTTATTATAAAATAAGCTTTTGTTATGTGATTTTGCTCATCTACAGGGTAATCTGAGTCTTCTCAGCACATTAAAAGTAGGCCAGATGGGCTATGATGCTTGGTACATTAGCTGTATTCAATGCATTTTTAACTTATGACATTTTTGACTTACGGCATGTTCAACTTATGATGGGTTTGTTAGGATGTAACTCCATTGTAAGTGAAGAAGCATCTGTGTTACATATCTTAAATATGCCAGATATTGCACTAAGCACTGAAGATATAAAAACATATTTTTAAAAATGCCTGGCCTCAGGCATTTACTGATCCTATATTGTTATTTCATTCTTCTTTCTCTCTTTTTATTTATTTATTTATTTGAGATAGGGTCTCGCTCTGTCACCCAGGCTAGAGTTCAGTGACATGATCACAGCTCACTTCCACCAGTGCCTCCCAGGCTCAAACAATTTTCCACCTCAGCCTCTGGAGCAGCTGGGACTACAGGTGTGCACCACTATGACTGGCTAATTTTTTAATTTTTATTTTTTGTACATATGTGGTTTCACCATGTTGCCCAGGCTAGTCTTGAACTCCTGGGCTCAAGTGACTCTTCCATCTTGGCTTCCCAAAATGTTGGGATTACAAGCCTGGCCTTCTCTCTTTTTAATTAGGAGCATAAAAAGACAAGTTCATTGTATAAATTTAGTAAAAAAAAAATAATAAATGATGGCAACTCTTAATAAATAAGTTGCTTGTGATGTATCACAAATACTAGGAAGAGGTTTTGATTTTAATGGAAAGGAATTAGAATCTTACTTGGACTATAGCAGAGAAATGAGGTAATGGGTGAACATAAGGGCAGGGGCCTCTGTGTGGTTAAATGCTGCTCCATTTCTAATACGAAGTTCATCAATCCATATTTGTTGGCAGAATAAATTGAGATTACCATAGTCAGGGATGTTCACCCTCTCCAAGGGTGATAAAACGAGGTACCTTGAATTGATGTGTGTTCATTAAATGGCCACAAAAAGTGCAAGGGATGCTTTGCATTGCTAATCTGTATTATATTTTATGTAAAGTTCACATATTATACAGGAGAAGGTTTATTTATTTATTTACTTACCTATTTTTAGCAGTAGAACCCTTTGCAAGTGAAATGCTGTGGATGTCTAGTATATAAATAGATGAAAGCTGGTTATTCAGGAGGGAAACCCATTTGGCCCATGTCTCCAAAGCAGTGCAGACAATTGCAAATGTTTGTGGAACACAGGTTGAACTACAGCCATGGGCAAAACCTCCAGGAGTCTGCTGACAGCCTGGAACACAGGTCTCATTTTTCTCCATGGGTGGCCAGCATCCCTCGCTCATCTCTGTAGCAGATTTTAGCACAAAACTGTTAGAAAAATAATTTAGAAGAACATTATGGAAGCATACACAGGAAGATGACAGGAATGCATAGGACTGCATCTTTTTGTAAGTTATTTCATGTTAAGATTATTAAAAGAGCAAAAGAGAAGAGACAGAGAGAAATAGATTCATGATATAGGCATCATATGGAACTGTATCAATAACCCATTTTACAGCATGATAGAATCTGGTGACTATTCTCCCAAAGATTTGAACTCTATTTTTCAACTTGAAAATATTTAAATATTTTTTGACATAGCAGCATTTGCAACCATATTAAAAGGGCATTTCTCTTATGTTGTTGCTGATATACATACACACGTATACCTATATACATTGTGATATACATACACCTATATGTATACGTGTGTATGTGTATGTATATATACGTATATATGTATATTATATATGTATATATATGTATATATGTATGTGTGTATATATACATATATAAGTATTGTGTATATGTGTATCTATGTATGTGTGTATCTATGTATGTGTGTATATATATGTATATACGTGTGTGTATACAGATATCTTTTTGTAAAAAAAGTATTTTTTACAGTGTCATAAACTCTGAAGAATCAAGAGTATATTTATGCAACAGAAAATCTGTATGTTGTCATTTAATGACATCCGTATGGGACAAAGCAGAAGTATAAATACCTTAAGTAAGAATCAGTTATAAATTTGCAAGGCTCTACTACTAATCTGTTGCTATTTCTAATCAATTTGACACATTTGGGACAGACAAAACTTATTTCATTTTCTCTATAGAATTAATGTCTAGTTATATTTCTAAGTAACTTTCTGGTATCCAGAGTACTTTCAAATATATTATTTAATGTGTCCCAGAGCATAATTTTGTAGCAACAGTACATTAAGTAGTTAATATTGATTTTACCTTATGTGTAAAGAACTGAGAGAAGTTGCAAATCATGAAAAATCCCCATAGTAACATGAAAGGACCTTAAAATCATGTGTGTATAGAAAGAAACAAATAGTAGTCATAGATACAGAAAACAGAATGGTGTTTATCAGGCCACATGGGAAGAAGACCCAGGGGAGTTGTGTTTAATAGATACAGAGGACTGAGAGGAGCTGTGTTTAATAGATACAGAGTTTTAGTTCTGCAAGATGAAAATATTCTGGAGATCTGTTGAACAGCAGTGTAAATTTACTGAACACTACTAAACTGTATACTTAAAAAAAGGTTAATATGGTGAATTATGCTGTGTTTCTTTCTACTACAATGAATTAATTTTTTTTCCAGATCCTTACCCACCCATGTTTATAGTAGCAAAATACACAACTGCAAAAATATGGAACATGCCCATTAATCAACAAGTGGATAAAGAAACTGTGAAGATAGATAGATAGATAGATAGATAGATAGATAGATAGATAGAAAGATACCATAAAATACTACTCAGTGATAAAAAGGAATGAAATAATAGCATTTTCAGCTATCTGGATGGAATTGGAGACCTTTATTCTCAATGAAGTAACTCTGGAAAGGAAACCCAAACATCATATATTCTCACTTATAAGTGGGAGCTAAGCTATGAGGATGCAAAAGCACAAGAATGATGCAATTGACTTTGGGGAGTAAGATGTATGGGTGGGAGGGGGGTGAGGGATAAAAGACTAAACATTGGGTATAGTGTACACTGCTTGGTGACAGGTACACCAAAATCTCAGAAATCACCACTAAAGAACTTATTCATGTTACTGATCATGACCTGTTCCCCCAAAAGCTATTGAGATAAACAAAATTGATACTTTTTCTATAATCAATAATATCAACAATCAGACACCTGCAGATGTGTACCACATTGCTTATGGAGATTTGACCATCCTTAGAAAGTCAAAAAATGAGTTTTCATTAAACATTCTCTCAGAAATGCTTCTTCCTTTATATTTATAAACAACAATCTCTGGCTGGGTGCAATGTCTCATCTCTGAAATCCCAATACTTTGAGAGGCCGAGGTAGGAGAACTGTTTGAGTTCAGGAGTTCCAGACCAGCCTAGGCAACATAGTGAGACCCCCATCTCTGCTATAAATAATAATTTAAAAAATTAGCTGGGTGTGGTGCCCTGTAGTCCCAGCTAATGAAGAGTCTGAGGTGGTAGGATAACTTGAGCCTGGGAAGTCAAAGCTGCAGTGAACTGAGATGACAACAGTATATTCCAGCCTTGGGAACAGAGCAAGGTTCTGTTTCAAAAATAAATGAATAAATAAATATTTTTTTAAAAAACACTCTTTGTATGGCAGTATATACTGGCCAATGATCTGGTAGAAATACTGTCCTTTATTTTTCTGAAATATGTTCTCAATATTCAAATTGGACCTCCGTGGCATAGAATCATTTGACTTAAGACAGGAAATGAGAGCATCCAGTGAGATCAAAATAAGCATTTCACAGACATATGCACTCTATGCCTGAATTGTTTGTAGCCCCCCGTGATTGTCTGAGCTAGCACACAAAATATAATTGAAAGTGATCAAAATTGTTGGCTGTCTCAGATAAAGGGAAAAACATATGACAAAACATATGTTTCGCAGGTACAGTGGTAGCTCTCCCTCATTAAACATATTGAAAATTTTAATCAGTTTATGAGATGGACACAAGTTAGTTATTCTAACACAAGTTATATGACCTTGACAGAGGGAGCTTAAACTCACCGTCTGAACTCAGTCCAGGAACAGAACCCTTTTTGCATCAAAGGAGGAGATCTCTTACCATTTTGAGCCTGTAAGGTAGTGAGAAGGCTATTATTGGAGCCAATAAATAAGATGGATATTGCAAGTGATGTGAAAGTCATCTCTTGGTGGGTTGATCTCTCTGGGGTTCAATGTTTCCCCTTTATTATAGCTCTTCTTTTACAAGAGTAGTAGTCTTATGCTCGTACCAACAACACCAACAGCAAAAAAAGAGAAACAAAACCAAAGCAAGAGAAGAAGCCCTTATGATACAGAACACAGGCTGGAACAAACCAGCTAGCTGTCATCTCTAGCTGGTCCAACCAGGTGTCCCAAGCTTACATCAGGTAATGGAAACATCAATGTCTAGAAGCTTAAACAGTGGGCAGGCAAGGTAGCCAGAAATTCCAGAAGATAAATGAGAGGCAGAAAGAATTTGAGTCACATACAATCTCAGGAGAAGGTGTAGTCAATGGCTGGATTAGAGGTCAAAAATCAGGAAAACATTTTGCCAAAAGAGCAAGACATTCCAGGCTTTCACTCACAGGCTTAGGAGAATTCCTTTTTTTCTTTTTCTTTTTTTTTTTTTTGAGACAGAGTTTTACTTTTTCACCCAGGCTGCTGCAATCTTGGCTCACTGCAACCTCCACCTCCCAGGTTCAAGTGATTCTTCTGCCTCAGCCTCCTGAGTAGCTGGGACTACAGGCATATGCCACCATGCCCATCTAATTTTTGTATTTTTAGTAGAGATGGGGTTTCACCATCTTGGTCAGGCTGATTTGGTCTTGAACTCCTTACCTAGTGATCTGCTGTCTCGGCCTCCCAAAGTGCTGGTGTTACAGGCTTAAACCACAGTGCCCAGCCCAGGCTGAGAAGGATTCTATAAGAAGCTTCCAGAAGAAAGAAACAGCAGTAATCTTTCTGTTCTGCAGCCTCCTCTGGTGATACCCAGGCAAACAGGGTCTGGAGTGGACCCCCAGCAAACTCCTGCAGCAGAGGAGCTTGTTAGAAGGAAAACTAACAAAGGTAAAGCAATCTCATCAACATCAACAAAAAGGACGTCCACTCAGAGATCCCATCAAAGACCAAAGGTAGTTAAAACCATGAAGATGGGGAGAAAACAGCGCAAAAGATTGAAAATTCCAAAAACCAGAGTGCCTCTTCTCTGCCAAAGGATTACAAACCCTCACCAGCAAGGGAACAAAACTGGATACAGAATGAGTTTGAAGAATTGACAGAAGTAGGCTTCAGAGGTGGGTAATAACAACCTCCCCTGAGCAAAAGGAGCAGGTTCTAAACCAATGCAAGGAAGCTAAGAACCTTGAAGAAAGGTTAGATGAACTGCTAATTAGAATAGCCAATTTAGAGAAGAACATAAGTGACCTAATGGAGCTGGAAAACACAGCACGAGAACTTTGTGAAGCATACACAAGTATCAATATCCGAATCAATCAAGTGGAAGAAAGGATATCAGAGACTGAAGATCGACTTAATGAAATAAAGTGAGAAGACAAGATTAGAGAAAAAAGAATGAAAGGAACAAAAAACATCTTGAAGAAATATGGGACTATGTGAAATGACCCAATCTACATATTATGGGTGCACCTGAAAGTGATGGGGAGAATGGAACAAAATTAGAAAACACTCTTCAGGATATTATCCAGGAAAACTTCCCCAACCTAGCAAGGCAGGCCAACATTCAAATTCAGGAAATACAGAGAACATCACAAAGATACTCCTTGAGAAGAGCAACCCCAAGACCCAAAATCATCAGATTCTACAAGGCTGAAATGAAAGAAAAAGTGTTAAGTGCAGCCAGAGAGAAAGGTCAGGTTACCTACAAAGGGAAGCCCATCAGAATAACAGCAGACCTCTCTGTAGAAACCCTACAAAGCAAGAAGAGAGTGGGAGCCAATTTTCAACATTCTTAAAGAAAAGAGTTTCCAACCCAGTATTTCATATCTGCTTCATAAGCAAAGGAGAAATAAAATCCTTTACAGACAACCAAATGCTGAGAGATTTTGTCATCACCAGGTGTGTCTTATGCTCCTGAAGGACACACTAAACAAGGAAAGGAACAATCGATACCAGCCATTCCAAAAACATACCAAATGGTAAACTTCATCGACACTATGAAGAAACTTCATCAACTAATGGGAAAAATTACCAGCTAGCATAATAATGACAGGATCAAATTCACACATAACAATATTAACCATAAATGTAATTGAGCTAAATGCCACAATTAAAAGACACAGACTGGCAAATTGGATAAACAGTCAACAACCATCGGTGTGCTGTATTCAGGAGACCCATCTCATGAGCAAAGACACACATAGACTCAAAATAGAGGGATGGAGGAATATTTACCAAGTAAATGGAAAGAAAAAAAAGAGCAGGGGTTGCAATTTAGTCTCTGATAAAACAGACTTTAAACCAACAAAGATCAAAAAAGATAAAAAAAAGGGCATTCCATAATTATAAAGGGATTAATGCAGCAAGAAGAGCTAACTATCCTATACATATATGCCCTCAATATAGGAGCACCCAGATTCATAAAGCAAGCTCATAGAGACCTACAAAGAGACTTATACTCCCACACAATAATAGTGAGAGAATTTAACACCTCATTGTCAATATTAGACAGATCAATGGGACAGAAAATTAACAAGGATATTCAGGACTTAAACTCAGCTCTGGACCAAGCAGACCTAGTAGAAATCTACAGAACTCTCCACCCCAAATGAACAGAATATACACTCTTCTCAGCACTACATTGCCCTTGTGACAAAATTGATCTTATAATTGGAAGTAAAACACTCCTTAGCAAATGCAAAATAGTGGAAATCATAACAAACAGTATCTCAGACCACAGTGCAATCAAATTAGAATTCAGGATTAAGAAACACACTCAAAACCACACAACTACAAGGAAACTGAACAACCTGCTCCTGAATGACTACTCAATAAATAACAAAATTAAGGCAGAATAAAGATGTTCTTTGAAACAAATGAAAAGAAATACACAATGTACCAGAATCTCTGGGAAATAGTTAAAGCAGTATTTAGATGGAGATTTATAGCACTAAATGCCCACAAAGAAAGCAGGAAAGATCTAAAATTGACACTCTAACATCACAATTAAAAGAACTAGAGAAGCAAGACCAAACACATTCAAAACCTAGCAGGAGTAAGAAATAACTAAGATCAGAGCAGAATGGAGGGAGATAGAGACATGAAAAACCATAAAAAAAAAAAAAACAAAGACAATGAATCCAGGAGCTGTTTTTTGAAAAGACCAACAAAATAGTCTGCAAGCAAGACTAATGAAGAAAAGACAGAAGATTCCGATAGATGCAATAAAAAATGATAAAGGGGATATCACCACTGATTCCACAGAAATACAAACTACCATAAGAGGATACTATAAATACCTTTACACACATAAACTAGAAAATCAAGAAGAAATAGACGAATTCTTGGACATATACACCCTCCCAAGTCTAAACTGGGAAAAAGTCAATCCCCTAAATAGAACAATAACAAGTTCTGAAATTGAGGCAGTAATTAACCATCAATTACAGTTCAGGACCAGATGGATTCACAGCCGAATTCTACCAGAGGTACAAACAAGAGTTGGTACTATTCCTTCTGAAACTATTCCAAAAAATAGAAAAAGAGGAGATCCTCCGTAACTCATTTTATGAGGCCAGCATTATCCTGATACCAAAACCTGGCAGAGGCACAACAACAACAACAACAACAACAACATCACCACCAACAACAAAATTATAGGTCAATATCTCTGATGAACTTCAATGCAAAAATCCTCAATAAAATACTGGCAAACTGAATCCGGCAGCACATCAAAAAGCTTATCTACCAAGGTTAAGTCAGCTTCATACCTAGGGTGCAAATCAATAAACATAATTCATCACATAACCAGAATCAATGACAGAAACCATATGATTAAATCAATAGATGCAGAAAGGCATCCGACAAAATTTAACACCCCTTCATGCTAAAATCTCTCAATAATCTAGGTATTGGTGGAACATATCTCAAAATAATATCAGCTATTTATGACAGTTCCATAGCCAATATCATACTGGATGAGGAAAAACTGAAAGCATTCCCTTTGAAAACCGGCACATGATAAGGATGCCCTCTCTCACCACTCCTATTAAACATAGTATTAGAAGTTCTGGCCAGGGCAATCAGGTAAGATAAAGAAATAAAAGGTATTCAAATAGGAAAAGAGGAAGTACATTGTCTCTGTTTGCAGATGACATGATTGTACATTTAGAAAACATCATTGTCTCAGCCCAAAATCTCCTTAAGCTAATAAAGAACTTTACCAAAGTCTCAGGATACAACTTCAATGTGCAAAAATCATAAACATTCCTATACACCAATAACAGACAGAGAGCCAAATCATGAGTGAACTCCCATTTACAATTGCTAGAAAGAGATTAAAATTCCTAAGAATACAACTTACAAGGGATGTGAAGGATCTCCTCAAGGAGAGCTACAAACCACTACTTAAGGAAATAAGAGAGGATACAAAAAATGGAAAAATATTCCATGCTCATGGATAGGAAGAATCAATATTGCAAAAATGGCCATAGTGCCCAAAGTAATTTATGATTTGATGCTCTGCTCATCAAGCTACCATTGACTTTCTTCACAGAATTAGAAAAAAAAACTTAAATTTCATGTGGAACCAAAAAAGAGCCTGCATAACCAAGACAATCCTAAGCAAAAAGAACAAAGCTGGAGGCATCATGCTACCTGACTTTCAAGTATACTACAAGTCTACAATAAACAAAACAAATGGTACTGGTACCAAAACAGATGTATAGACCAATGGAACAGAACAGAGGCCTCAAAAATAACACTACACATCTACAATCATCTGATCTTTGACAAACCTGACAAAAACAAGCAATGAGGAAATGTTTTTCTATTTAATAAATGTTGTTGGGAAAACTGGCTAGCATATGCAGAAAATTAAAACTGGACCCCTTCCTGATACCTTGTACAAAAATTACCTCAAGGTGGATTAAATAATTAAATGTAAAACCTAAAACCATAAAAACCCTAGAAGAAAACCTGGGCAATACCATTCAGGACAAGGGCTTGGGCAAATACTTCATGACTAAAACACCAAAAGCAATGGTAATAAAAGTTAAAATTGACAGATGTAATCTAATCAAACTAGAGAACTTCTGCACATCAAAAGAAACTATCATCAGAGTGAACAGGCAGCCTACAGAATGAGAGAAAATGTTTGCAGTCGATCCATCTGACAAAGGGCAAATATCCAGAATCTACAAAGAACTTAAACACATTTACCAGAAGAAAACAAACAACTCCATCAAAAATTGGGCAAAGGATATGAAAGGTTAGATGAATTGCTAAGTAGAATAAGTAGTTTCAAAAGAAGTCTCAAAAGAAGACATTTTTGCAGCCAACAGACATATGAAAAAAGCTTATCATCACTGGTCATTAGAGAAATGCAAATCAAAAGTACAATAAGATACGATCTCACAACTGTTAGAATGACAATTATTAAAGTCAGGAAACAACAGATGCTGAAAAGGTTGTGGAGAAATAGGAATGTTTTACCCTGTTGATGGGAGTGTAAATTAGCTCAACCATTGTGGAAGACAGTGTGGTGATTCCTAAAGGATCTAGAACTAGATATACCACTTGACCAAGTGGTATAGGACCCAGTCCTATTACTGGGTATATAATATACCCAAAGGATTATAAATCATTCTACTATAAAGAAACATGCACATGTATGTTTATTATGGCACTGTTCACAATGGGAAAGACTTGGAACCAATCCAAATGCCAATCAGTGATATAGACTGGATAAAGAAAATGTGGCACATAAACGCCATAGAATACTATGCAGCCATTAAAAAGGATGAGTTCATGTCCTTTGCAGGGACATGCATGACACTGGAAACCATCATTCTCAGCAAACTAACACGAGAACATAAAACCAAACACTCCATGTTCTCACTCATAAGTGAGAGGCGAACAATGAGAACACATGGGCACAGGGAGGTGAACATCACACACCAGGGCCTGTCAGGGGGTGGGAGGTTAGGGAAGGAATAGCACTAGGAGAAATATCTAATGTAGATGACGGATTGATGGGTACAGCAGACCGCCATGACACATGTATACCTATGTAACAAATCTACACATTCTGTACATGTACCCCAGAACTTAGAGTGTAATTTTAAAAAAAGAAAAGAGAAAATGTAACTACTCAATTGGTTTTTCTTGTCTGCTTCGCAAAATCAATTCACTAAAAAAGTGATGTAGTACAGAAAGAGTTAAATTATTGCAAGGAAGCCCAGTGGAAGAATGGGAGACATTTCTCAAATCTGCCTCTCTGGCAGCTCAGAAGCTAGGGTTTTTAACCTTTTCCTGTTTGTGGTGAGAATAGTCACTGGCAGTTCTGCCAACATTTACCCCGAGATAACTTTGCCATGAAATATCTCGCTTTTATTATTATTATTGCTTCGCTGTAGTATATTGACTTCGGAAACAAAAGACATCATTCTATTTTTAGCATTCCGTTCATAGTAATGGTATTTCCATTTACTAAGTACAGTAATTCTTGATAGCTGAAAATATCAAATCCTAGAAGACATATCTTTGCTATGTGTGATGTTAACATTGATCTCCAACATTTATTGACCAAAGGTTCATTTGATGAATCCCGTTTTCCCAAAATAGACAATTCTGATGATTTAGACAACTTTGATATTATTTTTCTTTAGTAATAACTACAACAGTTTTACCTTTTATTTTCACGTTGAAAATCAGTCATGCCAGCTTCAACCTCAAAGAGTGTGTTCATGTAAAATTAAATGATTGCTGGCAGAAAGCTGTAATATTTTTTTTCCTAAATGGGAGAAAGGTTAAGGATAATTTGGTGAACAAGAGGCTAGGGAATAGGTACTCCTGATGGGTTGGGGATGAAATCACAGGGGTGTGGGAAACAGTCCTCGTATGCCAATTCCACCTCTGGGTGAGGGCCACAAGACTAGTTGAGTCATGAGTCATGACTCATGGGTCTGGGTAGATTTGGCTGATGTCAGGTCAGTCATTTAGCCAGAAAGCAGACGTCTGAAAAATATCTCAAAGACCAATCTTAGGTTTTCACAGTAATGTTGCTATCTCTAGAAGCAAATGGGGAAGTTAAAAATCTTTTGACCTCCAGCTAAATGACTCTTGGGCAGTAAGATGCTACAGAAAGGCAAACCAGGGAACAATGGCTGGTTAAGATTTAAATACACCTACATCTTATCAGAAATCAGGTCCCCCATCCCCATAATCCTAACCTTGTGGCTTTCCATTAGTATTATAAAGGTTATTTCTCTCCCTAAGAAAGGAAGGGGTTAGTTTTGAGAAGGAATCATGTCATCTTTGTTTTAACTTTAAAATAAAGTTTTCAAAGTTTATGAAGTTTTTAAAGTTAATGAAGGCAGTTCACTTGTAAGATTAAAAGCAATATGGAGTCAGTTATATTAGCTTTCTCTCACTGTCATAATTTTTACAAATGCAGTTTCAAAAATAGGCTTGCAGAGCAAGCCAACTGATAGGACACAGAGTAGCTTCAAGGTCAGAATCTGCTCTTAGAATGAGCTGATACAGATGCAGGAGGTATCACTCAGGGGCTATCCAGGTGCATTATTTACCTGTTGTTCCTCCTAGGGTCAAGGACATGAGTGCAATCTAAAGGTGAAATTTTGCAGAAGCAATGAAGCAGACACTGAAACTGTCTTTGGGGGCTGCTCATTAACCATGGCTAGCTTGCTCTCGGTCTATAATACAACAATTTCTAAATATATCAGGAAATCTCTGATCATTGCATAGTCATTCAATTTTTTTCTCATCTGTATCCATGTTGCAAAATACATGGTCCTGTGAACTATAGAAACCATCCTCACAGGGTTAACAAGAATTGCATGTCAGGTTCTGGACATAAACACACTTGTAATTAAGTATGAATCAGGCTGTACTTTGGCCCACATCCCTGTTGCTAAAAGCCCTGTAGCACTAGAAACTAATCTGTATCCATAATGCTCCTACAGATAGGATATCTGACATTAGCATCATAATACTGTTTAAGAATTGTTAATACTGTTTTATATCCTCATTGCTCCTATAGGCAATATCTCTGACATTAGAATCATAAGACATTTGTTTAAGAATTTCTTAAAATGTTTTTCAGGCCCTGAATTCTGGCAACAATTTGAAGATGTCCACAGAGGAATGCGATCAGCATGAGAACACAGCTTCTTCCTCTCTCTGACTCGTGACTCTATCCTGCAGTCTCCCACCAATCAACCATCTCCACACTTCAGCCCACTCTAAAACTCTTAAAAACCCTGGCACCAAATTCCTTGAAAGATGAATTTGAGGTTTTCTCTTCTCTCTTTGTTTGGAGGCTATCTTTCTGTGTTGCAATCCAATGTCTCTCCATATTGCTGTGTACATCACACAGTGAATCTATTATGATTACAAGCTTATCTAGGAATCACTGATCATTGCATAGTCATCCCATTTTTCTCTAAGCCATATCCATTTTGCAGAATTCACAGTTCTATGCCCTGCCAGTTGGCTCAACTCTATTTGGCAGGAGCATAAAAGCCCTGGTAAATTCTTCAGGGTCAAAAGAGACTGATTTGGTTTCATGCCTCATGTCATGATGATGCAGCCCTCACATCTGGTCTTAATCTAAAGATTCCTGCTGCCTTCCTGTAACTGCCCAATGGGTTCATCTTGCCCACTGCCCAGATAGAGCTGATCTATCAAGACAGGGGAATTGCAATAGAGAAAGAGTTTAATTCACATAGAGCCAGCTAAATGGGAGACCAGAGTTTTATTATTGTCCAAATCAGCCTCATCAAAAATGTGGAGACAGTTTGACAGCCAGTGGGCTAGAGAATGAATGCTGCCAATTGGTTGTGTATGCAATCAGAGGGGTGTGGAAGATGGTCCTTGTGTGCTGAGTTCCCTTCTAGCTGGGACCACAGGATCACTGAGTCATGAATCTTGAGTCTGGAGCCATCTGGTCATCAGAAATGTAAAAATCTGAAAAGACATCAAAAAAGGCCAGTCTTAGGTTCTACAATAGTGATGTTTAAGAAGAGTGAATATCACCTAGGGACCATTGAACAGGTCCTTGTGACAAAAACTCCCTCTCTGAGGAATTTAGAAGAAAACAAAGACCACCTGATGACCATCAAACAGGACATCCAGAGACAAACTTCATCTGGGGAATTTAGAAGTAATTAAACTTCCCTGGTATCTAAAGGTAGCATCTGTTTCCAGGACTCTCAATTTTCATAAGTAATTAGAATTTCTACACATCTCCAAATGCATGCAAACTGAAACTCATTGTATAACATTTGCCCACATAAAGGCACCAAAATGTCTACAAATGTAATCATTTATCATGAAAATTACCCTTCACCTACCCCTTTAAGTTTCATAAACACCTCTACAGAAAAATCTACTGCAGTGCTCTCAGTCCTCTCTCACTAAGGTACTCCTCTCCCCCTGCACCCTGCTACGGTGTTCTTTCTATCTTGTAGAACTTCCTTTTACAAACCTACACTGTTGTTGGTGAATTCTTATCAACCTGAAGGTGACCAATTCCTGAAGCTGGGGCTCTGACACCTGGCCCAGCAATGTTATTTACAGGAGAATTTCAGGAATTTGCAAATCTTGTGACCTTCAGAATAATGGTTGGTAATGGTAATGGTTTAACTTCACCTATTGTATTAGTGTGTTTTCATGCTGTTAATAAAAACGTATCTGAGACTGGTATGTCTCTTTATAAAGGAAAGAGATTTAATGGACTCACAGTTCCACATGTCTAGGGAGGCCTCACAATCATGGCAGAAGGCAAAGGAGAAGCAAAGGTGCATTTTACATGGTGGCAGTCAAGAGAGAATAGGTGCAGAAGAACTCTCTCTTATAAAACCGTCAGACCTATAAGACTTATTTCCTATCACGAGAATAACATGGGAAAAACCCACCCCCATGATTCAATTATCTCCAACCAGGTCCTTCCCATGACACATGAAAATTTTGGGAGCTTTAATTCAAGATGAGATTTGGGTGGGGACACAGACAAACCATGTCACCTATATATTAGCACACTTCAGGCAGCTGTCATTCTCCTAAGCTGGTGGCCTTTCATTAGTTTTACAAAGGCAGTTTAATTTTGGGAAGGGCTATTATCATTTAAAGTACAAACTGAAGTTCTCCCAAAGTTAGTTTGGCACATGCCGAGGAATGACCAGGGCAGTTTGGAGACTAAAGGAAAGATGGAGTTAGGACAGATCTCTTTCACAGTCATAATTTTCTTAGTGTTATAAATTTTGCAAAAGTGGTTTCATTACCTCTCTGCAGTGCTGCACTTGAAACTTGACTTCAGTCTTGGAAGGCAATGGGTTTCCAAAATGTTACTCTTGAATAAATGTTCTCACCAGTAACTTTTAGTAATCCAAATCTAGTTCCTCCACAAATTCAGAACAACATTCAAAGTAATGAATAATTCTGTAACTGTCTAAAGTGCACAAACACTGTCTTATAATTTATTGGCTTTTTACAACTGAGAAAGTTGAACCTAGGTAAATGTGTGCCTGTGCAATAGACCTGCACATCCTGCACCTGTACTCCAGAACATAAAATAAAATATAAAAAAAGAAAGTTGAGGCCAGACTCAGTGGCTCACACATATAATCCCAGCACTTTGGGAGGCTGAGGTGGGTGGATTACTTGAGGTCAGGAGCTCAAGACCAGCCTGGTCAACATGGTGCAACCCAGTCTCTACTAAAAATATAGAAATTAGCCAGGTGTGGTTGTGGGTGCCTATAATCCTAGCTACTCAGGAGTCTGAGGCAGGAGAATTGCTTAAAACCTGGAGATGGATATTGCAGTGAGCCAAGATCATGCTACTGCAGTACATCCTGGGGAATAGAGTGACACTCCTTCTCAAAAAAAAAGAGGAGAGAAGAAGGAAAGAAAGAAAGAAAGAAAGAAAGAAAGAAAGAAAGAAAGAAAGAAAGAAAGAAAGAAAGGAAGAAGAAAGAAAGGAAGGAAGGAAGGGGAAGAAAGAGAGGAAGAAAGAAAAAGAAAAAGAAAGAAAGAAAAAGAAAGAGAGAAAGAAAGAGAGGAAGGAAGGAAAGAAAGAAAGGTAAAGAAAGAAACTTGTGTCTTAGAGATGTAAATGATTTAGCAAAGGGAAAATAGCTCAGGAATTCAGAGTAAATTCTTCACACCCCTGTGCCAGGATTCTACTGCTACCTGAGTTTATGACCATTTGCACAGATGGTCATTTTTAATTTTCCTAAGTATATATATGCAAGTTCTAAGAATGTTGTTCTTTCAAACTCTGAAAGCTGTCTTCTTTCAATACTAGAATGTTCTTTTATTCTTACTCAAAGCTCCACGTTTCTCAGCATCCTTCAAATTTTTAATTAGTAAGGCAGATAGTTTTAGTCAAAGAGAGAGAAGAGATTTCTAATATGATGTTAGAGAAAATATTTTTTTTCCTACAGCAAGTTACTTTCACCTCCAAGGGAAAGTAGTTATTCTATTTATATCTATGCTAATGCATACTTTTAAGAAAGAACTTGCAGAATTCAATTTTGTTGAGTTCACTGTGACTGTAGAAATACACAGGCCTTTGAGGCCTCTGCTTGGCTAATGTTTGTATTCTACGGACTGCCCCACACAAGAAAGTTGGGAATGTTTCCTGTGAATGCCAACTCCTTTGAGATTGAAATAAGCCAATTACCATTTGTATTTGAAGAATTTTGTTTAATTTGGGAATCATTATAAAAAGGTCTGCTCTTCATTCATAAACCAAAATTTAAATTTGCCTAAAGATCCATCCAGATTCAAATTCCAACCAGAGCACTAAATGGCAGAAAACCCAAACACATCCTCTGAAAATCAGGGCAAGATTACAAAAAGTGCTAAAATATCATCACGTAGCTTGGCAAGACTGGGATCCAAAGCTAAGAGGCCCGGTAAAACACTCCCACTTACAGTCTCATTTTCCAGTCTTCTAGCTGAGATGGAAATCATTCTCTACTGCAAATTGCTTTGCTGAAGCAAAAATGAATGGCTTTTCAGGCAAACACCTAACATTCCCACCTGAATATTTGCTTTTAAAAGGTTATATTTTTTCCTCTTCATGTTAAAGATGAAAATATCCCATTTAGCACAGGGGGGGTTTGAATTATGCAGTGCCAGGGAATATGAAAATAAGTTTAGTGTAAACAATGTCTTAGATTTCATACAGTTTGCTGCCTTTTGGGTAATGATGCCAAATTTTTTCTTCCCATGACTGATCAGAGAAGTTTTTTTTTTTTTTTTTTAATGGATTTTCTGATTAGATTAAGGCTTGTGCACACAGTAAAATTTAATTCTAATGAATACTGACAGAAATGAAAATTACTTAGAAATTTGACTCTGAGTGTTAATTATCAATACATTAGTATGCTATCCTTTTTTAGGTGTTAAAGGATTTTGGCTTATTCCAAAAACTCCACAAATTGAAGAATATGTGATAATTACTTCTAATATTGACCTAAGCCCTAAATATGTTTTTTAAAGAATATTTACAGCTTTATTGATTTTAGGTCTACAACAGATGTGAATGTAAATAAGTTCACACATAGCCATCTGGCACAAGAAGACCACTTTACTCATACTCAGTCTAGCAAGAACAACAGATGGAAAAATAATAAAAGGAATGACAAAAGAAACACTCATATGCCAGTTGGAATATAAAAGAAAACATGAGATAAAATGGATACATTAACAAATGCAAACTAAATAAGATACTCATCAAAATTAAAACATTCTTATATTGGATAAGAAAAGCACCATCCAGCTATATGGTTTAATTTAAAAATACTTAAAACATAAATAACAAAGAAAAAGTTGAAAATAAAGCAATAGAAATATTATCCCAGGTAAACAGTGACAAATAAAGTGTAAATAATATTATCATTAGAATAGTAAAATGGCTGATGAAGTTTGCCAATGAGTAAATAAGTCTGTAATCCAAGACCAAGGCACAGAAAACTGATTTTTCTTTCAGGAAAATAGTGTAACTATTAAATTAATATAAAACCCAGGATGAAAATGTAACTGAGAAAAGAGAGTTATTTTATAACTATATGTAGTATGATTCTTTAAGAAACTTCAATAACCATGGAGCAATCACTGTAGAAATTAAAAAACAAATTGAAAAGGCCTATTTATATTTAGAGACTTTAATCATATTTCCTCAGAAACCGGTATTTCATGTTAATTCGAACATATTTGAAATACTCAGGATTTCAAAGAAACAATTAGCAAAGGTAATCTGAATCATTTCCCCAAACATACAATTCATTCCTTTCAACACCCATGGATTAATCCCAAAAGTGCTGATGTAGCAGGACTCAGGGAGATTCTTCAAATTCCTAATATATGTATCAGGCATGGGGTTATTATTGTGGGGAAAGGGACGGTTAGAATTTTTACTTTTACTCCTTCTCCTTTTGTTTCATTTTATTTTCCAAACTACAGATGCACTTAGTTATTACTTGTTTGATTAAATGTAATAGAAAAAATGGTGAAAATTTTATGCTAGGCAGAGAAAAATGTTCTAATTGGAATAATTATCCCATAAAGTTATGGCTGGCTTAAAGTACAATGCATTTTTTTTAAGCAGCAGGTGTGGGAATGATAGACCCATGAATTGCTAATGAAAGAAGTTTGACCATGCATGATTTTCAGCATCACCCAAAGGCTTACTCTTGGTTCTGTATTGAATCTGGTATCCTATGTATGTTTTTGTTCAATAAGTTTCATCTCTCCTGGATCCTTGGATCTTCCTGGAACAATTTGGGGATATTAATTTTGGTATTTTCACTCCCTAGTGACCTAGTCCCCCAGATACCTGCTTTACCAACTTTCTCACCACCACTTTCAAATCATTGCTCCAACACCACCTCCCCAAGGAAAGGGACCCTGGCCACTCTTCAATGCAATGTCTGGCTCCCCTCTGCAGTGCTTTCCACCCACTTAAGCCAATGCACTTTTCTATGTTTCAATAGCAAGCATCAATTCCCAAAATGCCACACAAGTTACTTACTTTACACATTCTTTTCCTTTGTTCACTCCAGGAAGAAAAAAAAGTTCATGAAAGTAGAAACTTTATTTGGTTTTCTTCACCAATCTATTACAACACCTTAGAATGTAATAGACCACCCTAAATGTTTTGAATTTATGAACAATGACACAAAACTCTCAAAAGACAAGTTTCCATTAGAAAAATAGAATCTCTCATCAAAAATCTAGTAAATCTAAAAATCATAAATGTGTTCTATCAAACCATTAAAAAATCTGATACTGAAAGCTTCAAACACTCATATAAATGTGCATACATTTCTATGCTTCAAAGTAAAAAAGACACTGATTCTTATAATCACCTTTTATTACTCAGTGCTCTATTAGGATTCCTGACATTCAAAATGTAAGAGAAATAGGAAGGGTTATTTGTTTATAAAGATAAAGAAAATATTATCATTATATAGCTGCAGAATAATACAAAATAACATACAAGAAATTAGTATAAATAATGTCATCATTAGAATAGTAAAAGGGTTGATGAAGTTTGCCAATGAGTAAATAAGTCTGTAATCCAAGGCCAAGGCACTGAAAACTAATTTTTCTTTCAGGAAAATGGTACCATAAGCAGAGATAGGGATATTCAATGTTTTAGAGGCAAATCAGTCTTGATCTTACATCTATTCATGAGATGCAACTCCAGATAAATTTCAAATAGAGGCCAGGCATGGTGGCTCACACCTGTAATCCCAGCATTTTGGGAGGCTGAGATGGGCAGATCACTTCAGGTGGAGAGTTTGAGAACAGCCTGGCCAACATGATGAAACCCAGTCTCTACTAAAAATACAAAAATTAGCTGGATGTGGTGGCAGGCACCTGTAACCCCAGCTACTCTGAAGGCTGAGGCAGGAGAATTGCTTGAAACCGGGAGACAGAAGTTGCAGTGAACTGAGATCGTCCCGCTGCACTCCAGCCAGGGCTAAAGATGGAGATGTCATTTAAAAAAAAAAAATCAAATAGAATAGTTTCAGTTACCAATTGGTATGTAATACATGAGCCTAAAAATTAGTGACTGAAGACAACCACTCTATTTCTTCATGAACCTGTATAGATCAGGGTTTGAGATCAGCTACAGTGGGGGAGGAGGTTCTACTTTTCATGATGATGGTTGCTGAAACTGCCTTTGCAAAAATTGTAACTGAGGAAATTATGACAGTGAAAGAGATAAGACCTAACTGACTCCATCTTGTTTCTAGCATTTAACTTGTCCATGCTCATTTCTAGGCATAGGCTGAACTAACTTTGAGAAGGAATTTAGTTTATAGTGTAAGTCCCACACAAAATTGATCATAGTTCTTTCCTTTCCCCTTCACCCCCGCCAAAAATAAAAACAAAAAACAAAAAACAAACAAACAAACAAAAACCTCCCTTGCCTGAGAACCAATCTGCCTTTGCAGTACTTAAGGATTAGCTGCAAAATTAGAAATAACAGTTTAGGGGCCATGCAGTCTCTGGCTTCAAGTGTCTGAACCTCCCCAAATTGCTCCTGGGCACATCACTATTATAAAGCCTAAGATTAGTACTTAAGGTATTTTGCAGACCTTGTAGTGGATTTACCAGCTGATACCTCCCATACCAGTAATCTCATTCAACCAGTTCTGCAATCCCACCCAGGAATAGAAGACAGAAAGAAAACCTTACTTCGACCCTCTTTGATTATATCTCCAACCCAACCAATCAGCACTCCCTTCTTCCTGAGCCCCTACTCACCCAATTATCCCTAAAAACTTCAATCTCTGAATGCTCTGGGAGACTGATATGAGTAATATTAAAACTCTGGTCTTCCACACAACCAGCTCTGTGTGAATTACTCTTTCTCCACTGCAATTGCCCTGTCGATAAATTGGCTCTGTCTAGTAAGAGGGCAAGGTGAACCCGTTGGGTGGTTACATTGGGGCATTTATTTAGCTGCTTCAAATGATGGCTTGTCTGGGGTACAGGGTTTAAAAAGACTTCACTCATGTGTCCAGCTGAGAGATTGGTGGTAGACAGCAAAGCTGAGGCTGCTGGTCAGAGGCTATGGTTCTTCTCCGTGTGACTCTATCCTAATGATAGCTTGAGCGTCCTTACAGAATGGCAGCTGAGTTCCAAGAAGGAGTGTTCACAGCAACAAAGGTGAGGTCTGCAGATCTCTGGAATCCCATCTTAGGAAATGACATAGTTTCACTTTCATCACATTTTACTGATCAAAACAGAGCCTAGAACCAGCTCAGTTTCAAGAAAAGACTGCAGCATTTAATGTGAAGGCAACATTGCTAAAGAATTTATGGGTTGGGAGAATGGGGCATCTTTGGAAACAGAATTCATCATGCAAATTTTTCTTTGGACTAGACTAGGTAATCATAAATAAATTTATTATGAAGCTCTAGCAAATTGATACAGTGCAAATTATTTTAAGAATATAAAGATAATTAAAAATTTGAGAGCGTAGAATGAGATGCATACACAGACTGTCATTGAGATATATGCATATGCATTATAGAGACATGGTGTTATAAATAAAAGATGAAATTATGCAATTTCCATAAATGTGGGGAAATTGGTTTCCATATGGAAAACAAAACAGCTACTCAAATGTGATACCACAATAAAGTAAATATACATTAAGTAACTAAAACTTGAAAAAAAATTTTAATGTATGACTTGAATAATTTTTATAATAGAAGATAAAATGTGCAAATCTTAAAGTAAAGAATGGCAAAATGGATTTTGAAATAAAATCTTGTGGTCAGCCACGTGTGGGGACCCACATCTGTTATCCCAGCACTTGGGAGGCCAAAGTGAGTGGATCACTTGAAGTCAAGAGTTCAAGAACATTCTGCTTAACATGGTGAAACCCCATCTCTACTAAAAATACAAAAATTAGCTGGGCATGGTGGCATGCATCTGTAATCCCAGCTACTTGGGAGGTGGAGGCACAAGAATTGATTGATCCCAGGAGGCAGAGGTTGCAGTGAGCCAAGATGGTGTCACTACACCACCGCTTGGGCAACAGAGTGAGACTTGTCTCAAAAAAAAGAAAAAAAGGCCGGGCGCGGTGGCTCACGCCTGTAATCCCAGCACTTTGGGAGGCCGAGGCGGGCGGATCACGAGGTCAGGAGATCGAGACCATCCCGGCTAAAACGGTGAAACCCCGTCTCTACTAAAAATACAAAAAATTAGCCGGGCGTAGTGGCGGGCGCCTGTAGTCCCAGCTACTTGGGAGGCTGAGGCAGGAGAATGGCGTGAACCTGGGAGGCAGAGCTTGCAGTGAGCCGAGATCCCGCCACTGCACTCCAGCCTGGGCGACAGAGCGAGACTCCGTCTCAAAAAAAAAAAAAAAAAAAAAAAAAAAAAAAGAAAGAAAAAAAAAAAAATTCCGGTCAAAGTCTACCTAAACACATCTGGAAAACAAGAAATGTGCAAATAAATTTACAATGGATATAAAAGGCAAAAGAATAAAACCAGTGATATGTAAATAGTTTTTAAAAGAGAATTTAAAACATTAGACAAAATGATAATAGGACATAAATGAGAATAAGCAAATTACTTAACAGGACATTGAAACATCCAATAAACATATGGAAAGATGTTGTGCATCTCTCTAATGAAAGAAAGACATACTATAATTACATACATATAATTAACAAAATGTAAAGTCTTTAAAAATAGGACTACCATATGATCCTTCAATCTCACTACTCAGTATACATCGAAAGGAATTTCAATCAACACTCCCATATGCATCACAACACTGTCTACAATAGATAAGAAGGATAATCAAACTAAGTGTCTATCAATAGAGGAATGGAAAAGAAAAAGTGGTACCTAAACACAATGGAATACTATTCTGCCTTAATAAATGAAATTCTGTCATTCACTACAACATGGATGATCCTGGAGGACGTTATGCTAAGTGAAATAAGCCAGGCACAGAGAGATAAATACTGCATGTTCTCACTTATATGTGAAATCTAAAACAGTTGAACTCAGAAGCAGAGAGTAGAATAGTGGTTGGTCAAAAGACACAAAACTTTAGTTAAATGAGAGGAATAATTTCAAGAGCTCTATTGTACTCACGGTGATTATAGTTAATAACAATGTATCGTCTACCATAAAATTGCTAAAATAATAGATTTTTAAATGTTCTCACGATGGTCATGATAGCTCATGCCTCTTGGGAAGATGAAGTGAGAGTATTGCTTGAGCTCAGAATCTTGAATTCAACCTGGGAAACATAGGAAGACAATAACTCTACCAAAAATAAACAAAATTATCCACGTGTGGTTGTGTATGCCTGCATTCCCAGCTACTCAGGAGACTGAGGTGGAAGAATCACTTGAACCCTGGAGGTCAAGGCTGCAGCAAGTTATGAGGATGCCACTGCACTCCAGCCTGGAGGACAGAGCAAGACCCTGTCTCAAAAACAAAACAAAACACAAAGTTCTTGCTACAACAAAATGATAAGTAGGTGAGATGTCTGATGTGTTAAAAAGCTTGATTCAGCCATTTCAGAATGCATTCATATATCAACATATCATTTTGTACATTATAAATAAATAGTTATTTGTAAATTTAAAAAATGTGTATATAAAGAAATAAAAAAAGGTAAAGTCTAACTCTGTGAAGTGTAAGATTACATGAGAATAGTGATTCCGTCCTTTTTTTGTTTTTTGTTTTTTTTTTGAAATAACCATTGCTACAAGCAATAGGGAGAGATATATACGATTATTTACTAAAGTTGAAAAACAATGACTTATATGCTCTGGCTCAGAAGTTGGACCTCTAGCTTCCCTCCTTAGAGGTGTTTCTACCCTATGCATAAGAAGACATGTAGATCAATGTTATTAGTTTGCTAGGGCTGCTACAGCAAACTACCATAAACTGGGTGGGAATTTTTGTTGTTGTTTGTTTATTTGTTTGGTTATTTTAGAGACAGAATCTTGCTTTGTCTCTCAGGCTGAAGTGCAGTGGTGTGATCATGGCTCACTGCAGCCTCAACCTCGCAAGCTTGAGCTATTCTTCTTCAGCCTCCCAAGTAGCTGGGACTACAGGTGCATACCATCAAGCCTGGCCAACTTTTTTAATGTTTTGCAAAAATTAGGTTTTTCTGTGTTGCCCAGGCTGGTCTTAAATTCCTGGGCTCAAGTAATCCTCCTACCTCAGCCTCCCAAAGTACTGAAATTACACACATGAGCCACTGTGCCTGGTCCAAACTGGGTGGTATAGAACACCACATTTTTTTTTTAATGGTTCTGGAGACCTGAATTATAAAATCAAGGTGTTATCAGACACCTTGCTCTCCACTGAGCCTCTAGAGAAGGATTTTTATGGTTTTATTTTTATGATTCTGGAGACCAGAAGTATAAAATCAACACATCACTAGACATCATGCTCTCCGCTGAGCGTCTAGGGAAGGATTTTTCTTTGGCTTTCTAGATTCTGGTAGCCATAGGTGTTCTTTGGCCTGTGGCCAATATGGTGACCAGTCTTCAGCCTGGCCAATATGGTGAAACTCTATCACTACTAAAAATAGAAAAATTAGCCAAGCATGGTGGTGCAGGCCTGTAATCCCAGCTACTCGTGAGGCTGAGGCAGAAGAATTGCTTGAACCTGGGAGGCGAAGCTTGCATTGAGATGAGGTCACACCACTGCACTACAACCTGTGTGACAGAGCAAGACTCTATCTCAAAAAAAAAAAAAAAAAAAAAAGCAAGTGACTTAGACATAATAATCTTTTAATTTTTAAAATTATCATTTCTAAATTATTTTTGGTGGGAATCTTTAACTATTTTTGTTTTTGAAACATGGTATCACTGTGTCACTCAGACTGGAGTACAACGGTGCAATCATAGCTCACTGTAGTCTCAACCTCCTGGATTCAAACAGTCCTCCCACCTCAGCCTCTCATGTGGTTGGGAGCACAGGCTTGTGCCACCATGCCCAGATAATTTTTTTTGATTAATTGTAGAGGGAGGATCTTGTTATGCTGCCCTGGCTGGTCTCAAACTCCTGGGCTCAAGCGATCCTCCCAAAGTAGCCTCCCAAAGTACTGAGGCTACAGATGTGAGCAATGCTACCTGGCCGGACATAATAATCTTACCAATTAATGGCTTCTTAAAATACTCATCAATGTGGTTAGAGCTTGAAAAACATTAAATAAACAAATCCTTATAGAGCTAATTGTAACAGTGTACAAATTGATATACATTTTTTAATTAAAATTATAAAGAGATGACAATGGGAATGATGAATACCAATCTCACCAAAGTAGCTGCCTTTGAATATGAAGGAAATGGAAGACCAGGACTGAAAACTAAGGGGGCTTAAATGAATTAATATTAACTACAGCAATCACAAAACACATACAAATGTGAAGATAAGAGAATAAATCTACTCACACTTGTTTATTCTGCATGTTGGTTTATGTGAGTTTGTTTTATTAGTTTGCCTTTTGGATTAATTTTGAGATTTATTTAATGAAAGCAATAAAACAGGGTCAAAATGGATTTAAAATGATGACTTACAAACTAGATCATGATATGAATGCCAGGAGAACTGGCAATTTATCTAATTTGTGTTTTGGAGAGCCAAGGAGTTATCTCTAAATTCCAATGGAAACTTGTTAACATGTATAACCTTAATTTTCACTTGGATTTGAAATGTACCCTACTTTTTTTTTTTTTTACATCTTTGCAATGTCCTCTCACCCCTTTGCCTTCCAATTGGAGTAACAGTCACCATTTTGAAGTAGTTCAGTTCATATTGTGTATAACTCTGAAACTTCACGTGAAGCTGTAATTCATATCAATGAGTGAGTGGGGGAATTTGGCTATGATCCTATTAATATGGTATAAATCTTTAATGTGCCTTATTTTCCTACTATGTAAAACTGCATATTTTAAGTACACATTAATATTAAAATCACAGTGAGAAACCCTAACTTTAGGAACATAAGTCTCTGATGGTGGAAGAACATTACTGAAGTCAACAGTGTTTTAAAATGTAGGCATTTTACAGAATTATAATTTAATGTAGCACCAATTCACCAACCTGAATTCAAATTATTTCTCCCATCCTTCTCTCCACTCATGAGAGTGAAGGTGCAGAGTTCATATTTAAAGTCCTATTTTGCTGCTTTCACCTTCACATTTCAACTGTACATTTGCTTGGGAATTTAGCAAATATCTTCCATTTCATTTAACATAAAGTGGTCTTCCAGAGGGAAGACAGAGGGAGGCAAGACAGCAGAGCCTTGGCTGTGTGGTAAAACTTACTCCATCCAATGATGGACCTGTGCAAAGGGAGGAACTTCAGAGATAAATGATTTGTTCAAAGCCCAGTATGACACAGACAGTCCTGGCTGTAAACCAGTGTAATGTACAAGTGTAAGGCATGGGATCTCTGCTTCCCAAAGGGTCATGGTTATCTCCTTCCCCTCTTGCATATCCAGGACAACTTGGATCATTAAATAAAGAAGTTAGGAAAGAACTACTGGCAACTTGCATGTTGTTGCATGCACAAGCAATATTACATTTTAATGTATTTTTATCTTTACTGTTTTCATTACTTTTCACTGCTGGATTCTAAATCCAAAAATGCACCTGTTACTTCACCTTTTATTTGAGACATTATGGTGCTGTAAGTTTAGACTTTAAGTGAGCTTCACAGGCTTAAAGAGTGTATGTCAGGATAGGGAAGGTGTTCTCCACTCATGCAGCCACAGAATTATTCAATCTCAGCTTCTTTCTACAAATCATGGTGCAACGACATGCACATAGCCTCAGGGTGATGATTCAGTAGTATTTCAACAAAACACATACAGGGTCAATAGTTATTTCAAGCCAACTGTTAATTAAACATAATGAAAGCTATAAAACAGTACCAAGTTCTGAGGCTCAAAATGATATTCAGTACTCCTCCCACTTCTCCTGTCAAAGTTTCCAACACCTATTTTTCCCACACCAAGATATTGTATAAATATAAAACAAAAGTATATATTCATATTCCACTTACATTATTATTTTGCATATATGTGAATGTACCATATGTATCATTGTATGTATGTACAATGCATGATGTACAATGCATTTGTATGTAGAATGTCTTGTATGCACAATCCATTGTGTACATTGCATTTGAATGTACAATGCACTTTATGTATAATGTATTATGTACCATACATTTGTCATACATCAATAAATCTTGGACACTTTTTCATATTAGTACATAAGGTAACACCATTTTCTCTTTGTGCACTTGCACAGTGCAATAATTGCTTGATTGAAGAAATAAGACAATTATATTAAGTGGATCACAAAGAGCTTTGGCATCTTCTAAGTTCAACTCCCTGTTGCTAATGGTTCTTAAAGGATTCTAGGCTTCCTAAACCCAGTGGATGCCACACATATGGTTTCTCTGATGATCTCTATTTCCATTAATATCGAATTCATCTACATGGCCACTTAGAGACCTGGGCACTATTTATAATTTTCCACAAATTGACATTTTTCATGCCATGTTATTTACCAAGATATGTGGATTGTATCCTCCTTTTCAAGGATCAAATTGTATCCCCCACTTACCAAAATATGTTGAAGTACTGACTCCTAGTACTTCAATATGTGACCTTATTTGAAAATAGGGTCATTACAGATGCAATTAGTTTAGGATGAGGTCATATTGGAATAGGGTAGATTTTAAATCCAATATGACCAATGTTCCAGTGAGTAGACTGCAATGTGAAAACAGAGATCCATAGACATAACACCACGTGATGAAGAGTTAGAGATTGGAGTGACCCACACTCAAGGCAGGGAATGCCACAGATTGCTGGCTACCACAAAGCTAGGAGGGAATCTAAGAAGGATTCCTTCCTCAGAACCTCCAGATGGAACCAACCCTGGCAACATCTTTTTATAAAATTGGAAGTCAACGGATTTCATCTTCCCAATGGGGCATGGTAATTTCCTTTTATTCTTGCATGTCTAAGGCAACTTGTACCATTAAATAAAGAACTGCTGGCAACTTATACCATTGTTGCCTGCACAAGCAACATTATTCCCAATATATGTTAATCTTTACCATCTTTCTTATTTTGTGCTGCTGAATGCTAAATCCAGAAATGGACCTCTCCCCAGAATTTTGGAATTGTGGCTTCCAGAATTGCAAGACCACACATTTCTGCTGTTTTAAACTTCCCAATTTCTGGTTCTTCGTAATGGAAGTACTAGGATATTAGATGTCCCTAAATCTCCTTACTATTTGCTCTTTCCTCTCCAGCTCCCAAACACTGAAAAAGAGCTTTCATTAAATGCAATCTCTTTCCAGACCCCTAAACCAAAATTGGACACCTAAAATATGCATGTGAACATATTTCCCTCCTTCAGTTGCTCATATGACCACAGGTTTACTGGGGAGATTAAATTGAAGCCTGTTATCTATTCAAGCATTGATTGACTGATTGATTGAATAACTGATTGTAGGAAGCATTCACTGAATGCTTACTAGATGTCAGGAACTGCGTATGAGACCCTGTGCTCAAATTAGCCAAGAAATACCTCTCCACATTTTAGGATATTTCCTTAAAAGTCATTGCAGAATTTAAAGTTCTACTTTTCTCACTGTTTCCTTTGTGCTATTTTCTTTGCTTCAAACCCTGATAATCTTAATCTCTAAGATTTAGTTGAAGTCACATCTTTCCTGTGAAGTCATCTTTTATTCCTCAGAGACTAGGAAGGTGTACTTATCTTATTTCTCAGAGCAATTCTAAGAGGGAAAGCCTACCTTATTTTAGATACTATTTTTAAAAATGAGGCCAGGCATGGTGGCTCATGCCTGTAATCCCAGCACTTTGTGAGGCCAAGGCAGGTGGATCACAAGGTCAGTAGATCGAGATCATCCTGCCTAACATGGTGAAACCTGTCTCTACTAAAAATACAAAAAATTAGCTGCACATGGTGGCGGGTGCCTGTAGTCCCAGCTACTTGGGAGGCTGAGGTGGGAGAATGGCATGAACCTGGGAGATAGAGCTTACAGTGAGCCGAGATTGTGCCACTGCACTCCAACCTGGGCAACAGAGCAAGACTCCATCTCAAAAAAAAAAAAAAAAAAAAATACTGACTATGAAAATTAGATCCAATTACAGAGCTTAAAGATATTCTAAATATCTTGACTTAATCATTAACACAATTCTATGCATGTAACAAAATATGACACTTATCTCATAAATGTGTACAAATATTATATATCAATACATTTTTTAAAAGAATATTTTAAACTATGGTTTATGCTTCTAAATCCCAAAACCCATAATGCAATATGGTTCATACACCTGCACAGAAAATGTCCCTAACCCAGGGCCCATGCCTTAGAACACACTGTGAATCACAAACACAAGTCAACAATTAAATGCATATGGGATTAATGATGGACAACAGGAATCTGTCACTTGGGAGCCAGGGCTCAACTCAAATATCGTGTAACTGCAGCCCTGAGCATATGTTCTCATGACTAACACCTTTCATGTCTCCAAAAACGTTTCCAAGTCTTGACCAACAAACGTTCCTGAAACCAGAGGTGACTTGTTTCAATGCTCCTAAGATCTGTGTGTTTTATCTTAGGCATTTCTGAGATGGACATTGCTTTACTGCTTTGGTATGTGGAAAGATCTGAGTTGCAGAGATGTTTAGGTGAATGGCAAAAAAAAAAAAAGTGCTTATTTGTCAAACACTTGATCTCAGAGTGAAAATGCAGAATAGAATTCTATAATGTAAGCTCTGGCTAAGAATGACATTTCTCTTGAAAAGTAGTTACATTATAAATATTTATATAAGCATCCACATAATATCCTAGGTTTGACCACCTAGACTGTTAAGCAATCACTCACTTTCTAGAAAAACCTAGAAACCTCATATGCAGGGGATGGTTGAATAAAAAGTATTATTTCAAGCCAGGTGCAGTGGTTCATGTCTATAATCCCAGTACGTTGGGAGGCCAAAGCAGGCAGATCACTTGAAGTCAGGAGTTTGAGACTAGACTGGACAACATGATGAAACTTTGTGTCTACCAAAAATACAAAAATTAGCCAGGAGTGGTGGTGCACACCTGTAATCCCAGCTACTTGGGAGGCTAAGCAAGAGAATCACTTAAACTCGGGATGTGGAGGTTGCAGTAAGCCAAGATTGCACCCACTGCACTCCAGCCTGGGTGACAGAGCAAGATTCCACCTCAAAAAACAAAACAAAACAAAACAAAACAAAACAAAACAAAACAAAACAAAATATTTCCCAGCACCACCCAGTAAATTTTACTTGCTTCTCTTTGTTTTCTATATTGTGGTTCTAGATGTACTCACAAATTAGCATGTTGTCTCCAAAAAGCTGCACAAGGTCACTGAGAAACATGTTGCAATATTAAAAAATTATATTGCAGGTATAAACATAGATGGATATTTGTGTATAATATGTTCAGAAATATAGATATGTGTTCTATATATGTGAAAAATAGAAATATATAGAACACGTATACACATATATGTGTACATGTATACCTGTGTTCCATATACATATATATGGAGTTCTATATATTACATGGATATTACATAGAAATTGTGATCATAATTCCTCATTTTAGCTACCAAGTGAATGTTAAAATATTAAATTTTAGACTAAAGTTCATGTATAAAACATAATTTGAAAGCTCCAATTTTATTTAAATAACTTCATAAAATTCAGTTTTTATTTATTTATTTATTTTTTCTTTTTTTTTAATTATACTTTAACTTCTAGGGTACAAGTGCACAATGTGCAGGTTTGTTACATATGTATATATGTGCCATGTTGGTGTGCTGCACCCATTAACTCCTCATTTACATTAGGTATATCTCCTAATGCTCTCCCTCCTCCCCTGACCCTACAAGAAGCCCTGGTGTGTGATGTTCCCCACCCTGTGTCCAAGTGTTTTGATTGTTCAATTCCCACCTGTGAGTGAGAACATGCGGTGTTTGGTTTTCTGTCCTTGTGATAGTTTGCTCAGAATGATGGTTTCCAGCTTCATCCATGTCCCTAGAAAGGACATGCACTCATCCTTTCTCATGGCTGCATAGTGTTCCATGGTGTATATGTGCCCCATTTGCTTAATCCAGTCTATCGTTGATGGACATTTGGGTTGGTTCCAAGACTTTGCTCTTGTGAATAGTGCCGCAATAAACATACGTGTGAATGTGTCCTTATAGCAGCATGATTTATAATCATTTGGGTATATACCCAGTAATGGGATTGCTGGGTCAAATGGTATTTCTAGTTCTAGATCCTTGAGGAATCGCCACACTGTCTTCCGCAATGGTTGTACTAGTTTACAGTCCCACCAACAGTGTAAAAGTGTCCCTATTTCTCCACATCCTCTCCAGCACCTGTTGTTTCCTGACTTTTTAATGATTGCCATTCTAACTGGTGTAAGATGGTATCTCATTGTGGTTCTGATTTGCATTTCTCTGATGGCCATTGATGATGCGCATTCTTTCATTCGTCTGTTGGCTGCATAAATGTCTTCTTTTGAGAAGTGTCTGTTCATATCCTTCACCCACTTTTTGATGAGGTTGTTTGATTTTTTCTTTTTTTTAAATTATACTTTAAGTTTTAGGGTACACGTGCACAATGTGCAGGTTAGTTACATATGTATACATGTGCCATCTTGGTGTGCTGCACCCATTAACTCATCATTTAACATTAGGTATATCTCCTAATGCTATCTCTTTCCCCTCCCCCGACCCCACAACAGGACCGGGTGTGTGATGTTCCCCTTCCTGTGTCCATGTGTTCTCATTGATCAATTCCCACCTATGAGTGAGAACATGCAGTGTTTGGTTTTTTGTCCCTGCAACAGTTTGCTGAGAATGATGGTTTCCAGTTTCATCCATGTCCCTACAAAGGACATGAACTTATCATTTTTTATGTCTGCATAGTATTCCATGGTGTATATGTGCCACATTTTCTTTATCCATTGTTGGACATTTGGCTTGGTTCCAAGTCTTTGATATTGTGAATAATGCTGCAATAAACATATGTGTGGGTGTGTCTTTATAGCAGCATGATTTATAACACTTTGGGTATCTACCCAGTAATGGGATTGCTGGGTCAAATGGTATTTCTAGTTCTAGATCCTTGAGGAATGGCCACACTGACTTCCACAAAGTTTGAACTAGTTTACAGTCCCACCAACGGTGTAAAGGTGTTCCTATTTCTCCACATCCTCTCCAGCACCTGTTGTTTCCTGACTTTTTAATGATCTCACTGTGGTTTTGATTTGCATTTCTCAGATGGCCAGTGATGATGAGCATTTTTTCATGTATCTTTTGATTGCATAAATGTCTTCCTTTGAGAAGGGTTAGTTCATATCGTTCACCCACTTTTTGATGGCGTTGTTTTTTTCTTGTACATTTGTTGGTGTTCATTGTAGATTCTGGATATTAGCCCTTTGTCAAATGAGTACGTTGCAAAATTTTTCTCCCATTCTGTAGGTTGCCTGTTCACTCTGAGGGTACTTTTTTTTTGCTGTGCAGAAGATCTTTAGTTTAATTAGATGCCATTTGTCAATTTTGGGTTTTTTGCCATTGCTTTTGGTGTTTTAGACATGAAGTCCTTGCCCATGCCTATGTCCTGAATGGTATTGCCTAGGTTTTCTTCTGGGGTTTTTATGGTTTTAGGTCTAACATATAAGTCTTTAATCCATCTTGAATTAATTTTTGTATAAGGTGTAAAGAAGGGATCCAGTTTCAGCTTTCCACCTATGGCTAGCCAGTTTTCCCAGCACCATTTATTAAACAGGAAATCATTTCCCCATTTCTTGTTTTTGTCAGGTTTGTCAAAGATCAGATGGTTGTAGATATGCAGCATTATTTCTGAGGGCTCTGTTCTGTTCCATTGGTCTACATCTCTGTTTTGGTACAAGTACCATGCTGTTTTGGTTACCGTAGCCTTGTAGTATAGTTTGAAGTCAGCATGATGCCTCTGGCTTTGTTCTTTTGGCTTAGGATTGACTTGGCAATGTGGGCTCTTTTTTGGTTCCATATGAACTTTAAAGTAGTTTTTTCCAATTCTGTGAAGAAAGTCATTGGTAGTTTGATGGGGATAGCATTGAATCTATAAATTACCTTGGGCAGTATGGCCATTTTCACAATATTGATTCTTCCTACCCATGAGAATGGAATGTTCTTCCATTTGTTTATATCCTCTCTTATTTCACTGAGCAGTGGTTTGTAGTTCTCCTTGAAGAGGTCCTTCATGTCCCTTGTAAGTTGGATTCCTAGGCATTTTATTCTCTTTGAAGCAATTGTGAATGGGAGTTCACTCATGATTTTGCTCTCTGTCTGTTATTGGTGTATAAGAATGCTTGTGATTTTTGCACATTGATTTTGTATCCTGAGACTTTGCTGAAGTTGCTAATCAGCTTAAGGAAATTTTGGGCTGAGACAATGGGTTTCTCTAGATATAAAATCATGTCGTCTGCAAACAGGGACAATTTGACTTCTTCTTTTCCCAATTAAATACCCTTTATTTCCTTCTCCTGCTTGATTGCCCTGGCTAGAACTTCCAACACTATGTTGAATAGGAGTGGTGAGAGAGGGCATCCCTGTCTTGTGCCAGTTTTCAAAGGGAATGCTTCCAGTTATTGCCCATTCAGTATGATATTGTCTGTGGGTTTGTCATAGATAGCTCTTATTATTGTGAGATACGTCCCATCAATACCTAATTTATTGAGAGTTCTTAGCATGAAGAGTTGTTGAATTTTGTCAAAGGCCTTTTCTGCATCTATTGAGATAATCATATTGTTTTTGTTGTTGGTTCTGTTTATATGCTGGATTATGTTTATGTTTATTGATTTGCATATGTTGAACCAGCCTTGCATCCCAGGGATGAAGCCTCCTTGATCATGGTGGATAAGCTTTCTGATGTGCTGCTGGATTTGGTTTGCTGGTATTTTAATGAGGATTTTTGCATCGATGTTCATCAGGGATATTGGTCTAAAATTATCTTTTTTTGTTGTGTCTCTGACAGGCTTTGGTATCAGGATGACGCTGGCCTCATAAAATGAGTTAGGGAGGATTCCCTCTTGTTCTATTGATTGGAATAGTTTCAGAAGGAAAGGTACCAGCTCCTCCTTGTACCTCTGGTAGAATTCGGCTGTGAATCCATCTGGTCCTGGACTTTTTTGGTTGGTAAGCTATTAATTTTTGCCTCAATTTCAGAACCTGTTATTGGTCTATTCAGATATTCAACTTCTTCCTGGTTTAGTCTTGGGAGGGTGTATGTGTTGAGGAATTTATTCATTTCTTCTAGATTTTCTAGTTTATTTGTGTAGAGGTGTTTATAGTATTCTCTGATGGTAGTTTGTATTTCTGTGGGATTGGTGGTGATATGCTCTTTATCATTTTTAATTTGTCTATTTGATTCTTCTCTTTTCTTCTTTATTAGTCTTGCTAGTAGTCTATCAATTTTGTTGATCTTTTCAAAAAACCAGCTCCTGGATTCACTGATTTTTTGAAGGGTTTTTTGTGTCTCTATTTCCTTCAGTTCTGCTCTGATTTTAGTTATTTCTTGCCTTCTGCTAGCTTTTGAATGTATTTGCTCTTGCTTCTCTAGTTCTTTTAGTTGTGATGTTAGGGTGTCAATTTTGGATCTTTCCTGCTTTCTCTTGTGGGCATTTAGTGCTATAAATTTCCCTCTACACACTGCTTTGAATGTGTTCCAGAGATTCTGGTATGTTGTGTCTTTGTTCTCATTGGTTTCAAAGAACATCTTTATTTCTGCCTTCATTTTGTTATGTACCCAGTAGTCATTTAGGAGCAGGTTGTTCAGTTTCCATGTACTTGAGCAGTTTTGAGTGAGTTTCTTAATCCTGAGTTCTAGCTTGTTTGCACTCTGGTCTGAGAGACAGTTTCTTATAATTTCTGTTGTTTTACATTTTTTGAGGAGTGCTTTACTTCCAACTATGTGGTCAATTTTGGAATAAGGGCAGTGTGGTGCTGAGAAGAATGTATATTCTCTTGATTTGGGGTGGAGAGTTCTGTAGGTGTCTATTATGTCTGCTTGGCGCAGAGCTTAGTTCAATTCCTGGATATCCTTGTTAACTTTCTGTCTCATTGATCTGTCTAATGTTGACAGTGGGGCGTTAAAGTCTCCCATTAATAATGTGTGGGAGTCTAAGTTTCTTTGTAGGTCACTCAGGACTTGCTTTATGAATCTGGGTGCTCCTGTATTGGGTGCATATATATTTAGGTTAGTTAGCTCTTCTTGTTGAATTGATCCCTTTACCGTTATGTAATGGCCTTCTTTGTCTCTTTTGATCTTTGTTGGCTTAAAGGCTGTTTTATCAGAGACTAGGATTGCAACCCCTGTCTTCCTTTGTTTTCCATTTGCTTGGTAGATCTTCCTCCATCCCTTTATTTTGAGCCTGTGTGTCTCTGCACGTGAGATGGGTTTCCTGAATACAGCACACTGATGGGTCTTGGCTCTTTATCCAATTTGCCAGTCTGTGTCTTTTAATTGGAGCATTTAGCCCATTTACATTTAAGGTTAATATTGTTATGTGTGAATTTGATCCTGTCATTATGATGTTAGCTGATTATTTTGCACATTAGTGGATGCAGTTTCCTCCTAGCCTCAATAGTCTTTACAATTTGGTGTATTTTTGCAGTGGCTGGTACCGGTTGTTCCTTTGCATGATCAGTGCTTTCTTCAGGAACTCCTTTATAGCAGGCCTGGTGATGACAAAATCTCTCAGCATTTGCTTGTCTGTAAAGGATGTTATTTCTCCTTCACTTATGAAGCTTAGTTTGGCTGGATATGAAATTCTGGGTTGAAAATTCTTTTTTTTAAGAATGTTGAATATTGGCCCCCACTCTCTTCTGGCTTGTTGAATTACTGCTGAGAGACCAGCTGTTAGTGTTATGACCTTCCCTTTGTGGGTAACCCGACCTTTCTCTCTGGCTGCCTTGCCATTTTTTCCTTCATTTCAATTTAGTGAATCTGACAATTACGTGTCTTGGTATTGCTCTTCTCGAGCAGTATCTTTGTGGCATTCTCTGTATTTCCTGAATTTGAATGTTGGCCTGCCTTGCTAGATTGGGGAAGTTCTCCTGGATAATATCCTGCAGAGTGTTTTCCAACTTGGTTCCATTCTCCTAGTCACTTTCAGGTACACCAGTCAGACATAGATTTGGTCTTTTCACATAGTCCCATATTTCTGGGAGGCTTTATTCCTTTATTTTTATTCTTTTTTCTCTAAACTTCTCTTCTTGCTTTATTTCATTCATTTGATCTTCCATCAATGATACCCTTTCTTCCAGTTGATCAAATCAGCTACTGAGGCTTGTGCATTCGTCATGTAGTTCTTGTGCCTTGGTTTTCAGCTCCTTCAGGTCCTTTAAGGACTTCTCTGCATTGGTTATTCTTGTTAGCCCTTTGTCTAATGTGTTTTTCAAGGTTTTTAACTTCTTTGCCATGGGTTTGAAGTTCTTCCTTTAGCTTGGAGTAGTTTGATTGTCTGAAGCCTTCTTCTCTCAACTTGTCTAAGTAATTCTCCATCCAGCTTTGTTCCTTTGCTGGTGAGGAGCTGCATTCCTTTGGAGGAGGAGAGTTGCTCTGATTTTTAGAGTTTCCAGTTTTTCTGCTCTGTTTTTTTCCCCCATCTTTGTGGTTTTATCTACCTTTGGTCTTTGATGATGGTGACAGACAGATGGGGTTTTGATGTGGATGTCTTTCTGTTTGTTAGTTTTCCTTATAACAGTCAGGACCCTCAGCTGCAGGTCTGTTGGTGTTTGTTGGAGGTCTACTCCAGACCCTGTTTGCCTGGGTATCAGCAGTGGAGGCTGTGGAACAGCAGATGATGGTGAGCAGCAAATGTTGCTGTCTGATTGTTCCTCTGGAAGTTTTGTCTCAGAGGAGTACCCTGCTGTTTGAAGTGTCAGTCTGCCCCTGCTTGGGGGTGCCTCCCAGTTAGGCTACTCGGGGGTCAGCCACCTACTTGAGGAGGCAGTCTGTCCGTTCTCAGATCTCCAGCTATGTGTTGGGAGAACTACTACTCTCTTAAAACCTGTCAGATAGGGATATTTAAGTCTGCAGTGGATTCTGCTACCTTTTGTTTGGCTAAGCTGTGCCCCCAGAAATGGAGTCTACAGAGACAGGCAGGCCTCCTTCAGCTGCAGTGGGCTCCATCCAGTTCGAGCTTCCTGGCTTCTTTGTTTACCTACTCAAGCCTCAGCAATGGCAGGCGTCCCTCCCCCAGCCTTGCTGCTGCCTTGCAGTTTGATCTCAGACTGCTGTGCTAGCAATGAGTGAGGCTCCGTGGGCATAGGACCCTCTGAGCCATGTGTGGGATATAATCTCCTGGTGTGTCATTTGCTAAGGCCGTTGGAAAAATGCAGTATTAGGGTGGGAGTGATGTGATTTTCTAGGTGCTGTCCATCACCCCTTTCTTTGACTAGGAAAGGGTATTCCCTGACCCCATGTGCTTTCCAGGTGAGATGAGGCCTTGCCCTGCTTCTGCTCATGCTCGGTGTCCTGCACCCACTTTATGATGCTCCCCAGTGAGATGAACCAGGTGCCTCAGTTGGAAATGCAGAAATCACCAGTCTTCTGCATTGCTCGCACTGGGAGCTGTAGACTGGAGCTGTTCCTATTCAGCCATCTTGGCTCCACTCTCAAAATTTAGTATTTATTAATTATAATTTTATGATCTCTTACTTTTTATTAGATATTTAGATACTTAAGCAAAACCCAACTTTTAGAAATATGAAAAATTTATTTATAATGTGATATTTTTATGTGCTTTAATTTACATGGGTTTTTAATTTTTTTACAATTACATATAATTTTTAATCATTCAAAATAGTACCAAATCCAATCTATTGCTGTTTTTATTTTATTATTATTATTTTGAGATGGAGTCTCACTCTGTCTCCCAGGCTGGAGTGCAGTGGTGTGATCTCAGCTCACTGAAAGCTCTGCCTCCCAGGTTCATGCCATTCTCCTGCTTCAGCCTCCTGAATAGCTGGGTCTACAGGTGCCTGCCTCCACACCCAGCTACTTTTTTGTATGTTTAGTGGAGATGGGGTTTCACCATGTTAGCTAGGATTGTCTTGATCTCCTGACCTTGTGATCTGCCCGCCTCTGCCTCCTAAAATGCTGGAATTACAGGTGTGAGCCACCATGCCCAGTTTTTTTTTTGTTTGTTTTTTAGACAGAGTTTCCGTCTTGTTGCCCAGGCTGGAGTGCAATGTGGCAAACTTAGCCCACTGCAAACTCTGCCTCCTGGGTTCAAGTGGCATAAAATTGTAGGCATGAAGATTGACCTTGGATGGCATCAGCCAGTGTAGGTATCTGCATGGTATTCTCCACAAAAGAGGACAAAAATCCACCAATTGAAGAAGAGTCACCCACAGCCAAAAGAGCTATAAAATAATTCCCAGGTTGTCTTGTGGGAAGTTTTGTTGTGACTGAATTGTGATTGTTCAAAGAATATTCTGTCCTTAAACCCTTTTCTGCTGATAATACTTGCTGGTGGCACTTGCTGTTGTAGCATTTATCCTGAGATAACTTTGCCATGAAATATCTTGCTTTTATTATTACTTTTGCATCACCCTAGTGTATTGACTTTGGAAACAAAAGACATAGTTCTATTTATAGCATTCTGTTTGTAGTAGTCATATTTCCATTTACAAAATACAGTGATTCTCAACAACTGAAAGTGTCAAATCCTAGAAAATGTAGCATTACTATATGTGATATTAACATCATTCTCCAACAGTTGTTAGACAAAGGCTCATTTGGTGAATCCTATTTTTCTCAAATAGATGATTCTAATGATTCAGACTATTCTGATGTTAGTTTGCTTGATAAATAACTCCAAGAACAGTTTTTATATTTTATTTTCACATTGAAAATCTGTCAGATTTGCTTCAGCCTCAAAGAGTATGCTTATTTAAAATTACATGCACACTGGCAGTGGGCTGCACTTTTTAAAAAAAGAATAAAAGGGAAAAAGTAAAAATATGTATTTTTTGTTTTCCTGCATGATCATTGCGTGTGATTCCTGTGGCTGCCTGGTAGGTGTTTTTCCTTTGTGTGTTCTAACAAGGATGATTTATGGCTTGCCTATTGTGTGGGAGAAACTGTTGAATAGAAACCCTTATTAGGAGACAAAACAGTTCCATTGATCCTTTTGTGGGACTCAGGAAGAGATGGCTTGCTTAATCAAACCACAGCTCTCAAACCCCTTGCAGGAGGGGGAGTACACAGGTGAGTAGTTGCAGGAGCTGGGGCAAACACATCCCATACTGGCCCCATAGCAGCATCTAGAGGTTGCCTGTGACCCCTGGAGCCACAGAGGGCATGTGTTGCAGTGCACTACTTTAGCTTTGCCATTCATGCATGGCTTAAGGGTTAAATAGCTCAGTGGAGAATCAGTGTGATAGCATCTTGCACCCACACACAGATTCTTGTCTAGTCTCCAGGAGGAATGAGGTTGCATGAAAAAACTGGAGGGTGGTGAACATGTAGGATTTTATTGAGTGATGAAAGTGGCTTTCAGCAGGCAAAGGAGCTGGAAGGGGGATGGAGTGGGAAGATCATCTTCCCTTGGAATTCAGCCATCACCAGCCAAACTCTTCTCCGAAGCCCTGCCATCAAGCTATCCCTCTGAGGTCAAGCTGCTTCTCTCCGATGTCTGGCTACCTCTTTTCTTCTATTCTTCTCTGTCACTCCCCTCTGCTACCATGCCAGTGGAGCTTGGGGTTTTTATGGGTACAGGGTTGGGAATGGGGTGGGCCAGGTGGTTTTGGAAAAGGCAACATTTGGGAAGCAAAATAGGGATGTGAAGTTCTCATTTAGGGCCCTGGATCCAGGCTTAAGGGTGGAACTCTTGCCAGGTAACCCACCCTTTTCTAACTATTATTTCCCTGCCTCCTCTCCATATCAATTAGAGCTAGCCGCCCCCCAACCCCCAACAATATGAGAGCCCCTAGCTACATGGGACTTTCACACACTTGAAATGTGTGCAGTCTCAGCCATGATATGCTGTAAGTTCAAAATACACAACAAACTTTTAACTCTTCATATGATAGAAGTGCATTAAATACCTCATTCATATTTTATTTTGATAACATGTTGAAATAACAATATTTTGGATTGGGTTAAATAAAAGTTATTTTATTTAGATTAATATCACCTGTCCATGAGTTCCCTATAGCTACAGTAATGAAACCTCACAGACAGGGTAAGTTGAACAAAAAGAATGTATTCTGTTATATATTTCAAGGCTGAAAGTCCAATATAAATTTTAGAAGAGCTAATTCCTTATGAGGTCTGTGAGGGGGAGTTTTCCTAAGGGTTTAGATACGCAGCAAATACTATTCAACTCTTAAATGTGGATGCAGTGCCTATGGGGCTTCTAACTAATGAGGAGTTGAAGAGGATAATTTTTCTAAGGGTTGATTCTCTTTGCTAGTTTTCTAAAGGAACATGTATCTTGAAACTCTGATTTCTTCTCCAATTTTAGCACAGTATTTTTCATAGCTCTATCTGTAAAAGTGTCCTTCATATGACCTTTTGAACAACATTACGATCAAAACCTAAAAACATCTAATGCATTTTTTGGTAGTATTCCTTAAACTTGCCATATAAGAAATGTTCCTTATTCCAAATCTACATATTTGGAACATATGTTATTTTTTGGAAATGTAAATGGATATCTGGAAGCTATTCAGATTCAAATTTCTGACAAACAGTGCTTCTGAAAAGAGGACATTTGAAATTTGAAAAAAAAAATGACTGCATATTATATAAATCTGTTCTCAGAGTTTTTAGGAGAATAAACATTAGTTTCTCAATATTCTTGATGACAGATTTTGCTATTTGCATAGTAGCCTTCAGTTCACAATAAAATATATTATTTATGTTGAAGACCCCTGATAAATTTCAAATAATATTAAATTTCATGGAATCAACATTTAACTCTTAAAATGAATACTCTTACAATTTCACTCTTCAAATTTTAAGCATTTGTATGATTTTATTTTTAACTTTTTTGCTAATTCCAGGTTATGTTTGACTTCTTACTATATACAAAACAAAATGAGGCACACAGAACAGTGTCTAATATAAGAATGAGAAACACACCTACGGGTCTCTGTTAATGAAAACTGAAGAATGGAAGCTCTTTTTGTGAAAGTATGCTAGTGTTCTGAGTGGAACGTTATTTTTCTAAATAAATTTTTTCATTGCTCATTCTGTATCTTGTTTGCATAAAACCCCTGGTGGGTCAGGAGACATTTGAGAATTCCACATACCAGTAAGGTCCCTGGCCTTTTGCCATGGGTGATTCTTCATGTATCTGTGCATGTATGGCTTCAAAAATTGCATAGAAATCCCTCCAGTGGGTTTCATAGCAACCATTCTATTCCTGAAAGACTATTTTTGACAAATTGCAACTTGAGATCCAAAGGGAGCATGATATATCCTTCAGCATGCAGACATCTTGGTCCTAAAAAGTTATGCATTTCAACATTTCTTATTTATATTGGTAGACAAATCCAACTACAGCTTTTGGTGCTGCAAATAAGAAAAATTGAAACTGCTCTCATGATCAGTCAGCTCAGGTATAAAGCTGGGAGTCAGGCCACCTCATTCCATATCACACTCTGTTCACAGTGAGAGGCCACTGACCACCCAAGATGACCCCTGGTCACTGATGACCCATAGCAGTGAATCTTTGTCTCTACTCCTAAATTAGGGGCTGGGAGAGGCCAGCTTCAAAACTGGTCACTGCTGCCACTGAGATATTGTAAAATATCTCAATAATAAAAAGATAGTGAAGGTAATATCTGATCACTACTGACTACTGAATACACATTTTTATTAAACTTTTTCTTTTGTATTATTTCATTTTAATTGTTTTACTACTCTAATAATTTTTATTTTAAAACCTTTACAAATTTTTATTTTAAGGTTTTCTATTAATTCAAAATATTTCTCTAGATCTACACAGTGTTGAGGGCTCCATAATATTGAAAATGTATTTAATGTCATTGGATTGCATACTCTAACATGTTTAAAATGCTAAATTTTAGGCTACATGTATTTACTATCATGAGTTTTTAAAACTTATTGCATGGCATAGTAGTGATAATTAATAATAATGTATTTTATGCTTCAAAGTTGCTAAGAGAGTACATTTTAAATAATCTCACTGCAAAAATGAGAAGGGTGTAAGGTGATACATACAGTAATTAGTTTGATTTATCCTTCCACCTTGTATACATATGTTTAAATGCCACAGGATACCCTATAAAAAATAGAGGTAATATTTTTAATTCATAAAAGTAATTATGTAATTATTTTGTAATATGTAAAAATAGTTATGTAAAATATATAGATGTAATATTTTAAGTACAGAATTATAATTTCAGATATATATATATATATATATATATATATATATATATATATATATATACACATATATTTCTGCTTTCTGCCTTTTGGATTTCAGACTTGATTACCGACTACCACTCCAAGAGAACAAATGCATGTAGTGAAGAAGAAAGAAGTGTTCTGTTGTTTCTCCATTTATCTCAATGAACAGGCAGCTAATTCCCAGCTGAATAAAAAGATCACCTTAAAGGCCAATTCTGTATGTTTTTGTAGAAAGTAAGTATGATTTATCTGAGAGTCCTCAAACATTTCTGGCATGCTTGAAGCATCATGTCCATCTGGAGTTATTGCAGAAATGATGGTTGTTACTTTTGCGAAACAGCCTCTAGAAGGCATGTTCTTCAGTCTACCCCCCAAACCACCAAAGAGATTTGAAATAGGAAAAAAACATGCATCACTGCTTCAACCTAGACAGCTGTCCAAAGGTGGCAGATAGTTAGGAAATTTTTCTAGTATAAGAAGACACCAGATGGAAACAAGTCAGTGAAGTCCACAGTGGCTCTTCCTCAGAAAGTGGCTTCCCATTCTCAAAGGAACAGAAAGAAGATTCTGCAACTTATTTTTAAAAATTGTCCTTAAGTCATTTTCACTTGTTCATCATTTCCATTTTACCACCAGTTCTCTGGCCATCACCTGTTTCTCTTTCTAGCTCATCTTCCTTCTAGCAACAAGAATCCACCATTTGAATGGTATATTCCAACCTGGGTCACTGCACTACCTTCTCAATCTTTTCATAATTCCCACACTTGCCTCATTTTCTCACTTTGCAAATCCCCGGTGTAAGCTCCATAGTCATTTATTTCAATCTCTGTCTCACTTGGCTCCCTCTCCTTGTCACTAACCTGGAAAAACCTTGCAGAGCTCACAGTGAACTCCCTGCTGGCTCTCAAACTGCCCCTGACAGCTGAATGTGGCAGAAAAATTAAAATGTTCTCCACCCAGCCAGCTACATGAGGTAGGTAATCATGAATATTGGCTTCAAGTTATCCAATAATACATTGTAAGGATCTGACTGCAGGCTTTTGCTTTTCCAATGGCAAGAATATATGCAATAGACCAATAACATTGATCAAATTTATTAGATCTCTACAAAAGTTTTGGGCTATTATCATGCTGCCACTCTGAGTTCCAGTGCTCTGGGATACTTACAAACTTTCTTTTCCATTCCTGATTCTAAAACAGAAGCAGTAAAGCCTTCTCTTTTGTTTTCTTTTAGCAACTTTGAAGGTTTTATAAGACAGGTGGGATGAATGAAGTAATTTACAAAGCTCTGAATTTCCAGAAGTGTACTGGGTCCATTTTCATCATTAAAAACCTTTTCAAGAAAACAAATCATTCTTCCAAAAAGACGCATGCAAGTGTATGGCAATTATGACATTATTCAAAATAGCAAAGACATGGAATCAACCTAGATACCCATCAGCAGTGAACTGGATGAAGAAAATGTGATACAAAACCAGCCTACCCAACATGGAGAAACCCTGCCTCTACTAAAAATACAAACAATTAGCTGGTGGCAGGTGCATGTAATCTCAGCTACTTGGGAGGCTGAGGCAGGAGAATTGCTTGAATCTGGGAGGCGAAAGTTGCAGTGAGCCAAGATCATGCCACTGCAGTCCAGTCTGGGTGACAAGAGTGAAGCTCCTTCTCAAAAAAAAAAAAAAAAAAAAAAAAAAAAGATACTTATACCCCCCATGGAATATTATGCAGCCAAGAAAAAGAATAAAAACATATGTTTTGTAGTAACATGGATGGTGCTGGAGGCCATTATCCCAAGTAAGTTAATTCAGGGACAGAAAACCAAATGTTCTCACTTATAAAAAAACAAACAAAATAGAATGTTCTTGTTTATAAATAGGAGCTAAAAAATTATGTACTCATGGTCATAAACATGGAAACAATAGTTACTGTGGAATATTAGAGGGTGGTGGGAGGGATGGGGGCAATGACTCAAAAATTACCTATAGAGTGCCATGTTTACTACCTGAATCCATACTTCATACCTCAGTATTATGCAATATACCTCTGTAACAAACCTGCACATACATTTCCTGAAAGTAAAATAAAAGTTGAAAAAATAAATAAATACATACATACATAAAAATCTTTTCAGAAACACAGTGGAAGACATAAGTCACCAAGAAAGGAGATTGGAAAGAGAGCAGAAGAAAATTAATCTTAAAGAAAGGAATTGCTGCTGCAGCTGACTCTGAATACTGTTTCATAAGTAAGTAAGCTGCTGATGTTTTTATTGACATAGTATATCTCATTTCATCCAGGTTATATGAAAAGTTCAGTTATTATGTGGAAAACAGACTTTTAACATGCTTACATATTTGAATCAAGTTATCAGCTAATTAAAGCATCAACCCATGCCACACTATGGCAAAGTTTTTCCCAATTTTGCTCAATTTATTATGTTAAGAACATTAGCTTCGAACCTTCACGTAGAGAGAAACTCAGAACCAGAAAAACAAACTTCACCTGTTATCATCGTTTCCTCAATTAGGTTGTTTACAAAACTGGATTAGAGGGAAATTTTACTCTCATCTTTCATTTTCATTTCCAATCAGGTAACCATAGCCTCTGGGAGCTTAACAGGACATTGTGAAGTCTGTCTAGAGATGAAAACCAAACCACCACCATCACCACCACATTCTACGTATGCGGCACTTGTGAGAACAGAAAATACAATGGATAAAAGAAAATACTTTTTTTTCCAATTCCTAGGTAATATTTCTGTAAGAGCAAAGATATTTTGTATGTTTCAACCTGTTCATCTTTTTCATGCTTTTTGAAAAACTTAATATATTAATATAAAACAAACTTATATGTCCTTAACGATAGAAGAAATCCACATTGAAATAGTCAGAAACATATTCAGCAAACTATTTTTCTGATGAATTGGGTTAGATTGCAAATGGGAGCAGGCTCTGAAAGCAACCATTTTCTAAAGGAAAATAAATCTCTTTCTTTGAACTGTATCTGTAATTTTAGGGCTGCTGTACCTTCATTTTCCCCTCTGGGATCACGTCGGGTTACCAGTTTCTCAGAGCACAACCCTCTATGTAAAGAGTTTAGACGTAGTCGACTGCACAGAGACAACATAGCCAGTGTGAACTCCCTAATCATTTCCATCTGCTATTTATAAAACAAGTTTGGAAGAAACCAATAGCACATGTCAGGTAATTTGCCAATGATTCATTGCAGTGACAGGTTATGGTGTTATTGGGTTAATGTCAAGCATGGGAAAAGTCCCCAGACCTGAGTGATTTCCCAACATGAATTTGATTGGAATTCATTTCAGAATCCTCACGGTGGTAATGCATAAGACAAAATGGGCAGGTGGGCTGCCATGCCATGGTGGCAACATCAATAGCTTTTTACACAAGACTTCCATGTAAAGACACTCTGCAAACAGCAAAATGAGAATGGTGGGGTGAATTGTATTGGTCTATCTGAGTGCATGTTTCTCTGGAGGTATTGGCTTCTTCTTTGTATGGCCATCACCGGCTATTTATGTTTCAGCTCTGAAGGTGCAATCTGGGATTCTCTTTCATCATATCTGATAACCACACCCACACCTTCCTGGGAGAACTAGGAAACATTTCTTTGTGAGCCGTATGCAATTTTATCCCCAGATAATATTTTACTGAACTCTATCAGGGAAATCCTGTTAACTGAAAAGCAGCAACTTTATTATTCACCAACACTTTCTTGTATTTGCTTTTCCATTTATTTTTGTGCTGCTTATAGATGTTTTAATATTTTCTGAGTTTACATGTCTGTCTTGTGCATTCTTTACTTACATAGCCCTACTGGGAAAAGGGAAACAGAGTAGAAAATAATGAAAGGAGTTTTTCATTATATGCAAAATTTTAGAACTATCTTTTAATACATTCCCAGTGTTGTGCAACAATCACCTCTCTCTAGTGCCACAGCATTTTCAGCATTCCAGAATGAATTTCATAGCCATTAGCATTCAATTCCCAGACCTTTCTCCTCCTCCCCATCCCTGACAATTATAATCTACTTTTTATCTCTATGTATTGACTAATTTTGAATACTTTCTACAGACAGAATTATACATTATGAGGCCTTTTGTGTCTGGTTTCTTTCACTTGGCATGATGTATTTGAGGTTTGTCCACATTCAACATGTGTCAATTACTTCATGCCTATTTAGGGCTGCATACTATTTTATTTTATGCATATGCAACATTTTGCTTATCCACTCATCTGTTGATGGACTTTGGGTTGATTGCATCTCTTGACTATTATGAACAAAGATGCCTTGAGCATATATGTCCAGGGAGATCTTTGAGTCCTTGTTTTAGTTATTCTGGGTGTATACATATGAGTAGTATTGTTTAATCACTTATTGGGCCATCACTGGCTATTCATTTAAATTCCAGCTCTAAAAGTAAAATCTAGGATTCTCTTTCATCATGGCTGACAGCCAATCCCATGTCTCCCTGGGAGTAGGAACTAAGAACTGGGAAACATTTATTTCTATCTGTGATTTTGTCCCCAAATAATATTCTACTAACTTCTCTTAGGAAGATCTTGCCAACTTAAAAGCAGCAACTTTATTATTCACTGAGACTTTCTTGTGTTTGCTTTTCTTTTTTTATGCTACTTGTAGATGGCTCAGGATTACCTGAGTTGATCATATGGTCATGTAATATTCCACTTTTTGAGGAACTTCTATGCTGTCTTCTGTAGCCATTGAACCATTTCATAAACATATGAGTATTCCAATTTCTACACATACTTGTCAACACTCATTTTCTCTTTTATTGATTATAGTCATTCTAATAAGTATAGTTCCATTTTAATTGAAACCATTTAAATTTAATTACCGATAATAACTTTAATATAAAACTAGTTGTGTCTTAATATACCAGATTTAGAATCTTTACATTTTTCTTGAGTTTTATGTCTTAAAACCCCAGTAAACCAATAGCCTTAAATGATATGCCCCAACTAGTTTTAGAAGTGGCCGGCTGGGCGTGGTGGCTCAGGCCTGTAATCCCAGCACTTTGGGAGGCCAAAGTGGGAAGGTGACGAGGTCAGTAGATCGAGACCATCACCTGGCTAACATGGTCAATCCCCATCTCTAATAAAATACAAAAAAAAAAAAAAAAATAGCCAGGCGTAGTGGTGGGCACCTGTAGACCCAACTACTTGGGAGACCGAGGCAGGAGAATGGCATGAACCAGAAGAAGAAGAAATGGCCATCTCTTTCCAATAGTTTTCTAATAGTTTACATAATATGAAGCCAAGAAACACAAGCGTTTGCATAATGTAGGGGCTTTTGATACAAAGCCATGGGAATGTTATTCATAAATAAAAATTATCCTTCACAAGGCTAGGAAAATAGCTGACTTAACAGAAAGTAGATAAAGAATAATTAGTGATTGTCTTTTGTTTCTCATCAAATGGTTATGACGTTTTGTCCTCTTCCTTTCTAAGTAAAGAGGAAGTTTCAGAGGACAAATAAAAACATTTGATGTTGGAACCCTTAATCTTTCCCACTCAGGATCACAGATTAATCCATGTGCAAAGAAAAAAAAATAAAGCTTGGTCTTTGACTTCTGGAAGAACCTAAATTTTCATGTGAAAGTTTACTTAATTGACTGTATCTTCTCTTGACCAATCTGGACATAAGGATTCTTGTGTTATTTATTTATTTGTTTGTTTGTTTATTTATTTATTTATTTTGGAACAGGGTTTCTCTTTGTTGCTGAGGCTGGGGAGCAGTTATGTGATCACAACTCACTGCAGCCTCAACCTCCTCAGTTCAGGTGATCCTCCTGCCTCAGCCTCCTGTGTAGTAGCTGGAACCACCGGTGTGCACACCATGTTTGGCTATGTTCTAAAATTATTTGTAGAAATAGGTTCTTCTTTTGTTGCCCACAGTGGTCTGGAACTGAGCTCAAGTGATCCTCCTGCTTCAGCCTCTCAAATTGTTGTGATTACATGCATGAGCTACTGTGTCCAACCTAGATTCTTCTATTTTAGTCTGTTTTGTTGGACAAGAGGTTTGTGTGCATTCCATATATATAAATATAAAGTTATGTAGGTGTGCATATGTGTATATATAATCATTCTTCTCCAATTTACTTATGTTTTATAGGTTTATTATTAACATTTTACATTTTTATTAATAAATTACAAAAGAACTTTGTATTTGCCCAGGCTTATAAGAAACAAAATTTGAAACAATAAAACTTGTTCATGAACACATTTTCAGCAAATAAAATTCCACGGAAGAAAAATGAGGGGCAAATGAAGTACAATGGGGAGAGAAAGGTGAATCTCAGTGTGCAAATTACCTGACTGGCCAAATCTTCAGGACAAGCTGAGACCTCAGTCTCTTAACAGAGACTTCATGGAACCCTGGCTACCAAAGACTCTTGCAAAGGGAAAAGCAGAGAATATGTTATTATTGTCAGAAGCTTACATATTTTCAAAATTATCCTCAAGGAGCATCAGCCCTTAACACTTCAGAATTCTTCAGTGCAGTTCCTGCAATAAAGGACCAGTGAGCCCTAAAGCTGAGACTCCCTCCCACTTGGTCTTTGGTACACAGCAGCCTCCTAGACCCACTGTGGGCACCAAACTGGCCCAGAAGCCTTGTATGACTCAGAAACAGCAGAGAGCTGCAGACCGAGGTGCAGCTGAGGGTACCTGAGAAACAGAGAGTAGAAGCCAGAGTGCACTTCAGTGTGCAAACATAAGCATCATTTTGCAAAGACAATTTTTCAATGGACACGGCTCCCACTGTGGTCAACTGTCTTGAGGTAGACCATATGCCTGCTATATCATCCCAGGAAAAGTCTACTAAAAGGTTTCCAACTGTGATCATTGTTCATGTTTTTTTATTGTTTTATTTTATTTTTATTTTTTAATTTTTTTTAAATTTTATTATTATTATACTTTAAGTTTTAGGGTACATGTGCATGATGTGCAGGTTTGTTACATATGTATACATGTGACATGCTGGTATGCTGCACCCATTAACTCGTCATTTAGCATTAGGTATATCTCCTAATGCTATCCTTCCCCCCTCCCCCCACCCCACAACAGTCCCCGGTGTGTGATGTTCCCCCTCCTGTGTCCATGTGTTCTCATTGTTCAATTCCCACCTATGAGTGAGAACATGCAGTGTTTGGTTTTTTGTCCTTGCGACAGTTTGCTGGGAATGATGGTTTCCAGCTTCATCCATGTCCCTACAAAGGACATGAACTCATCATTTTTTATAGCTGCATAGTATTCCATGGTGTATATGTGCCATATTTTCTTAATCCAGTCTATTGTTGTTGGACATTTAGGATGGTTCCAAGTCTTTGCTATGGATGGGTTTGTAAACTTTGTTTTGATAAAAATGCAACTTTTTCTTTTAAAAAAAGGAGTATCCCCAAATGACTTAGATACATGTATTGGTCAGGGATCTCTAGGGCAATAGAACCAACAGAATATATACAGATAAATATATCATACAATACCTGAACTTAACAGCTAATCGCAGTACCATTCACAATAGCAAAGAAATGGAATCCACCTCAGTTACCATCAATAGAGGATGGAATAAGGAAAATGTGGTATGTATACACAATGGAATCCTATTCAGCCATAAAAAAATGATGAAACCATGTATTTTGCAGCAACATGGATGGAACTGGGGGCTGTTAAGTAAAATGAGTCAGACACAGAAACATAAATACTACATGTTCTCACAAGTAGGTGTTAAAATATCTGTACACATGGATGTAGAGAGTACTATAATAGATACTGTAGATTTGGAAGGGTGGGATGGTACAAAAACAGTAGAAGATGAGAAATTACTTAGTGGGTAGAATCTACATTATGTGGGTGATGAATATCCTAAAAGCCCTGACTTGATCACTGTGAGATCTATGCCTGTAACAAATTGCACTTGTACCCCTTAAATTCATGTAAGTAAATGATTTTAAAAGGAAAGATATTCATTATGGGAGATTCACTCATGGATTTGAGAGACTGAAATGTCCCACAGTCTGCTGTCTGTAAGCCAGGACCCAGGAAAGCAGGTGGTGTAGTTCTAGTTCAAGTCTGAAGACCTGAAAACAGAGGGGCTTTACGTCAAAGAGCAGGAGAAGATGGATGTCTCAGCTCAAGCTAGGAGTAAATTTTCCCTTTCTCCACCTTTTTATTCTATTTGGGCTTTTGGTTGATTGGACAATACCTACCTTCCCAAGTGGAGAGGGCAGATCGTCACTTAGTCTACTGATTGAAATGTTAATCTCTTTCAGAAACATCCTCTCAGAATCACCCAGAAATTATGTTTCCCCAGCTAGTTGGGCATCCCTTGATCTAGTCAAGTTGACATATACAGTCAACCATCATAGTACATCATAGTACATATGTACATAGTACATATTTTAGTTAGACCGTATTTAACATAGTACATATTTTAGTTAGACCGTATTTAACAATTTAGACCATATTTCATTCTTCCATTCGCATTTAATGATATCAGTCAAGAAACAAACAGGCAGTGGAGAAAAGATTCCGTTCTTAATTAAATGTCGGGAAAACTGGCCAGCCATATGCAGAAAACTGAAACTGGACCCCTTCTTTACACCTCATACAAAAATCAACTCAAGATGGATCAAAGACTTAAATATATGACCTGAAACCATAAAAATCCTGGAAGAAACCCTGTGCAATACCACTCAGGATGTAGGCATGAGCAAAGATTTCATGTCTAAAACAGAAAAAGCAATGGCAACCAAGCTAAAATTGAAAAATAAGATCTAATTAAACTAAAGAGCTTCTGCACAGCGAAAGGAACAGGCAACCTACAGAACAGGAGAAAATTTTAGTAGTCTATCCATCTGACAAAGGGCTAATATCCAGAATCCACAAAGAACTTAAACAAATTTACCAGAAAAAAACAACCCCATCAAAAAGTAGCCAAAGGATATGAACAGACACTTCTCCAAAGAAGACATTTATGCAGGCAAAAGACATATGAAAAAATGCTCAACACTGGTCATAAGAGATGCAAATCAAAACCACAATGAGACCATCTACACCAGTTAGAATGGCGATCATTAAAAAGTCAGGAAACAACAGATGCTGGAGAGGATGCAGAGAAACAGGAACACTTTTACACTGTTTGTGGGAGTGTAAATTAGTTCAACCTTTGTGGAAGACAGTGTAGTGTTTCCTCAAGGATGTAGAACTAGAAATACCATTTGACCCAGGAATCCCATTACTGGGTATATACCCGAAGGATTATAAATCATTCCACTATAAAGACACATGCACACGTGGGTTTATTGTGGCACTATTCACAATAGCAAAGACTTGGAACCAACCCAAATGTTCATAAATGATAGACTGGATAAAGAAAATGTGGCACATATACACCATGAAATACTATGCAGCCATAAAAAAGGATAAGTTCATGTCCTTTTCAGGGAAATGGATGAAGCTGGAAACAATCATTCTCAGCAAACTAACGTAAGAACAGAAAACCAAACACTGCATGTTCTCACTCATAAGTGAGAGTTGAACAATGAGAACACATGGACACAGGGAGGGGAACATCCCACACTAGGGCCTGTCAGGAGGAGGGGAGCTAGGGGAGGGACAACATTAGGAAAAATACCCAAGGTAGGTGATGCGTTGACAGGTGCAGCTAGCCACCATGGCACATGTATATCTATGTAACAAAACTGCACGTTCTGCACATGTACCCCAGAATTTAAAATTATGTATATGTCCATTTCTAATTTGTAATTTGTAATAATTTACTTCAAATCTTTTTGGAAGGATATGAACAAAATAGTGAAATATTTGAAGTATATGAACAAAATGGTGAAGGCAAAATTTAAGCACAAAATCCTACCCTGGCCCTAACCCAAACATGGCTTATTTATGGTACTTGTTTTCCAAGATATCATGTTCATGTGACCACACCAAAGGGAAACATCAGGAAGAAACTATTTGATTCACAACTTATGGCCACCTACAAGCTTGACATGTGTGTCGGCACCACTTCTGGACACATGGGAGGAGAGAAAATGATCTTTTCCTTAACATCTGAGTTGGAGGTTATAGCCTCAGGGAGGTAATATTTTAAGCCTGATTCCTTTTATGAATTCCCACAGTAAAAACACAGAGCAGCATTCACCACACACTTTATGTTCCCCTTCAAATTGCAGCTAAGTTCCCTTTCCCAGGCTGTAAAAATTCCTAAATTCCATTTTTTCCTATCCATGATATTTGATTTATTACATGCCATGCAGTCAGAGAGATATCTAGCCCTTGATGGAAATCACCTTTATTTGGGTGGTTAATACCCTGAGGACCTCATTAAAATGTGTGTGTGTGTGTGTGTGTGTATATATATATATATATATATATATATATATATATATATGATATTAAAGAATATTATTTTCTTAATCTTGATAGACTAGTATTTCAACATCATCAAACTCTTTTATGCATAAGGTGACCTATGGACACAATACACCTAAACTTTCTGTTTGTGAACAAAGACCAGGAATAGTAAATAATCTCCATATCTCATGATTGGTGAAGCCAGAATTTAAGCACAAAAAAACCTTCCCTAACCCTAACCCTAACACTAACCAAGCACTGGCCCTTCCAGGATTTGAGTTTTAGTTTGTTTGTGAAAAACAGTCTAGCTCTGCTACCCAGGCTGGAGTGCGGTGGGTGGTATAATCACAGCTCATGGAAGCCTCATGGCAGTGTTGTAGAACTCAGAGACAGCAGAGAGCTGCAGACCAAAGCACAGCTGAGGATGCTGGAGAACCAGACAGCAGAAACAAGAGTGCACTTCAGTCAAATTTAGGTGCATCAAAAGGAGAAGGGTGAAACTGAGAATTCAAAAGCTTTGGAGAATTGAGTATTTTGTATCAGTTGTATAATAATAAACCTTTCTTCTCCTTTTGATGTAGCCTAAATGTGATCTGATTTCCATTCTACATCAACAAGAAGAATATTTTCACTGCAATTCAGGCAGATCAAGGTATTATGGCAGAATGAAAATGCAATTCTAGCAGGACTAATTGGTGTTGCTTTGAGGGACAAATTAAATTCTTTTGCCAAATATTTTAATAGCTATGTTCTCCTTTTCTTTTTATGTTTTTATTAGTCCACCTTTTTATTTTATTTGGCTTCCTTTTGGCTTTAGTTATTTCTACTTTCCCAAGTTCAATGCATAATTCATTGGATTTTTATTTTCTTGATGCATAATAAATGTTTCTATTATGCAACTTTTACTCAGTATACTACTTCAGCCATTCCTTAAAGGTTTCTATATGGATTTGCCTTTAATGACTGTTTCTAATTGATTAAAGTTCTAATAAAAGTTTTTATTTAATTATCAGCCTAAACATTTATTTGGAAGAATGTTATTAAATTCCTAATACAGAGGGTTTATGTTTTTAATTTTTTGTCTTATGTTGAAAATATATAATTTTATTGCATTGTGATTAATGATTTTTTTTTTTTAGAGTGTGGTTAGGGATATGTTGATGGACTTTTTGCCTTAATGCATGGAAAGGATACAGACAAAAAAGAAAAAAGGTGATGATAACATGCTGAATACCTGTCTTCTATCCAATTGCTATTTTGTCAGGTGTTTAGAGTATCTAATATTTTGTATTATTGGTCTTAACCACTAGAATCACAAGATACCAATAAACCTTTCTTCTTACTTAACTTTGGTACAATTTCTTATGCAACAATTCATAAAAAATATTCATTAATTCTCCAAAGCTTTTGAATTGTCAATTTAACCCTTCTCTTTCGATGCACTAATATCAACCTATACATGAAGTCTGCCTTTTGATCCAGTTTGCTAATTAATAAATGTTTCATGGAAGTTACACTTGAGGAAGACTTTTGATAGAAATACCCATGTATATTTCCTTTCAGTTTATAAATTTTCTCAGTATGGAAAACCTCTACACTTAGAGTTTCCCAAAAAAACTAAAAATAAAGCTGCCATTTGATCCAGCAATTCAACTACTGAATATGTCATGAAGAAAGGAAATAAGTATATTGAAGGACATCTACACATTCATGTTAATCAGCACTATTCACAATAGCCAAAATATGGAATCTGCCTAAATGGCCCTCAACGGACAAACGAATAAAGAAAATGTGGTATATATTCAAAATGGAAGACTAGTCAGCCATAAAAAAAATAATGAAATCTTGTCTTTTGCAGCAACATACATGGAATAAGAGAGCATTAGCTGAAATTAGCCATGAAGAGAAAGACAGACATTGCATGCTCTCACTACATGTGGAGCTTACAAGTGGATTTCAGCTGGCCACGGTGGCTCATGCCTGTAATCCCAGCACTTTGGAACGTCTAGCTGGGCAGATCATGAGGTCAGTAAATTGAGTCCATCCTGGCTAACATGGTGAAACCCCATCTCTATTAAAATACAAAAAAAACTTAGCCAGACATGGTAGCACGTGCCTGTAGTCCCAGCTACTCAGGAGGCTGAGGCAAGGAAATCACTTGAAGCCAGGAGGCAGAGGTTGTGGTGAGCCAAGATCGCGCCACTGCAGTACAGCTTGGCAACAGAGCATGACTCTGTCTCAAAAAACAAACAAACAAACAAAAACAAATGGAATTTCATTTCATGGAGCTAGAGAGAGTAGAATGATGGTTACCAAAGGCTGGGAAGGGTGGGGGGGTTGAGAGAATGAAGAGAAGGTGGTTAATGAGTACAAAAATATGGTTAGAAGATATAATTATGTTTTAGTATTTTATAGTACAGTAAAAAAATTAAAGTTAACAATAAAATGTACTTCAACATATCTAGAAGAATTGCAATGTTCCCAACACAAATATTAAAAGCAAAGGTTTAAGGTAATGGATGTCCTAATCACCCTGATTTGATCAGTACTGCACATTGTGTACCTGTATCAAATTACCATATGCACCCCAAATTATGTACAATTATGATATAGCAATATAAAATACAAAAGGAAAGAAGTAAATTTTCAACTTAGTAAGAGTTGTTTAAATCCATCTTCCTCCAATTTCTTTTTTTTCTTGCATTTCCATTATCTTTTAGTCTCAAATATTTCTAACACCCATTAGGAATTCTTCAACTCATAGGTAATTTGTAAGTGTGTTTTAAAAATTCCAAATAAGAAATTTTGATAATTAGCTCAAAAATTTTTAACTAGGTTGGGATATGGTCAGATAACTTCACTGATACCTTGAAATATCTTAAGACTTCTTTTCTGGACAAAGTAAGTGGTCAATTTCCATCAATTTTCCATATATGCTTGAAAAGACTATGTACTCTTTTCATATACTGTTGTGTCTGTCCCTTAGATCAAGCTGATAACCATAGGACATTTGAACTTTCACAGTGCCTTTTCATCTCAGTCTACTCTAATAACAGACCAGCTCCCTTTCGGTTACAATCTTTGTCTCCTAACCAGAAAGTTTCATCAACGGAATTTTATTTACAGCTTTATCATCCATATATCACTACAATTCACCTGAGTTTAGTCAACCTGCATTCATTTTAATTGCCTGAAGCTTTGGATATAATCTTCCATCTCACTTTTTATCTTCCATTTGCTTCACTCTCTCTCTAGGTTTTATTCTTTCTTTCTCTTTTCCCTTGGTCCAATGCACGTGGCCCAATTCACAGGTGTTGACCCTGGGAAGGTACAGTTCCCTTGCTCCCTCTGAATTCTGAGGTGAAACGCCTCTGGTCATTGAGGAACAGAAAGGAATGAGACCTCCATAGGCCAAAGTCAAGAGATGGGGGAGGAGCCAGGCATTCTGCCCCAGTAGGCACCATGCCTGGACATGCCCACTCACCACACCTCAGGGTTGTCCTCCTTTCTGGCGAGCTGTGGACTAACGTGGCCTGGCAACAAAGGCCACCCTCTTCAGTCCTGTGGCCCCTGAGAACACAGGCAGGAGGAGAAGGGGCAGTGACCGTTGTTCCTCCTTCCTGACTCTGCAGACCTCCGGGAAGCTTTCAAGCCCAGCAGTCTGGCTCATCCTTTCCCTGGGTCTGATGGACCCAGGCTGCATTTTCAAGGATGATGCTGAAATATTCTCTTTCATATGCGTGATCTGAGACCTCACTACTCAGCAGAGAACGACTGGGTCCCCTTCACAGGGAGTGACCGAGGTCCGTGGAGATCCTGGGAATAGCCAGCATCAAGGATTGAGAGGGTCCCCTGGAGCCTCACAAGATGGAAGATGGCAGCCCAACATGGGAAAGGCCCAGGCTGGGCCAGGCCAGGCCCTCCTGCTAGGCCTGCAAGCTCCAGGTCCTGCAGCAGGATACAGTTCTTGTGGGCTCTGAGCATTCGGTGCTGGATGTGGGCCACCTTCTTCTTGTGCAGGTTCTGCTGCCAGCAGGTCTTGGCACTGATGCATCTTCTCTACCACGCCTGAGTTGCGCTTCTCCCACTCGCTGTGCTGCTGGGCGCTGTGATTCTCCTTGGGCTTCAGGGCCTCCTGCAGCAGGCAATCATCGTGGTGGATCATCACATCCTCTGTCTTGTACAGGAGATTGGTCCACTTCATCTTGGCCTACAGCTGCTGTGCCTTCCCCTCACCCTGGCCACTCAGCTCATCCAGATGCTTCAGCAGCTGCAGGTAGTTCCTCCCTGTCAGTGGTGTAAGTTTCCTTTCCCTTCACACTCTGCTTCTTCTTTCTGCACTGCTACTTGCTGGCTGACTCCTCTTTGCTCACCTACACCTTGTTGAAGATCAGTCCTGGAGGCTCCTGCAGCTTCCTGCAGGCCCCTTCAGGGGTTGGCTTGACTGCCTACAGGGCCTTTGTAACCTCCTCAGCCTTCTTGGTCTTCTATTTTGCCCACAGCTCCTCTCGCTTCTTCTTTTGCCAGTCCCGTTCCCTCTTTCTCCACCGCCTTTACTCCAGGGCAGCAGGGGACAGCTCCTTGGCACTGCCCTGGCCCCAGGCCTCCTGGATCTTCTCATGAAGTTGCAGTCGCAGAACATCCAGGCCAAAGAGAGACTCAAGGTCTGTGGCCAGGACATCTGTAGGGATCCCTGTGCAGCTGGATGCTGAATCTGCCTCCTTTTTGTCTGCCTCAGGCTTCCTGGCCCAAGATGGCTGCTGGAGACTTGGTGAGAGGTGACAGTGTGCTGGCAGCCCTTGCTTGCTTTGGGCACCTTCTCTGCCTTGGGTCCACTCTGGCCACACTTGAGGAGCCCTTGATCCTGCTGCTGCACTGTGGGAGCCCCTCTCTGGACTGGCTGAGGCTGGAGCTGGCTCCCTCTGCAGGGAGGTGTGGATGGAGATGCGTGGGTGGGAACTGAGGCTGCAGGAGGCTGTCCTGGGCCAGCCAGAGTTCTGGGTGGGCCATCTTGGCATGCCACACTCGGAAGGGCTGGCCGGTGCCTCTGCTCAGGCAGTGAGGGTCTTAGCACCCAGGCTAGCAGCTGCAGAGGGTACACCCATCTCCCAGCACCGCCGGCCTGCCCTCCCAGTGGTCAAATTCTCTCTGGGCCTCAGCCGCTGCCCTGTAGGGCAGGGCTTGGGTCCTGCAGCCCACCATGCTTGAGCCTGGTTGGGAGGAATGAACAACTCCAGACACGCTGTCTTTAAGAGCTGTAACACCGCCAAGGTCTGCAGCTTCACTCCTGAAGTCAGGGAGACCAGGAACCCAACAAAAGGAAGAAACTCTGGACACATCTGAATATCTGAAGGCAAAAACTCTGGACACACCATCTTTAAGAACTGTAACACTCACTGCAAGTGTCCGTGTCTTCATTCTTTAAGTAAGTGAGACCAAGAACTCACCAATTCTAGACACATTTTGGCAACCACAAAGAGACTATCACCAAGCGGTGAGACTATTGCCAAGTAGTGAGACCATCACCTATCACCAAGTGGTGAGACTATCACCTATCACCAAGCAGTGAGTATCGTCAGACCCCTTTCTCTTGCTATTCTGTCCTATTTTTCCTTAGAATTTTGGGGCTAAATACCGGGCACCTGTCAGCCAGTTAAAAGCAACTAGTGTGGCCACCAGACTAAAGAAGTGGGTGTCACGCTTTCTTGGAAAAGGCTCTCTAACAAACCCTGACTCTTTGGAGTTGGGAGCATTGGTTTGCCTGGAATCAGCTTCCACTTTTCCTGTACTTCTAGGCTGAGCCCAGGATCAACAGAGAGGAAAGCCATTCAGCTCTGGGGTCCCGACAACAAGTTAGTTAACCCTGCAGCCATGAGCAGATCTCTGAAAGGCATGTCACCCAAGTGAGACTCACACATCTATCCAATCTATCCTGACCCTTGCCTCCTGGGTCCTAATGAAGTTTGCCAGACAAACTTCATCTTGCCTCTCTTCTCTGAGGCTAATCCTACTTCTAAAAATCACTCCCTGTCTCTGGTGATTTTCTAGTTTCTCCTATAAGAATGACTTCTAGTATAAACTACAGGACTCTGTTATTTCTTTAGGCACCCTGGCTCACTGATCAGAAAGACATAATCTTTGCCCAAAGCCCTATCATGGGGGACTATCTGGAATGTTAGGATCCCTCCTCAGACTAACAGGCCTAACAAAAGCTATTCTTGAAGCCAGGATAGGGGGAGCCTTAGAAATTCTATCCTTCCTATTCGTATAAGTGAACACAAAAGTGTCACTCTTCCAACCCTGGACATCCCTTCCCTCCCTTAGGGATCCTAACAGGAGAATGCTTAAGACGCTAACAGGTTTTTGAGAATGCATTGGTAAGGGCCACTAAATCCAATTTTTCTTTGTCCTCTTTGGGTCTAGGAGGACAGGCAAGGTTGCAGGTTTTCAAGAATGTGTCGGTAAGGGCCACTAAGTCTGACCTCCCTTGGTCCTCCTTGTGTTCTGGGAGGAAAACTAGTGTTTCTGCTGCTGCATCAGTGAGCTTAACTATTCTGATAAGCAGAGTCCAGGGATCGTTGTGGGTTCTTGGGCAGGGGGAGAAACAAAACAAATTGAAACCATGGGTAGTTTTGTCTTTCAGTTTGGAAACACTCAGTCATCAACAGGCTCACCCTTGAAATGCATCCTAAGCCATTGAGACAAATTTGACCCACAAACCCTGAAAAACAGGTGGCTCATTTTTTTCTGCACTATGGCCTGGCCCCAATATTCTCTCTGTGATGGGGAAAAATGGCCACCTGAGGGAAGTACAAATTACAATACTATCCTGCAGCATGACCTTTTCTGTAAGAGGGAAGGCAACTGGAGTGAAATACCTTATATGCAAGCTTTATTTTCATTGAAGGAGAATACAAAATTATGCAAAGTTTGCAACTTACATCCCACTAGAGGACCTCTCAGCTTACCCCCATATCCTAGCCTCCCTATAGCTCCCCTTCCTATTAATGATCAGCCTCCTCTAATCTCCCCCACCCAGAAGGAAATAAGCAAAGAAATCTCCAAGGGACCACAACGCCCCCTGCCCAGGCTATCAGTTATGTCTCCTTCAAGCTGTTGGAGGAAGAGAATTTGACCAAAGCTGTATACATGTCTCTTTCTCCCTCTATGATTTAAAACAGATCAAGGCAGACCTAGGGAAGTTTTCAGATGATGCTGATAAGTACATATATGTCCTAAAGGGTCTAGGACAAACCTTTGGCCTCGCTTGGAGAGATGTCATGCTACTGTTAGATCAAACCCTGGCCTTTAATGAAAAGAATGAAGCTTTAGCTGCAGCCTGAGAGTTTGGAGATACATGGTATCTTAGTCAAGTAAAAGATAGAATGCCAGCTGAAGAAAGGGACAAATTCCCTAGTAGTCAGCAAGCTACCCCCAGTATGTATCCCCACTGGGACCTTGACTCAGATCATAGGGACTGGAGTAGTAAATATCTGTTCACCTGTGTTCTAGAAGGACTAAAGAGAACTACGAAAAAGCCCATGAATTATTCAATGATGTCCACCATAGCTCATGGAAAGGAAGAAAATCCTTCTGCCTTCCTCGAATGGCTATGGGAGACCTTAAGAAAATATACTTCCCTGTCACCCGAATCACTTCAGTGAGGGTCAATTGATTCTAAAAGATAAATTTATTACCCAATCAGCTGCAGATATCAAGAGAAAGCTCCAAAAGGAAGCCCTGGGCCCTGAACAAAATTTGGAGGCATTATTATACCTGGCAACCTCAGCGTTCTATAATAGGGACCAAGAAGAACAGGACCAAAAGGAAAAGCAAGATCAGAGAAAGGCCGCAGCCTTAGTCATGGTCCTCAGACAAACACACCTTGGTGGTTCAGAGAGGACAGAAAATGGAGCAGGCCAATCACCTAGTAGGGCTTGTTACCAGTGTGATTTGCAAGGGCACTTTAAAAAAGATTGTCCATTGAGAAACAAGCTGCCCCCATGTCCATGTCCAGTATGCCAAGGCAATCACTGGAAGGTGCACTGCCCCAGAGGATAAAGGTTCTCTGGGTCAGAAGCCCCCAACCAGATGATCCAACAACAGGAATGAGGGTGCCTGGGGCAAGCACCAGCTCATGTCATCACCCTCAGTGAGCCCCAGGTATGTTTAACCATTGAGGGCCAGGAAATTGACTTCCTGCTGGACACTGGCATGGCTTTCTCAGTGTTAATCTCCTGTCCTGGATGACTGTCCTCAAGGTCCATTACCATCTGAGGGCTCCTGGGACAGCCTGTAACCAGGTATTTCTCCCATCTCCTCAGTTGTAATAGGGAGACTTTACTCTTTTCACATGTTTTTCTTGTTATGCTTGAAAGTCCCACACCCTTATTAGGGAGGGATATATATATGCCAAGGCTGGAGCTATTATCTACATGAATATGGGGAACAAGTTACCCATATTTTGTCTCCTACTTGAGGAGGGAATCGACCCTGAAGTCTGGGCATTGGAAGGACAATTTGGAAGGGCAAAAAATGCCCACCCACTCCAAGTCAAGCTCAAAGACCCCACCACTTTTCCTTATCAAAGACAATATTCCTTAAGGCTTGAAGCTCATAAAGGATTACAGGATATTGTTAAACATTTAAAAGCTCAAGCCTGAGTAAGGAAATGCAGCAATACCTGCAACACCCCAATTCTATGAGTAGAAAAATTGAACAGTCAGGGGAGACTAGGACAAGATCTTAGACTCATCACTGAGGCAGTAATTTCTCTATATCCAGTTGCACCCAACACCTATACCCTGCTCTCTCAAATACCAGAGGAATCAGAATGGTTCATGGTTCTGGACCTCAAGAATAACTTCTTCTTTATTCCCCTGCACTCTGACTCCCAATTTCTCTTTGCCTTTGAGGATCCCACAGACCACATGTCCCAAATTACGTGGACAGTCTTGCCCCAAGGGTTTAGGGATAGGCTTCACCTGTTTGGTCAGGCACTGGCCCAAGATCTAGGCCACTTCTCAAATCCAGCCACTCTGGTCCTTCAGTATGTGGATGATTTACTTTTGGCTACCAGTTCTCAAGCCTCATGCCAGCAGGCTACTCTAGATCTCTTGAACTTTCTAGCTAATCAAGGGTACAAGCTGTTTAGGTCAAAGGCCCAGCTTTGCCTACAGCAGGCCAAATATCTAGGCTTAATCATAGCCAGAGGGACCAAGGCCCTCAGCAAGGAATGAAAACAGCCCATTCTGGCTTATCGTCACCCTAAGACATTAAAACAGTTGTAGGGGTTCCTTGGAATCACTGGCTTTTGCCGATTATGTATCCCAGGGAACAGCAAGATATCCAGGCCCCTCTATACTCTAATCAAGGAAACTCAGAAGGCAAATACTCATCTAGTAGAATAGGAACCAGAGGCAGAAACAACCTTCAAAACCTTAAAGCAGGCCCTAGTACAAGCTCCAGCTTTAAGCTTTCCCACAGCACAAAACTTCTCTTTATATATCACAGAGAGAGTAGGGATAGCTCTTGGATTTCTCCTCAGACTCATGGGACAACCCCACAACCAGTGGCATACCTAAATAAGGAAAATAATGTAGTAGCAAAAGGCTGGCCTCACTATTTAAGTGTAGTTGTGACAGTGGCTGTCTTAGTGTCAGAGGCTATCAAGATAATACAAGGAAAGGATCTCACTGTCTGGACTACTCATGATGTAAATGTCACACTAGGTGCCAAAGGAAGTTTATGGCTATCAGACAACTGCCTACTTAGATACCAGGCACTATTCCTTGAGGGACCAGTGTTTCAAATACACATGTGCATGACCGTCAACCCTGCCACTTTTCTCCCAGAGGATAGGGAACCAATGGAGCATGAGTGCCAACAGATTATAGTCCAGACTTATGCTGCCCAAGATGATCTATTGGAACTCCCCTTAGCTAATCCTGACCTTAACCTATATGTCAATGGAAGCTCATTTTTGAACAATTGGATATGAAGGGCAGGTTATGCCATAGCTATTGAGGTAACCACACTTGAAAGTAAGCCTCTTCCCCTGGGGACCGGTTCCCAGGGAGCAGAACTAGTGGCACTTACCAGAGCCTTAGAACTAGAAAAGGGAAAAAGAATAAATGCATATACAGATAGCAAGTATGCTTATCTAATCCTACCTGGCCATACTGCAATATGGAAAGAAAGGGAGTTCCTAACCTCTGAGGGAACCCCCATTAAATACAACAAGGAAATTATGGATTTATTGCACTTAATGAAAAGTCCAAGGAGGTGGCAGTCTTCCACTGCCAAAGCCATCGAAATGGGAAGGAGAGGAGAGAATAGCAGCATAAGTGGCTGGCAGAGCCAGGGAAAGATCAGCAAGAAGGAAAGAGAAAGAGAAAGTCAGAGAAAGAGAGAGGAAGAGACAGACACAGAAAGTCAAAGAGAGAGTCAGAAAGAGAGGAAGAGACAAAGAAGAAGTCAAAGAGAAAGAAAGAGAGATGGAACTAGTAGAGAAAAAAAACAATGTACCCTATTCCTTTAAAAGTCAAGGTAAAGTTCTGCCTACCCAGCCAAGGTATATTCTTCTTATGTGGAATGTTGACCTATATCTCCCCACTAACTGGAACGGCATCTGCACGTTAGTCTTTAACATTGCCCCAGGAAATCAGACCCTATCAGTACCCCTCAAAGCTCAAGTCTGTCAGTGCAGAGCCATAAAACTAGTACCCCTACTTATAGGGTTAGGAATGGCTGCCACTACAGGAACTGGAATAGCCAGTTTATCTACTTCATTATCCTATTACCACACACTCAAAGGATTTTTCAGACAGTTTGCAAGAAATAACTAAATCTATCCTTACTCTACAATCCCAAACAGACTCTTTGGCAGCAGTGACTCTCCAAAACCACTGAGGCCTAGACATCCTCACTGCTGAGAAAGGAGGACTCTGTACCTTCTTAGGAGAAGAGTGTTGTTTTTACACTAACCAGTCAGGGATTGTGCGAGATGCTGCCTGGTGTTTACAGGAAAAGACTTCTGAAATCAGACAATGCCTTTCAAATTCTTATACCAACCTCTAGAGTTAAGCAACATGGCTTCTCCCCTTTCTAGGTCCCGTGTCAGCCATCTGGCTATTACTTGCCTTTGGACCGTGTATTTTTAACCTCCTTGTTAAATTTGTTTACTCTAGAATTGAGGCCATCAAGGTGCAGATGGTCTTACAAATGGAACCCCAAACGAGTTCAACTAACAACTTCTACCGAGGACCCCTGGAGTGACCCACTGGCACTTCCACTAGCCTAGGGAGCTCCCCTCTGTAGGACACTACAACTGCAGGGCCCCTTCATCACCCCTATCCAACAGGAAGTAGCTAGAACGGTCATCGCCAAATTACCAACAACAGTTGGGGTGTCATGTTTAGAGAGGGGATTGAGAGGTGACAGCATGCTTGCAGTTCTCACTTGATCTCAGCATCTCGTTGGCCTTGGCATCCACTCTGGCCATGTTTGAGGAGGGTTTCAGCCCACTGCTGCACTGTGGGAGCTCCTCTCTGGACTGGCCAAGGCCAGAACTGGCTCCCTCTGTGGGGAGGTGTGGAGGGAGAGGTGTGGGTGGGAACCGAGGCTGTGCACACCCCTCATGCACCAGTGCGAGTTCTGGGTGGGTGCAGACTCAGTGGGACCTGCACTTGAAGCAGCCAGCTGGTGCCTCTGGCCCAGGCAGTGAGGGGCTTAACACCCAGGCCAGTGGCTGTGGAGGGTGTGCTGGGTCCCCCAGCACAGCTGGCCCACCTGCACCACACTTGAATTATCACCAGGCCTCAGCCACCTCCCCATGGGCAGGGCTTGGGACTTGCAGCCCAGCATGCCTGAGCCCCCCACAGTGGGCTCCTGTGCATCCTGGGCTTCCCTGCTGGGCACCGCCCCCTGCTCCACAGCACCCTGTCCCATCAACTGCCCAAGGGCTGAGGAGTGCAAGCGCTTGGTGTGGGACTGGCAGGCAGCTCCACCCACAGCCCTGGCATGGGATCCACTAGGCAAAGCCACCTGGGCTCCTATGTCAGGTGGGAACTTGTAGAACTTTTATGACTAGCTATAGGATTGTAAATGCACCAATCAGCACCCTGTTTCTAGCTCAAGGTTTGTAAAAGCAACAATCAGTGCTCTGTGTCTAGCTAATCTAGTGGGGACTTGGAGAACTTTAATGTCTAACTAGAGGATTGTAAATACAGAAATCAGCATTCTGTGTCTTGCTGAGGGATTGTAAGCACACCAATCAGCACCGTGTCAAAACAGACCAATCAGCTCTCTGTACAATGGGCCAATCAGTAGGATGTGGGGTCTGATAAGGGAATAAAAGCAGGCTGCCTGAGCCAGCAGTGGCAACCCAGTCAGGTCCCCTTCCACGCTGTGGAAGCTTTGTTCTTTCACTCTTCACAATAAATCTTGCTGCTGCTCACTCTTTAGGTCTGCGCCACCTTTATGAGCTGTAACACTCACTCCAATTTCTGCAGCTTTACTCACTGCTGAAGCCAGCGAGACCATGAACCCACTGGGAGGGACAAACAACTCTGGATGGGAGGAATGAACAACTCCAGAAATGCTGCCTTTAAGAGCTGTAACACTCACCGCCAAGGTCTGCAGCTTCACTCCTGAAGTCAACGAGAACATGAACCAACCAGAAGGAAGAAATTCCAAACACATCTGAACATCTGAAGACACAAACTCCAGACACACTATCCTTAAGAACTGTAACACTCACCACGAGGGCCTGTGGCTTCATTCTTGAAGTCAGCAAGACCAAGAACCCACCAATTCTGGACACAGTGGGACTAGGCCTTGTGCTCAGCAGCCTTATCTTCTCCCTTCTGGAAATTTTATGTGTATTTTCTTCCTTTTCTTTTTTTGGGGCCCTACAGTTTCTGAGCCTTGAGTTTTGCCAGCCCACATACCCACCTCTGACTCTGGGCTGGCTGGGAGGAGATCTTCCTGGCCAGGCTCTGCAGGCTGGCATCTTTAGCAAGCAGAAATGCCATGGCATCAGTCCAGGCTGCCCCTGACTCACACTGTCCAGCAGTGGGTGTGACCCTCACCATCTCTGCCAGAAATCACTGCATGAGCAAGGGCCACCAGACTGGCATCCAGCTGCCAGCCCAAGGGTGATTAGTCAGGCCTGGTTCCACCAATTTCTAAATAGGATACACATTCATAACTTTCTCCATAGCATATATTGTTTTAAGTCTGTAACTTCTGGAGTGAAAACACTTGAGCTGAATCATGATGTTACTGAAATATAAGGAGTTCGGTCTAGGTCTTGCTACTCACCACAGGGAAAGCCAATCACTAAGACAACCAGCATTGCCCCTGGGAAAAGGCTTTAAATCAGATGCTGCAGCCAATGAGATGGAAGATCAATCAGACTCAAATCCATCTCCCTGACTGATTAAAATCAGGGGTTTATATAGCAGGGAAGAAATGCAATTGTGTGTGAGGAAACAGGAACTCAGGAGGGGTAAGGAAGCAATTGTGATGAATGAGGGACCTTGTCTTGATGCTATGATCTCATGATTTTCAGTTCTTTGATACATTTTAAGATGCCTAGTGGTCCTTTTCTGAAGAAGAAACACAGATAAAACAAAGTAAGTTTCAAGCTTCAAGGCCAGAGCCGTCCATGTCCATGTTTATCCAGGAAAAAAACTGTGTATGTGACGATTTGGTTGATTTCAGTGGCTGAAAAGCACTCACAAGAAAAGTCCCCTCTATTGCTTCAGGCTCTAATTACATATATATATTTTGTTTGTTTGTTTGTTTGTTTGTTTTGAGATGGATTCTCACTCTATCGCCCAGGCTGGAGTGCAGTGACACAATCTTGGCTCACTGCGAGCTCTGCCTCCCGGGTTCAAGCCATTCTCCTACCTCCGCCTCCCGAGGAGCTGGGACTACAGGCACCCACCACCACACCCAGCTAAATTTTTGTATTTTTAGTAGAGATGGGGTTTCACCGTGTTAGCCAGGATGCTCTCAAACTCCTGACCTTGTGATCCACCCACCTTGGCCTCCCAAAGTGCTGGGATTACAGGAGTGAGCCATGGCACCCGGCCTATTTTTTCTTATAATACTGCTTACTGCTTCTCCTAAATTCACCTTGACTTCCCTCTAATCTGTTTCCCCTTTCACAAAGGCATCACTGATTCCCTCTCAATGGTTATGTCAACAATTCAGGGAGTGCCATTCTTTAGTGTGTGTCTGTGTTTGTTTTTTTTGGGGGGGTTGCTTGTTTGTTTTTATTTTGTTTTGTTTTATGAGATGGAGTCTTGCTCAGTTGCCCAGGCTGGAGTCAGTGGCACAATCTCAGCTCATTGAAACCTCCACCTCCCGGGTTTAAGTGATTCTCTTGCCTCAGCCTCCTGAGTATCTGGGACTAAGGTGAACAACACCAGACCCGGATAATTTTTGTATGTTTAGTAGAGACAGGGTTTCACCATATTGGCCAAGATGGTCTCAAACTTCTGACTTTGTGATCTGCCTCGACCTCCCAAAATGTTGGGATTACAGGAGTGAGCCACCGTGTCTGGCCAGTAAATGCCATTCTGATGAAACATTCTACAGAAATCTAGAAATTTCAATATTTGAGATATTTTAAAGCAGGTTTTCCTGATAGGTCACCTATTCCTGTATTTTGAGTCATTCATCAAATGAAAACAATGTTTCCTATAAACATTTTTCAGATTTTTAAGATATAATTTTCAACTGTAAAATGTATACTTTTGGTGTATGTGAAGTTCTGCAACTTTTGACAAAGTTGTATAGTCACAGGACCACCACCACAATCAAGATAAAGAACATCTCTGTACTTTCATCCTAATCTTTTGCAGTCAGAGTCTCCCCTAACTCCTAGTCTTGGCAACCCCTGATTTAAGGCTCTTCCTGTAGTTGTGTCTGTTTTGGAATCTTATATACATAGCTGTTTCAGTATATAGATTTTTGCATCTGACATCTTCCTCTTAGATTTTTATGCTTGGAAATTCTTCAAGGTTTTGCTTGTGTACAGTTTTTTTCTTTTTTATTATTGAGTTATCTTACACTGTGTGAATGTACCACCATTTGTTTATTTATTCTCCTGTTGAGGTGAATTCAAGTGTTAATAAGTCCACTATAAACACTGTGTGAAGATAAATTTAAATTTTACCTGCATAGATAATACTGTAGTTGCTAGATAATATCAACTTACAATTTGTGGGACAATTTCCTACATCTACCTGGGTATGCAATGCATGAAAGGAAAGGGAGGGTAGAGGAGGAGGGGAGGGGAAGAAGGAAGGAAGAAAACAAGGAAGGAAAGGAGGGAAGGAAAAAGAGAAGTAAAGGAAGGAAGGGAGAAACAAAGGAAGGAAGTAGGAAAAAAGAAAGGAAGGAAAGAAATAGAAAAGAAAGAAGGAAAGAAAAGAAAGAATAGAGAAAGAAAAAAGATAGGAAAGAAAAAGGAAGGAGGGAGAAAGGAAGAAAATTGATCAGATTCATGTGTTTAGTTATTACAGAGAAACAGGGACATAGGGTGTGAGTTACTAATATTTTACTTGTTTTCTTCCAAATATTTTCAACTTTATAAAGTATTGGACAGATTGGAAAGTAAAAATGTTCTCTAGTGCCAAACTATATTTCTTTTTTTTTTTTTTTTTTTTTTTTTTTTTGAGACGGAGTCTCGCTCTGTCGCCCAGGTCGGACTGCGGACTGCAGTGGCGCAATCTCGGCTCACTGCAAGCTCCGCTTCCCGGGTTCACGCCATTCTCCTGCCTCAGCCTCCCGAGTAGCTGGGACTACAGGCGCCCGCCACCGCGCCCGGCTAATTTTTTGTATTTTTAGTAGAGACGGGGTTTCACCTTGTTAGCCAGGATGGTCTCGATCTCCTGACCTCATGATCCACCCGCCTCGGCCTCCCAAAGTGCTGGGATTACAGGCGTGAGCCATATATTTCTTAATATAAGACTGAAAAACTAATCGCTCCTCAATCATATCTTCACGCATCAGGTATTTAGGTTAAGATGCTAATGTATATTAGAGGTAGGAATGATGGCTGTAATTTCCAGGACTGGATCTAATGAAATGGTTCTATTATAGTTATAAAACTTCTAGTTGTGTGCCTTCATATGTCAATCAATTCCAGTAATTTTCAGATCTTATTACTTTTATCTGATATCATGGCCACTCAGAAAAAAATCCTTATTCTTTTACTTTGCTTGCATTAGTGATTAATTTTCAACCCATAGGATGTAAGAAGTGATATTTGAACTTCAAGAAATAATCCTAAAAAGGAGGGATTTCTAATTCCTTAGAGAAATTATTCTTACTGCCAGTGTGATGCAGACCTAATGGCTGGAAGTTCAGAAGCCACTTTGGACTACATGGGTAGAAGTTATGTATTGAGAGTAGTGGAGAAACAAGATGAAAGAACTCTTTTTTCTTGTTTTATTGAGGTTATCTTTTCACTTACAGTCAACCCTAATTTATATACTACTATAATTAATATACTACCTCACTGCATAATTCTTGAATGGATTTTTATTGCTTTCAGGATAAAGGGTATATAAGAAACATTACAATCTGTCTCCTACTTCTCTTTCTGGAAGTATCCCTCAACATACTTCTTTTTGCTTATTCTATGTATTCTGGCCACACTGAACTTTCACTTCCTGAAATGCAACTTATTCTTCCATATTAGGTTTATTCACAGATTTTCTTCCACCCTGTTCACACTTTGTGGCTTAACTATATCCAACCTTCAGGTCCATTTTAAAGACATACTCCTGCAGAAACCTTTCCTGATCAGCTTTGCCCAGGCAGGGTCTCCCAGTGTATACCAAGATGGTTTCACTTGTAACTTTTTTGTAAGTGCTTTACACATCTTCCTGTGCAGTTGCTAAGCTACTAATTCTTTAAGGCAGCAGTTTCCAAACGGAGGCAAGTTTGCCCCTGGGAACAGGACATCTGGCAGTGTTTGGAGACATTTTTAGTTGTCACAGCTGTGAAATGAGAACTGAGAAGAGGCTACTGTCTTCTATCCCGTGGAGATCAGAGATGTGGTTAAATCTCCTGTATTAGCTACATAGAAATACTATTCTTCTTTACGAAAAAAAAAGAGGTTTAATTGGATCAGAGTTCTGCAGGCTGTAAGGCTGTAGAGGAAACATGGATGGTGGGTTCTGCTTCTGAGGAGGCCTCAGGAAGCTTACAATCATGGCGGAAAGAAAAGCAGAAGCAGTCACATCTTACAGGGCCAGAGCAGGAGCAAGAAAGAGAAGGGGGAGATGCCACACACTTTAAAACAATCAGCCTTCACAGCAACTCATTCAGGATCATAAAATCAACACCAAGGGGATGGTGTGAAAGCGTTTAGGACAAACACCTCCATGATCCAGACACCTCCCACCAGGCCCCAACTCCAACACTGGGTACTAAAATTTTACATGAGATTTAGGCAGGGACACAGATCCAAATCATATCACCCCTGCAATATATATCGTGGCCCTGCACACACACATACACACACAAATCAGCCCCAAATATCAGAAGTCCTGCAGTTCAGAAACACTCCCTTAAAATTTCTTGATAAGGGAAACAAAACAAAACAAAACAAAAAAAACTACCACAGTTTACAATTATGTACCTGATGCTATCACACTTTCTGGCATACAGCTAACAATTGAATATTTAAAATATTGAATGGCATTGAAGTTATTTTTCAGGGATGGCTGGGTAAAAATGTATTTTTCCCCCAAATTACTGATGAAAGTAATAAACATGCATTGAACTTTTACTACCTGCTGGCACACTCTAACGGTAGAGTATTATTATTTAATTACTTCAAGCCAACACCCTCTGGAGAAAAAAAAAATTCCATCCCACGTTTATAGATGAAGACATTGAGACCCAGTGAGTTATGTCTCCTGCCATAGGTAAGAGGGACATCTCAGATAAGAACTCAGCCTGACCAGCCCAGTGCCCAAGGTTCAGCGCTCAACCCCCATAAAGGGCTGCCTGTCTAAAATGCCTATGGGTGCATGCCATACTTGAGATATTCAAATATTTTAATATCTATTGTATTGAAATGGACCGCTTACTGAAATTATGGCAAAACAATTTGTGATTACAAACCTATCTACAGCCACACACCTCATAACATCGTGGTCATAGATGACAGTGGTCCCATGAGGTTATAATAAAACTGAAAAATTCCTATTGCTTACTGAGTTTGTAATTGTCCTAAAGTCTTGCATTTCTCATGTACTTATGGTGATCCTTGTGTAAACAAAACTACTGCAGTGCCAGTCATATTAAAGTCTAGCACATACAGTTATGGTCACTACATAATACCTCATAATAACAAACTACTGTGTTAATGGTTTATGCATTTGCTATTCTATACTTTTAATTGTTATTTTAGAGTGAACATCTAATTTTATTTTCAAGACTGTGTCTCACTGTCTTGCCCAGGCTGGAGTGTAGTGGTGTAGTCCTAGCTCAGAGCAGCCTCAAGTTCCTGGGCTCAAGAGAGTCTCTCACCTCAGCCTACTGAGTAGCTGAGACTACAGGTCCATGCCACCACACCAAGCCAATTTTTGTTTGTATTATTTTAAGAGACAGAGTTTTGCCATATTGCCCATATGGGTCTCAAACTCCCGAGCTCAAGTGACTCACCTGCCTCAGCCTCTCAAAGTGCTAGGATTACAGATGTGAACCACTGCACCTGGATAAATGTGTTTTTTTCAATACAGTACAGTACAATGCTTTACTTGAAGTCAGAGCTCCCAAGAATGTATCAACAATGTGTAATTGGGAGTTACTGTAATGTGTACATGTGTGCATGTGTGTGCCTGTGTGTATTGGGGAGTGTGTGTGTATATACACACACATTTTATATCATATACATACTATATTATATATACCTTATATATAGTATATATACTATATTACATATAGTATATGTGTGTATATATACACATTAGTGTATATACACACTACATATTACATATAGTATATATACAATATTATAGAGTACATCATATATAATATATACACTACACATATATACAATACAAATACCAACTATATATACTATGTATATATAAATATAATGTACCTAGTGTACATACTATATACTAATATATACATATAATATTGGATATATAATATCCAGTATATAGTATATATTTATACTACTAAAGTGACTTAGAATAATGTGTATGCTTAGAATAAATATTAAATTACTTAGAATAAATAAAATTAAATACCTGAGTGCCAACCTTGGATTCATGACATTTCATATAATGTTTAACTTTTCTGTGTATATGCCCTCAAAAGCAGGTCTTATCATCTTAGATGAATTTTGACGGTGATGATCCAATGGTAACTGTGTAGAAAGAATGTCATTTGGGATTTTTTATAAAGTTATCCTAAACTTTTAGGAGGACAGTTAAAATCGTAAAACTCACAGAACAATATTTCAGTGGTGATATTTAGTTATTTGTTTTCACTGGTAACTTGCTAGAAGGAGGATTTTACAAATCCAAGGGCAGACTTTAACCCTGAGGTCAGCCCAAGATGGAAAATGTGACAATTTAAGTAGACCGGTTGAGTTCAGAAAATTCAACTGCAGCTAAATAGAAACTGCAGAGCTCACCACAGTTGGAATTAGACTCAGAAATGGAGCTGGAGTCTTTCCTGGACACTGAGCTTTTAAAAACACAAAAATATTCCATTTGTAATACAATTTACATAAAATGTCTTATTTTTCTCTTAATAATCATTTTTATTAAATGAATAATGCTAGTAGTGGAATATATTTTTAATTAATTTAATACTTAATATCATTTATGACAGAAATTTTATATATTACTGAATATAGTTAATGGTTGCATCAATAGAAAAATTATTTAAAAATTCAAGTGAATAGTTAAAATATAGTCTATATTCTCTTCAGTGTATTATGCAATGTCTTGTGTTAATGTCCCAAGGCTGCCAATAACAAAAATACCAGAGACTGGCAGGCTTAAACAAAAGGATTTTATTTTCTCATGATTCTGAAGGCTGGTAGCCTGAGATCAAGGTGTGAGCAGGGCTGATTTCTCCTGAGTCGTCTCTTCTTGGCTTGTAGATGCTGTCTTCTTCTTCTCCTTGTGTCCTCACAGGGTCATGCCTCTGCATGTGGCTGTGTCCTCATCTCTTATTCTTATAAGGATACCAGTCCAACTGAATCAGGGCCCAGTTTAGTAACCTCATTTTACTTTAATTACCTCTTCAAAGAACCCATTTTCACAGAGAGTCACATTCTGAAGTTTTGGGATTAGGACTTGGTAGGACTTCAATGTATACATTTTAAGGACATGCAATTTAGCCCATAACACTTGTGAGATCATATTCTATTGTTAAAATAACAGTCCCTACAAATATCAAGAAATGAGGGAGGACTTTGAAACTGAAGAAAACATGAATATTCTTTATAATAACATGTATACATATGCTGATAATAACAACCATGTCATAGAAGTAGGGAGTATTTCAGTTATTAGAGGCTGGGAAGGGGAAGGGAAGGAAGATAGGGACTGGTTGGTTAACGGATACAAAATTATGGCTAGATAAGAGGAATAAATTTTAACGCTCTAAAGCACTGTAAGATGAGTAGTGTTAACAATAATCTATCATATGTTTTCAAAAAGCAAGAATGTTTTAGGCGGAGGAACACCACTACGTGTTCATAAGCAGGTCTTCATTTTAAATACAAAATCAGGCTTTGAGATAATCTCTTGATAGATCTTGAAAAACTTCCTTTTCATATCCTTCAGCTTCACCCTCACTCAACTTCTCTACATTCGCTGATGCTCACTGGTACTTTTGTATTTCATTCCCCATCAGTCAACCAAGAAGGATGCTGAGGTTTATTTCAGAGATGCATGTTCAAATCAGAATTTCATGCAAACACACTTACACACAAACCCACACACATACACTTTCCATCTACGTTTATGAGAACATTATAACCTTCACTGAATATATTTTTTTAATAAAATAAAATACGTGATGAAAAACCAGAGTCTTGTAAGAAAACTATAACAATGTACATATGGATATGATTGTAAATATCCTAAATGAAAATAGAAAAGTGAATTCAGCTAGGTTACAAAAATCAATCACAATCAATTTAGGTTTATTCTAGAAACCCAAGAATATTTGATTATTGAAAAATATATGAGTATGAACTATTGCATCCACAGAATAAAGAACACAAGTCATAATTTAATAAAGCATTCAACAAATGTTAATGATAATTAACTGGAAGACAAACTTCCAGTAAACTAAAAAAAATTCTTTTGACCTGACAAAAACTCTCTGAAAGATGAAGATACAACAATTTTAAAGTTAAGAAATGAATGAAGAAGATGATTACAAAACCATTTCAAAACATTCAGACATTTCAGGGCTGTGTGGAGTATTCATAAGGTGTTTACATATGAAATATTGTACTAGCCACTAGGTATTACTGTGTTTCAGACATATTTCATATCAAAAACATTTTCAAAAAAAGAGTTTTCTCCCATCATGCAGATACAATTATTTGTTCCCAAGTTGCTTGGTAAATGAAAGAAAAATGGACCACACAATTTTTTCCTCAGGAGACAAGGATGCTTTGCATGACTGAGTCACCCTTAAGCTTCCTCCACCCTCAATTTCCCCAGAAATGATGTGTGATTCTTGGTGTCTTTGAAAGCCATGCTTTGCCCAAAATCAAGAATAATAAGATGCCCCAGGCAGCCTTATTAGGGAAGGCATGCTCTTTAGTGGAAAAACAACTTTGGATGTTTGCCCTATTTGCATATGTGGGCTTTAGGACACCACAGACTCTCATCATTTAAAGGCTATTCAGCAAATGTTAAAAGATTATTCTCATTTCCACTGTTGTTGCCATTTTAAGGTTCCCCAAATATTTGCCTAAGAATTGTCGTGCAACTGATCTATTTATCTACATACACTTTTCTGCCTGACCAGATATCCAAAGTTTGTCATTCATTTGACTTTTGTTTAAAAATAAATTCATTTGCTTATCAAGAGATAAAGATGATGAGAGAGAAAATAATGTACCAAGCTGTCATTCTGCCAAGGTAAAAATAAAGGAAATTGGATGAGAAATCACTGAGCTGAGAAAGAAATGGGAGCTTTCCTTGACAGTCGTTTAGGTCATAGAAAACCATTTAATGATGTCCCTTCTCCACTAAACCCTAGCACATTAGCACAATTTGTTTACAAGGCTGGATGGCTTCAAAGAACCATTTTCTTTGGCTGAGAAAGAAATTATAATATTCAGTACTCTGATTTTAATATAGTCTCAGTTCTGGTGTGTTCATGTTTTTCACTCTTTCATCTCCAAAATATATAAAGGCCTCAGAATGGTTTGGGTTTCTGATAAACAGAAAGGCACCAACAATTGTGATTTAAACAAGCATTACCATTCTTTATAAATTCTGTATCCAATGCCTGATATTCTTTATTAAATGTTGAAAAAGAACTGTCTCTGAGTCTGTTACTGGCTATCTTTTCTAAAGGAGTTACAGCCAATGATTTCAGGAAATATCATGGAAGTCAATAGAAAAGTAATTCCTGCTACTTACTATGTTATTCACTAATAAAAAGTCATCCATTGTATTAAATTAACAAAAACAATATAATCAACCTAGTGCATGTGTTTCTGTATTTGGATTATCATGTGATTTATTTAGTTTCCACTGCTATGCTGAGTGAGAATGTATACATGGTATTTTATTTTCCCAAGAACCCCAGCAAAATAATTTATATTCACAACTTTCCTTTCTTTTCTTTTCTTTCTGTCTTTCTCTATTTATTTTGAGACAGAGTCTCACTGTTTCACCCAAGCTGGGGTACAGTGGTGCAACCATAGCTCACTGCAGCCCTGACACCTCAGGACTGAAGCAATCCTCCCACCCTCAGCCTTCCAAGTAGCTGGAAGTACAGGCTTGCACCAGCATGCCTACCTAATTTTTTTTTTTGTTTTTTGTAGATATAGGTTTTCACCATGCTTCCCAGGCTGGTCTGAGGCAATCTTCCTGTCTCAGTCTTCCAAATAACTGGGACTTCAGGTGCACACCATTATGCCTGGCTAATTTATTTGTATTTTTACTTTTAGAGATGGTGTCTCACTGTTGCCCAATATGGTCTTGAACTCCTGGCCTCAAGAGATTCTCCTGCCTCAGCCTTTCAAAGTACTGGGATTATAGGCATGAGCCATTGTGCCCAGCCACAACTTTATTTTTTACATCATAATTTTAACACAGTCTTTAAACTATTTAAGAATAACTAGGCTTTCCTATTACCATCTTGCATTCACTGTGCTACCTCCTCATTGATCTCGGTGGAATATCTGCTTCTTTAGATGTAAAATCCCAGTTTTAAAAGCAAATAAAAAGATGTTCCACATGGGAGGTTTTACCATTGTTCTTTCAACCACACATAAGAGGGTGTTCCCAGCACATGTTGGGTATCCAGCCCATCTGGGAAGTAACTTTTCTAAACTGTACTATTCCTATTGTAGCATAAATAATTGGCAAAATGTATCCTTGACTACCCTTGCCAGTTTATCTGATGATCCTAATGTGATTTCACATAATGTTGTGGAAAAGGTTATCTTTTTACTTAATAGATGTGTCTTCATATTTCATTGTTCTAAGCCTTCTTTTACAGTGTCAATTTTCCCTTCCCTGAATACATTGAAAGGAAAAACTCTTCCATTATTGTTAATTTGCTATTTTCTGTTCTGAACTTGTTTATTTTTATTCTTCAATACCTGGGCATCTTTTCCCAATTCTGTCTGTCTCCTGTTAGATATAAAGTTATCTCTTGCAGGCAGCCTTAGATTTCCTCAACCATTGTGACAAAATAACTGTGTTTTCCTGTAATGTCATAAATGAAACTTTCTTAGCTCCCTACTTCTTGGCCTCAAATCTATAGGATTCCCTGAATCTGTACTGGTCGTAAGTCTTGTTCTTCCTTCTCTGGAGCAATTTTTACTTGCCCTTGATTACTTCAAAGTCCTTTAAATACTGCATTTTTACATGTGTACCAGAATATGCACTATATAATGTGGATCATATAACATACATTGTATATGAAAACATAATGTGTATAACCTAACATGCATCACATAACATATATAACAAGTATTACATAACATGGCATAGCATAATGTAGCACAGCACCTAACAAAGCATAGGATAGCATAACATAACATATAACATAACATCACATGGCATATAAAATAATATAGCCTAGCCTAGCATAACATATAACACAGCATAACCTAGCAGAGAGTGACATATAATGTGACATAAGAGGACATGACATGGCATAAATGTAGCATAGCATAGCATAGCATAGCATAGGAAAACACAAAACAGAATGATAGATAGCACAGCATAGGTGGCATATAACATATTATAGCAGAGCCTACCATAACATGTAACATAGCATTAAACATAAACCAAATGTACAAGAATGATGAGAAGGAAAGAGCATATCACTTTAAATGATACAGAAGTAGGGAAGGGAAGAGCTGGGTAGAGAAAGGCAGGTCCCTGGCTAGGGCTTCACCCCCACAGACCTAGGTGAGGACAGGCACTCCTGCTTTCCCACACAAATGTTGCATTTTCCAAGGCCACTCTGGCCTGCCACATCCCTATCCTGAGCCTATAAAAGCCCAAGATCCTATTCAATACATAGGTGATCAGGTGTCTTGAGGAGCACATTGGGAGAAGAAGATTTAAGCAGCTGGTCATCAAGAGGATGTTGAGAGGAGCATACTGGCAGAAGAGCACAAGGACAGGCACCAGCTCATGGGCAGGCCATTGACCAGTGGGAAAAGGTAAGTTTGGCTGGGGCAGTTCAAGGAGAGCTAGGGCTGCTGAGTGACCCAATTCCAGGGGAAAACCATCTCCCTTCTGGCTCCCAAATAAGCTGAGATGTATTTCCACTCAATAAAACTTTGCACTCATTTTCCAAGCCCATTTGTGATCTGATTCTTCTGGTACACCAAGGTAAGAACCCAGGATACAGAAAGCCCTCTGTCCTTGCAACAAGGTAGAGGGTCTAATTAAGCTGGTTAACAAAAACTGCCTATAGGCAAATTAAAAGAGCACCCTCTAACACAGGCCCACTGGGGTGTAGATGCTGCCATGGGGTAGGAGCCCTACAGCCTGCCTGCCTTGTGCCCTGTAGAGGTTTGAGCAGCGGGGCATGGAAGAAGTAAGCCATACTCCCATCACACACCCTGTGAAGGAGACAAGGGATCCTTTCCCATTTCACTAACACATACATCATGGCATAAAACATAGCATAGCATAGCATAGCATAGCATAGCATAGCATAGCATAGCATAGCATACCATACCATACCATACCATACCATACCATACCATAGCATACCATAGCATAGAAAATAATAGTATAATATACCAAAATATATCACATAACATCATAGCATAAAACATAGACTAAACAAAATATAGCACAGCATAACATGTAACACAACCTAATATAGTATAACATATAATCTCACATTAAAGCCTAGAAAAACACAGCATAAATCATAACATAGCATAACATCACATTACATATCACAGTATAACATAGTCTGTAACACAGCATAACAACATAGCATATAAAACAGCATAACATAAAATATAACATAACATAACTTATAACCTAACATAGCATAGCAAAGAAAAGCATAGCATAAGTCATAACATAGCACAGAATAACACAGAACCTACCATAGTGCAGCACATCACATAACATAACCTGATATGACATAACATAGCATAGCATATATTAGAGCATGCAATACCACAACAGAAAACAACATGTAACATGCCATGCCATAACAATACATAATGAAGACATTATTTCCATTCCTTTTTAAGTCCAATATCTTCTCCTTTCTTTTATCTATTGTTGATACCCTTTCTTCTCTCTTCCCACACATTCTGAGAGGCAAGTGAGTGGGCACACAGAGAACTTGGATTTGGAAGTCCTGGACTTGGATCCTGACCAGATTTGGCTTTTTATTTTACATGTCCATGGTAACAACCCTAAGGCAATTCACCTAATATTTGTCTACATATTTCAAAGTTATAACCAAGCAAATCGGTAAAATAATGTATATTCCATATTTCAATGTTAACAAAACATTTTTATAACAACCTGGAAGGATAGGTACAAACTGGGTGGGCAATGGGGGCTGTGAACCAGAGAGGGGGTCTGGGGAACTGGTCAAGCCTGAGACCTGTCCCTTTCTCTTCCAACCTCCAGGCTATCTCCTAAGCTCCTCCAGCACTCATGGGTAGAGACCCCAGCCTGTACGTCTGTATTATTTCATCTGCCTCCTAAAACACATCCATAGGCATTCAACCCCTAATGCATATCTGTTTCCATCCACTCTCCCAATTCATGTCTATTTTCCATCAATCCCTCCCAACAATGGCCATTATATTCCACTCATTCTTCATGGGTATTTGTGCTCCATCCATCCCGCCCATGCACATCCATATTTGATTCACCTCATTATTATGAACCCATATGCAATCTTGGGTCCATATTCCATCTTTCCTCCCACAAGGTCATCTATGTTCTGCTCACCCAACCACAACACAAGTCCTTATTCTGACCTCCCAGCAGCCACCACATGGCCCCTCCTCTGAATAGAAGAATCCTTTACAGGCACGACGTAGGGAACAAGCCATGCTAATTCTGGAAGTGGGTGGAGAGTCATTTGGACTGGATTATCCATGGTCCTAGATACCCAGAGTGGGTTCTAAACTGAGGTATAGAGCTTTGACATCTTGGAGTCCTTGCACAGATGAATGTGGCTGGAAGAAGTTCAGAATTCAGTCCTTGAAAGCAAGTATCAGCACAGGAGCTCTTCTAACCTAGATTTAAGGGTCATACTTTTCTTATGCTTTTTGTGCCATCAGTGATTGGTCCCAAGGGTTATCGTGTAACCAGTTCATCTCATGGCATATATCTTGGTCTATTCCAGTCCTGCTATGACATTGTTTGATTACCAATCACCAGGATGAAAATTACCCAATGCCAGAAACCACTTGCAAACAAAACAATGATAAAAGGAACAAAATCTGTTCTACATGCTCCTCAATGACTAGGAGTCTACCCCTGAATTTGGGTCCAAAACTAGGTTTGGACAGACTATGTTAGGTACAGGCACCCTAACCAATCCCTTGGGAGGCCACCAAGGACATTAAGTTTCTTTCTGAATGCCAAGTATTCCCTTTGGTGCTCAGACGTTGCCAGGCACACTTGGGATCTGGGAAGAGAGGGTAGCGGCAGAAAGTTCATTGTCCTGCTGGTAGACCGAGAAAATCACATATGACCACTGGCTCTGCAATCCTCTATCCCTGGGACTTCCCTCTCACATGGTCATCTTCAAGTTCAGCATAAGTTGCTACACAAGTCGGGTATCTATTATTGCATAGATTAGCTTTGGCTTTCAACCACGATTCACTGAGCCAGATACATAGAATGTAAACTCTTTTCTATCAAATATGTTGTACTTCAATAGTTTATTTAGGGATGGCTCTTTTTTGGTTTGAGTATCTTCCCTTATCATCTCTGTAAACATGAGGATCCATCTGGACCATAATTCTCTTTCCACAGGCCCACTCCTTTTTTCCATCATATGAATTTTCATAAAATAGATTGTTTACTTGACTTGTCTCCTCCCTGTTCTCATAAGCAAACTCTGGCATTTGATATCTATGGAGAAGGAAAAAAATGCTTATCTCCTTTCTTACTAAAAGCCTCATGGCACTTCGCTTTGTTCATAGAGGTTTATTTTATCTTTTCTGTTGCATAAATCCAGGTATTCTGAAGCATTAACTTCAGTTCTTTCTAATTCTTCATGTACATAGTCTGAGTTCCTGTGGGGGTATTATGTCTAACTTTCCTCCTTCAAGGCTGAAAGAGACCTTGGTACTATTTAACACTTCTTTAGTGATTATCTTTGAACTCATAGTTACATACTAACTATTGAGACTCTCAGTGGAAGGACTTATGATTCAAGCAGATTTCTCCTTATGTGCTACTTCTTTGTAGCATTATTCACCATGGTCCCCTTTGGTTTGACATCTTCCCTCCATTTTATCTTTTTTATTCTTCTTTGAGATATTTCTAAGGCAAGGGCAAGGGTAGAATGCTCATCTAGACATTTCTTGCCCTTCAGTGCATTTTATAAAATCAGTAGAAATCAATATGCATTTGTCTTGGACTCTCCTTTCCCTTTGGCATATCACATGAGCAGCATTTTAAGTGAACTGGCTTTGTGAACACAGAATCTTATGGACCCATTAACATCAGAGGCACATATACACCATGGAATACTATGCAGCCAAAAAAAGGATGAGTTTATGTCTTTGCAGGGACATGGATGAAGCTGGAAGGCATCATTCTCAGCAAACTAACACAAGAACAGAAAACCAAACACTGCATGTTCTCACTCATAATTGGGAGTTGACCAGTGAAAACACATGGACACAGGGAGGCCTGTCACACACTGGGGACTGTCAGGGGGTGGAGGACTAGCAGATGGCTAGCACTGGGAGAAATGCCTAATGCAAATGATGGGTTGATGGGTGCAGCAAACCACCATGGCATGTGCATGCTTACGTAACAAACCTGCACATTCTGCACATGTATCCCAGAACTTAAAGTATAATAATACAAAAAAAGAATAACTATTCATAACACTTTAAAAAAAGTGTTGGACAAGCCACTAAAAATGAGTGTATCCACATTCTTCTTTGTCCTATGTTGCATGTTGCATTGACTATGTGAGTCAAGAATGACACTCACATAGAAATAAGTACCTGAATATCTGACGTTGTGGAAGAACCAACTATAAGGTTCTCTAGAAAAGAATCAGTCCAAGGAAATTGATCTTTGAAAAATTCACACTAAGATATTTTTTAACCACAAAGAACCTCTGCTTTAACTTCCTAAGAGGAAACAAATACCTCAACCCCAATAGCTTATGTCCTTCAATGCTTCCTCTATTTCATGTTCCTCAATTCCAGTTCCCAAATGTCATGCGGTTGCATCTACTGGGTGCAAAATGGGGAAAATAAGGAAACCCAGCCACAAGGGAATCAAGATTTCCATTCCATATAGAAGATGAAGTAAGGCCTCTAGAAAGAGATTAAGGCTGGTGAAAAATAAGCTGATGATCAATATCTGTCTCAGAACCTTTCTTTGGCTACTCTACTTTGCATACTCTCCTTCCCCTGGGTTTTGTTTGTTCCTCCTGTAGGTAAATCACAATCTCACATCGACTTCTTAGAAGCTAAGAACTAAATGGTGAGATTACTCTACCAACGTCCTATGCAAACTTAGAGGGGAAATGAAAAGCAAATAGTAAGTAAAATTGGTAGATCCATCATGATAGTGATTTGCTCTTAGCAAATGAGCCCCAAGAGGTCTCCTTGAAATTATATCCATGGCAAGATTACCTCCTTAAAGAAACTGTCTCCAAATACTGTCAACTTCTGCAGTACTGTGGGTTAGAATTTCAGCATATGAATTTTGAGTAGAATACAATTCTATACAAAAGGTATAGATCAAAGATTTCTGTATGTTAGATCTCTGATGATGGCCCCAATATTTCATTTTTCAGGGATGTCTTCTTGGTTGGGTTTGTCATTTTGGTAAAAGGAAGGCACCTGTCATATCTCCTGCCATAATCATCACTTGAAGATTAGAAAGCCAATGTTGGGGGTCCCTAGAAGGTGATAAGTATATACACTCATAATATATATTCTGAAACATAAGATACAATGGCAGGATGGTTTGAACCTATTTTGCTCACTGTGAGATACAATCACATTACAATTCTATTTAAGTGACCCCCCTAACAGCCAGCCCAATGAGTCCTCATTCTGACTCAGCTACCCTAGAAGCATTCCAAGTCACCAGGGACATGTGCTTAACTCTGAGCCAATGATCTATAAATCCTGAAAGAGCCTAAATTTTTTTTTTCTCATGTGAACTTCTGTTAATGGCTTCCAATCACTTGGATAAAGTGCTTTGGATGTTATCAAGGTCTCTCTCTTTAAGGACACCATTCAAAAGATTTTTAGTCATGAAATAACTGAGGTCTGGATATGGTTGAGGGTCCATGACTCAGGATCACGGTGTCCAAGAGAAACACCCACTTACCCCTATTTTATTTCCCCGTGGTGGACAACAACGTAGGCTCTCTCCATATATTGGGTTCCTAGGGATGCCACGATAAATTAACCTGCAACAAAGATCTCTGCGAATAAAACATTCTGGTCTACAGACTGCCCAGTGCCTCTTCTGCTATTAATGTCTAATGGTTAAACAATCTCCCTTGGTCTTGCCTGTTTCCTACTTCCCATGACTTAGTGAACCTGTTTCAAATGACTCACAAACAAAACCTTCATTTCCTGCATTCACAAGGGCAGATAAGGGAACCCATTTGCCAGGAGCAGGTTTTTCCCTTCTTCATAAATTTCTTGATGCTTTTATAAAGAGAGAAAGCATCAAGCCCTCCTGGGGAACAAAGATGTCAGATATGTGGATCCCATATGCTAGATCCACCCAAACTTTCACCAAAAGTCTTCTGATTCCTCCTTTCCTATTGCTGCAGGGGCTTTCTGACATCTATGTTTATTTAACATTCAATCACCAACAGATCAAACAGTTAAAAACCCTCTCAGATCCTCTCGTAGATGCAACTATGGAAATAAATTCTTATTGATTTACAACTTTTTTCTTTTTACCTTGGCTAGCATGATTAGAATATATTCCTATTTCCACACATATTCCCTGGGCTTGCAGATTTAAAAAAAAAAAAAAACCCTGCAAAATAGTGCCCTATTTTGGTGTACTTCTCTTGTTCCAGGATTCACCTACGGTGTAGGCTTCTCTTCTTCCTGGATTCATCTGTGGTGTAGACTTCTCTTCCTCCTGGTTTCATCTGTGGTGCAGACTTCTCTTCTCTTTGGATTCATCTATGGTGTAGACTTCTCTTCCTCCTGGATTTGTTTATGGTGTAAATTTCTTTTCTTCCTGGATTCATCTATGCAAGTAAACACAGAGCCTGCTAGGATCTGACTCTCATTATAGGTCTGGAGACCACAAGAAGTCACAAGGGTAGGGTATGAAGAAAATTTGCACTTCCTTATCAGGTAACATCTCAGGTAATATACTTCAGGTGATGTAATAGATCAGGTGAGGATATTACAAGTTCTTCAAACAAGGCAGAGACAGCCTCATCAAAGTTTCTTGAGTTTCCTGAGCAACGATACATTAGGGTAGTCTGAAAGGTTTGCAATACACTTCTTGGAGTCACATACTTTCCTCATCAACTTCACAAGAGACTTAGAAAATCCATAATTAATCTTTTGTTGAAATCACAGTATAATACTCCTCTTTGGAATTTCAGATACACCAATTCTGGGCCTATAAGAAATTTGATCTTTTGGCTGGGCTCATTGGCTCATGCCTGTAATCCCAGGGCTTTGGGAGGTTGAGACAAGCAGATTACCTGAGCTCAGGAGTATGAGACCAGTTTGGCCAACATGGTGAAAACCTGTCTACTAAAAACATAAAAAGTTAGCCGGGCGTGATAGTGCCTGCCTGTAATCCCAGTTACATGGGAGGCTGATGCAGGAGAATTGCTTGAATCTGAGAGGCCGAGGTTGCAGTAAACCGGGAGGGACAACTGCGCTGCAGCCAGGGTGACAGAAATCAGATCTTTTCTTTAAAGTCCGTGATAATAAAGTTATTAATATCCTAGCTATTCCATGAGCTGAGAAATTAACATTTTGAACCAGTGACTTTTGTTCCTTAACATTCTAGAGCGCAGTAAGAAGTAGCCAGCATATTCCACTGTCCCGGTATTCCTAGATCCTATTAAAATGATTCATTGCAACAGTCATGTACACAATCAAACCAGTTCTTTCACTATGCATTGCTTTGAAATTAACAATTTAGGTGACTTTTACCATAACATCCAAGTGTCAGTTCAAATAAAAAGGACCCACCTAAAATTCCCATTACCTTGAGGCTGTTTTATCCGCATCTGTTACAGGAACCAATAGACAACGACTTTTCATTGGCAGACAATAGAATCCGCTTAATTTACTTTAGGTAGAACGGTCTACATTATTAAGTATTTTGTAGTTTAAACATTTTATTTTCAGGGAGAAGCCAAGTCTCAAGACATCTCTTGAAGAAAATATTGATCTGGTCAGTAGAACATTCCATTTTTCAGCAGAGAATCTCAGAAGGAAGAAATACGATTGATCCCCAGAGCTCAGTGAGGTATCTTGTCTACCTCATACAAGCAAGTGAGGCTTTGAGAATGCCTCAAATCCGAGAAACTAAAATGGGTCCTAGGAACCTTCAAAGGTTTCTGTGATAATTAATATTTTGCTTACTTAGCCTGGAAAATTCTAGGAGGAACATTAAGAACAGAGCTTAAAGAGATATTAAAAAATGAAGAGGGATTTGGAGAATGTGAATATGCTACCTTCATGCTTAATTTACTTGACACTTAGGTCTGGAGACAGAAAGTTGAATTGCAGGCATCTAATTAAGTGGACAATTTATATATATGTGTGTGTGTGAAAGAGTGTAAGTTTCATTAAATTAACATAAAACTATTGAGTTCACTTAACACTCTACATAAATATATGTGCATGTGTGTGGATACATGTTCCCCTAAACACACATAGCACATGTATTTATCATGTTAACAAATGCCATTTGAAAGCCATAAACAGAATCAGTGTTTAGAAATTATGAATAAATCTCTGGTTTAAAAATTGTCTAACCTCTAATTGTGCAATATTCTTTGGTATGATCTCAAGGGCTTGAGGTTTGACTCATTTTACATTAATGGTACATAATCACAAAAACAACCAAATATAGTCCTAATACAGATGTTCCAGCTAATTTTTAGGAAGTTACCATAATTATACAACCACCATAATATATACCTTGATAAATATTGTTTTGATTAATAATCAAGAAATCCATGTAAAAATAAACTTAGGAATTCCATCCCTTCTTTTTTGATATAGTCAGCATTAAGTGGACAAGAACAGCAGCGCTCAGCCTAAGTTTTTATTTCCATTTTATGGTGGCTTATGCTTAATATTGCAACTTTACTAAGGTCAATCTTGGTTGGTGCCGTATACATTTTCCAGGGCAATGTTGCTACATTGCACATTTTGCATCATTCAACTAATGCTATGTAAACACATTTTATAGTAAGATCTATGAAACAGAAGGGAAAGAATATCAGCAATTTGTTTGAAGAAATGCTTTTAATGAGTCATTGAACACTTAAATGACATAAAAAGCCTACATGATATGTAAAGTTGTCAGAGGGAAAACTTCAGCATGGTTATGTTATGCCAAATCTTTCTAACAGGAAAACTTACAATGGCTTAAAAATCAGGAGGACTTGATCAGTTCAAAACAAGTCCTTCATTAATGGACTACATACATCCAAGGCAGCAGGTCCAGAAAGGGTATTATCACTCTACATTTCATTCAGCAGGAGGAAAGAATATTGTGTATTCAGCAATCCTCTTCCCCTAAAATGTAATTGTGCCTCTAAAGTGTAAGGAGTTTTGGATCTTGTAAAATGTGCTATACATTAAAACTAGTACTTAGTAGACCTGGGCATGATGTCATTTCCATTAAAGTAGGTGAATATCTCTCATTTAGCTTCCCTATATCTTTTCAGGCTGTCTAGCTTTGAATTGTTTTATGTTGCTAATGGCAAATTTTTTTTCTCAAAAATACAAAAATAGTGAATAATTTACTTTTGTAAATTTACAAATGCATTAAATGTGTTTTTGTAGCTAGTTCTATTCTTGTTATTTAATAGGGATTCTAGATCAATCTCCTGGAATACCTTTACTCCAAAGGGAATACACTAACATAATTTACACAATTAGTTGATTTATTCAAATATACAATGTGGGAGTAGCATGTGCACACACACATACATAGTAAGTCCTCAGTAACATCGTGTGTGTGCGTATATGTGTGTATGTGTATATATATGTGCATATATATACACACACAGTATATGTATATGTGTATATATACATGTTATGTATATATATATACAGTATGTGTGTGTGTGTATATATACAAACAGAGTAAGTATATATATGTATATATATACATATATATATATATATACACGCACAGTAAGTCCTCACACAATATCATCAATTGGTTCTTGGAACTTGCAACTTTAAGAAAAACAACACATAGCAGATTCTTGATTAATATTATTTTCTTTCAAATTTGTTACATTACAATGTCTATGAGGAAAAAAATATTTCATTATGTCATTTCTCTTAAATTTGCAGTTTCCAAGAATCTGTCTACAACATTAAGTGAAGACTGATTGTGTATAAATACAAGTTTACTTTCCTAAGATATATAAAATGCATTTATGTGTATCTATTCAAATAAATTTTCATATATATCTATATACATATATTTTATATATGTAAGGGTACGTGTACTTATATATGCACATATAATACATATATATATAATGTGTACATAAAATCTTTTTGTGTCCATCTGAAATTAGAAATTAGAGACATATACAATATTGAGTTGTTATACATTCACCAAAGACATTATCATCTTTGGTTTGCAACATTTCAACCCCCAGATTTTATGTCTAAACAAGATTAGAGGACTTAGCCCTGACTTTCTGTTAAGTATTGAAGTACAAATAACTTCAAAAATTCTTTACAAACCACTATTCAGTTTAACATGTTGAAGCAAAATCAGGATTTGAATACTTCTGAGTGCTTATGAAACTAAAAATTTTTCACTCTTCTTCCCTGTCAAAGAGGGTGTGTAAGAAATATACTTTCAAGGACCAGAGGCATCACACATCTTTCCTTTTTGTTCAAGTATTTTTGCCACCTGTCATTACATTCCTGGAATCTTATATTAAATACATACTCTAAATCATACATATTGAAAATCAGGCAAGGCTTTTGGTTTTACTGCTATGAGAAAGAGTTGAAGCTCTTGAGTTTTGTCCAAAAACTACAATAACAATAATAATCTCTCAACCCAGTGGCTCTATCTTTTTACAGCTATTCTCTTTCTTTACTCTGTTGCTATTTATTCACTCCCAAGTCATTTCTTCACCCAATTTAATCTGGATTTCACATGGTCCAGGCATAGTAATTGCACTTGCTAAGCTCTCTGATTCACTTAATTTTCAAACTCAGTGAACAGCAAATAATTGCTGATATTGTTCCACTTTCCTAGAATATCTTTCTCCAGCTACAGCTTTCAACATTCTAGCCATCTTCAAGTGAATGCTGAAATGCTATTTCTTTCATGGATTATATTGTTTTCTTTCCCCATTCCCCAGCTAAAAGTTATCCTTTCCTACTCTTTTTTCTTTTAACATTAAACTCTATCTAAAAGGACTCTGTTAATTATAAATGCAAAGAACTAGGTAAAGCTGTCTTCTTATCCATTTTGATAGAATTATTCCTAACACATTATACCTATTGTCTTTTAACCAGAAAAATGAAAAATGACACTTAACTCAATATGCCTTAGAATAGACCTACTTGTGGGCATATCATTGTCCCCTACCTAACAATGAATTCCAGAGAACAATGACTATTTTTACTCATCATTTCATTTCTGACAGTTTTTAGATAATTCAGAGCAGGTTGGAGGTACTTAACACACATTGCATTAAATTTCCTTCTTTTTGGATCAAACATTCTTTTATCTGAGAATGTATTTAAAGTACATATAAAACATGTTTCTTCTCTTATATATTTGATATTCATACCTCAGAAAAGTCTGACATTTTTATACCACATAAGAATAATACATGTGTGTATGCTTCAATTAGAATTACTGTTTCTTAATATATTTTGAATTAGCCCAACCATCACTGATCACTAATGGAAATGGTTCTGCCTATTACAAATAGATATGGCCTCAAAATTTTCATTCCACTGCTGAAAAGGGATACTGCTATTGAGATTCAGAATTCTGACTTTGGATAAAGCAAATCTCTTCTGAGTTAAGTGGCTGTGTACAGGCTATCGGACCCCTAAGCCTTTGTTTTGTAAAGCCAAATAAATACAGATGTATATATCTAAAATTAAAACATTTCTTTGGGAAGACATACTTGCAGTTCAGGGCAGATACATAGACCTGCTTCTCTTCATGGTATCTAATGAACAAAGAGAAAGTTAGAAGTCTTAGGAAAAGGAGAAATGTTATGTATTCCTCTTTGAGAAAGTTCATTAGCACTAGTAAGGTTTTGGGGAGGGGGCAAGTTTCGATTTGTCAGTGAAGGCAGCCATAGTTGGTTGTTTCAGCAACCGGTAGATAAAACCTGTTTTAGATCACAGCAGGTAGTTTTAGCTGCTGGACCTGCAAAGAATTCCACTTTTTGGAGCAATCCTCTGTGCCCTGAGTGCTTTTTCCTCCTGGTCTCTTGACTCTTGTTTTCATTGGATATGGCAAGAATGACTCACTTCGTAGTCATTCTTAGCCTGACTTGAATTTGTCTTCACAGTTTCTTAGCCTGACTTGAATTTTTATCAAAATCTTGCTACCGCTTACCTCGGTGGGCAATTGTGAAGAACAAATGATGGAAACAAGCAGAAGGATCAGTGGAGTCAAAACAACACAGAAACTGGTTCACTGTAGTTTTTGGTATCAGTTAGAAGTTACTGAATGAAAAAGTAGATTAAACCATCAGATAGTAGGAATCCCATGTGAGTTTTAGGATTGGAGTATCCTTTAAAGCAAATCTGACCCTCCCAAGACACATTTAAGACTCAAGCAGAGTGGCAGAAATTGAGAACAAAATAAATTTATAAAAGCTTCTAACAGGTCAAGTATATTCCTGAGTAGCATTTATCAAACTCCCTAAAATCTCTTTACATTCTTCAAACTTTTTGAGAGAGATTAGTTGATGTAGATTTACCTGTCCAATATGTACCACTGTGTATGTTAAAACTGAGAATTAAAAATATATATAAACTAATTTTAAAATGGCAATAATAAATATTACAAATTAATAAACACCATATTTTGGTGAAAATAACTACATGTTTCAAGGCAAAAAATAAAAAAAAAATACTGAGAAGTATGGCATTCTTTTACATGTTTGCAAGATTTCTTTTTTTTTTTTTTTTTTGAGATAGAGTCCTGCTCTGACGCCCAGGCTGGAGTGCAGTGGCATGATCTCAGGTCACTGCAACATCTGCCTCCCAGGTTCAATTGATTCTTCTGCCTCAGCCTCCTGAGTACATGGGATTACAGGTGTGCACCATCACACCCAGCTAATTTTTGTATTTTTAGTAGAGATGGGGTTTCTCCATGCTGGCCAGACTGGTCTTCTATTCC